>NC_000011.10:1272121-1575151 GCF_000001405.40 Homo sapiens
GGGTCTCTGCCCGTTTCTCCAACCAAGGGTCGCTGGGAGGTTTGGGATGCACCGCGGTCTGACTGGGTCCCAGGCCGCCTTCCGCTGGGAGGGAGCAGGACCCCGCCTCGCAGCCCCTTCCCACCCCCGAAGCGGGTCCCCAGGACCGGCCCTGCTCCTCTCACCGGCACCCGCGGCGCCCCGGCCTGCAGCACCCCAGGGTGGGCGCTTCCCGTGTCTGGGTGGGGAGGCGAGGAGGGCCCTAGAACCCCCCCCGCCCCCGCCCTGCACACCCCCCCGCCCCTCCCCAATCTCATCCCCCAGCGAGGGCCTGGGATGCTGCGGCAGGGTGGAGGGAAAGAGAAGTCGTCTCTTTCGGAGCCAGGTAACCATGGAAACCTCGAGAAGGCTGGAAACCCCCGGAGTTCAGGGACCCGCAGGCGGCCAGCGACCCCCTCACCCCTCAGCGCAGCGGCCCCCGGGGGGTCCGCACGATGGATGCGCGCGTGGGAAGCTACTTTCCCCGAGTTCATTAAATGAGCTCTGAACAAGCCTATCCGGAAGAAGTTCCTTGGTAAGTCCCAACACGAACAGCCAGGAAGCCTCTAGAAGGAGAAGCCGGGCGCGGGCCAGGCCTGCGGGAATGCAGGAGGAGGGGGTGCCGGGAAGGCCAGGCCGGGCCCAGGGATCCGGGGGCTGCGAACGCGCCGCACAGTGAGGGTCGGTCCATCCTGCGCAGCGGGCCTGGTGCCTCCAGTGGGGTCCGTGATGAAGGGCAAAAAAAAAAAAAAAAAAAAAAAGGAAAATACGTGAGAGAAGAGCCTTTCAAACCTGAATGTGGAAAAACTTTCCTAATGATAAACAGAAATCCAGGAACGATAAGGAAAAAGATGAACACGTGACAACATTAAAAAAGAAAATTTTACACGGGACAAAATCATTAGCAACATAAACAAATGATAAAGCAGGGAAAGAACGTGCAGTGTATATCGCGCAGTTACCGTCTATAACGTGAAAAGAGCCGAGGAGACAAAAGAAAAAGGCAGCCCCACGGGAAACACGGGCCCGGAATGCAAGGCTGTGCTCAAACTCGCTCCTAAAAAAAGAAATCCTGACTGGGCGCGGTGGCTCACACCTGGAATCCCAGCACTTTGGGAGGCCGAGGCAGGTGGATCATGAGGTCAGGAGATCGAGACCATCCTGGCTAACACGGTGAAACCCCGTCTCTACTAAAAATACAAAAAAATCAGCCGGGCGTGGTGGCGGGCGCCTGTAGTCCCAGCTACTCGGGAGGCTGAGGCAGGAGAATGGCGTGAACCCGGGAGGCGGAGCTTGCAGTGAGCCAAGATCGCGCCACTGCACTCCAGCCTGGGTGACAGAGTGAGACCCTGTCTCAACAAAAAAATAAATAAATAAATAAAATTAAAAAATAAAAATACAAAAAATAAAAAATAAAGAGATCCTAACTGCAGCTGCACCAAGACAGCACTGGGACAGAGAGGCCAGACCGGCGATGGGGACGCCCGGCGATGGGGACGCCCGGCGATGGGGACAGGGCACCAGGAAGCAGGTTGGGATTTGGGCAGGGGAGGCGGGTCCATCTTTGCTCAGGAGTCCCACGCCCAGGGGTCTTTTCCACAGAAGAACTGATGCCATCAGTCATAGCCACAGAGGTAACGGCTGGAAGTTTGCTGTGGAGTCAACACTGCAGAAAGGCCACATTCAGGTGGAGGCAGGGAACCGGCGGGCATGCCTCGGGGGTTGGGCAGCAGAGAGGGGGCAGACACCCCACCGTGTCCATGGACGCTCCAGCAACGCGTCCGTGCCCGGGTGCCAGGGTGGCTCGGGGTCTCTAGAGTGCTGCTCACATTTATGGGCGCTTTGCTCCCTAAGCATGAGCCAGTCATCACTAGGGGCTCAGACTCCTGAGATGGGGGTGCCACGGTCCCAGTGGGCTCTCTCAGAACGGGGTCGTGTTCCACGCTCACTCCCAGATGGAAATGGCCTGGAAATGAAAAGGCACCACAGAACCACCCAGTGGGGAGAGGGTGCCTGGGCTGGAAGAGCAGACCCACGCCCACTGCCACTGTTGAGGGAGGAGCACCTGGGACTTCCCTCCTCTAATTCAATCTGGGAAGCAAAGGCCAGGCTTGGTCTGAAGGTGTAAGGTTCCTGCTCCCAGTCTGTTGACGAGTGAACTCTGATTCTGACTGATTCGTTACTCCTGCGTATTGTGAATTAAGTTAAAAAATACTCGGGAACAAACATGGTAAACCTTCCCTTAAAGGACTTTATTTCTCTATTTTTATATGGATCATTTATTAAATTAGAAGACTAAAAAGTAAAAATATATTTTACAATCAAAGAAAAATCTGGACAATGGACCCCAGTAAAATAATCAGAAGCGCACGTTCTGAGACCACTCCTGCCTGGCACCCTGCAGGGTAGCGCCCAGGGAGCATCTGCAGAGGGGAGAGGAGAGGAGGGGGAGCCTCCGGCGACCTGTCTTCTATCTCCGGAGCCCCGCCTGAGGCTCCAAGATGGCACAGTCAGGCTGTCCTTAGTGACCGCTGCCACGGAGCTGGCGATCGGCCTGCATCTTCAAACCCAGGAGCAGGAGCAGCAGAGGCTGGCAAGGCCTGGGCCCTCAGACACCAGGGGCCTAAACCCAGCTCCCAAACCCACTGCAGCCTCCCCTTGTGAGCTGGCAGACAAGCCTGTCCTTCTGAGTGTGACGACCTCATCCACACCTGACACAGGCGGGGGCGGGGGAGGGTGGGGGTTGTGAACCAGCTAATTCTGGGGACCGCTCGGAGGGGCTCAGCAAGCTGCTTCTACAGTAAGCCACTTCTACAGTAAGCCTTCAAACAGGAAATAAAGCATAAAATGAAGGAAAGAAGAATCTTATTTAATTAAAGGCCTTGCAAAATGTGATTTGTCTATTAAAAAAATAAAGCGCTTGTGAAAAAGAAAACTAAGAGATGGCGGCAAGCGTGGTCATCGGCAAAGGGTTGCTCTCCCTCCAGCGAGGCTGGCCCCCACTGTGTGGGTCCCTCGGGCCCCCACACGGGCTGCTCAAGGGCTGGCAGCAGGGGCCACGTCCTCTCTAGGAGACACCCACAGAGCCACATGTGCACGCGTGTGGCAGTCTCACTGCACCCCAGCAACGCGAAGGCAGAAACCGGTGCTGGTGGCCACACCTGGGCGCCTGGACACCGAAGCCCCCAGCACAGTGAGGCCTCTGAGTGTGGCTTGTGGTCTGTCCTGGGTTAGAGTTGTTAATATCACGGAACATACCATCTAGAACGTTCCAGTCCCGCCTGACACCTTCATTCCCAATGGAGAAGAAATCTACACAGGCGTAAGACCAGGCCATCTGAGACAGGGAATCCCAGGGGCCCCTCCGTCTGAGTGGTCGGCGTCTGCTGAACAAATACCATGTCTTTCTTCTTCAAAGGATCAAAGGCCTTTAGGACCCACAGCTGAAGAAGGCGCCTGCTGCCAGCATGTCCCTCCCCCACGGCCACCACACACTTCAAGTTTACAAAAATAAATATTTATCAACAGTATATTTGACAAAAACCACCCCCAATCGATGGCAGAAAGCAGTATTTTCTAGCTGGCACTGAAACTTAACCTATTTTTTTGAGGGAGAAAAAGACTAAAATGTAAGCACTAACTTCCTCCTTCTGCATCTTCCACAGAAGACCCACTTGTGGGCATTCTCTTTCTGTCCGTTATCAGTGGGTTTACATCCGAAGGCCGGCGGCAAGACACTTGAACCACAAACACCAGACATGCAGGTGTCTCAATGGCATGCAGATTATTTAAAGTGCATCACTTGTGAGAAGCTTCTCAAATTTCTGACTGTCATAACCAGGTGTCACCTAAAATCTGTCCTGTAGGCCAAGATGCTACACGCAGCGCCCAGGCAGTCAGAGGTAAGTGAGCGCCTCCCGCCTCAGAAAGCTTTTACAGGGCCACGCTCGCCAGGCTTTCCTCGCCCACGCTGAACCCACGTCCTGGGCACAGCAGCTCCCAAGCTGTCAGCAGTCGGCTGGCAGTGCCACCACACCCTCTCGGAATCATGCACAGTGCTGCCTCTATCACCTCTCACCCCAGCCTCGCAAGGCCTGTTGAGAAGAGAAGCTCCCTGGGAGGACACCCACGGAGCTGGCACGAGCGCAGCAGGAGAGACGGACGGCAGCCTCCGGCGGGCGAAGGACCCGGCTTCAGATGCCCGCTGGCTGGCAATCAGGCAGAGCCTGGCCAACCGTGCCAGGCCCCCTTCCTCACTCCAGGTGTGGGTTCATTCTGCCTTCAGGCCGGAGTCTGTCACAAGGCTGGCTGGACAGTGGCCAGGTGAGCCAGGCCAGAGGCCGGCCCCACACCATCCACAGGAAGCTGCTCAGCTCACCAGACCCAAGCCCTGGGCAGGGGCCAGGCTCACAGCAAAGCGCGTTAGGGCAAGGGCGTGAGTTTTCGTCTGGGAAGTTCTAAAAAAAACCCACAGTGTGAGGGATTGTGTGTGCCTTAAATCAACAGCTCTATTCCAATTACATCACATCACAAAATGCCATGAATGGAATCGGAAGGCGCTCCACCACCTCCAACACCCTGGCAGAAGCAGCTGCTCTCTACAGCAAGAGCATTTTCCAGAACGGCATGAGAAGGAGAGACGCACGTCCCAGGGACAGGAGAGCGCGCTGAGACCTCCCAGCACGAGATGGGAGGGGAGCCCCCGCCCCGTCCTGGACCGCCAGGAACCGAAAACCCACATGCACCCAAGAACAGGTGTGGACGGGGCGGCACAGAAGTCCACGGGAGGGGGCGACACGGGTGCTCTTTCACGGGAATCTTGTTGGGACAGCATTCCTTGGGGAGCGCCGGGTCGGCGTGTCCAAAGAGCGGGGGCAAAACGGCATCGAGGCAGAGGCTCTATGGCTCCTCCCCCATCTGCAGCAGGGAGTTGATGGCGGCATCCTTGTTCCCTCGCTGGGCTTCCAGCACGGAGCGGATCACCTCCTGGTCCATGTTGGGGAACATGTCCTGGATGGCTTTCAGGTCCTCCTCGCTACAGCGGGGCTGGGCGTTCACGGCGGCCGGGGGCAGGGCCACGGGCACCATGCCGGGGCTACAGACAGCGGGCATCCCTGGAAGCAAAGATCAAGTTTGGTAAAAACGTCGGAAAGTTCCAGAAGTGCCACACTAGCTCCTGCTGAAGGAAGAAAACAACGCATCCCACCGGCCTCCCTGAGGAAGGGGCCACCTCGGGTCTCAGCAAACACCAGTCCCGCAAGACACCCTGGAAAGGCAAACCCCCAAACAGCAACCCCAGGCACAGCCACGGGGAAGGTGGGCAGGGCCCTCTGTGACGCCTCCTTCACTAACTCATCTTCCTTCCATATAAAAATCAAAGTTTGATCTTTCAAATCTCACCCGAGTCTGTTTTATAACTAGCAGGCTGGGGGTGGTGTTTTGATCCCTTCAGAACTCGTGAATTTGCACTGCACACGCTCGTCTTCACTGACCAGTGGGCTCACAGAGTCCTCTGCATCTGGGGACGGACTACACGGAATGTCACGCCCGCTGATCCAAACACTGCACGGTCTGAGCCTCTTCCTTTATCAGGCATTCTAGAAGATGCTTTTGCAGCTTGGCAAGTGTGTCACTAAACTGTGTGCCGGTGGGGAACAATCACCACAGGCACTGAAGACCTCAGCAAAGCTGCAGCCGATGCCCAGAATGACAACCCCACACACACATACAAACTACACCAAGAAAATGCTCACAAAACTCAAACAAGTGGGGCAGCAGGTGCGGTGTACAGTGGACCCTCAGTGCACTGGGGCCACCGTCCAGGGTTCCTGGCATCTCCACCCCACAGCTACGCAGGCCCCTCGCCCCATGTCTGATGCGGGAGGACACACTGAGATGCAATCTATCGAGCAGGAGACGCACGGCGGTTCAGCCACTGCAGCACACACACCCCTGAAGGCACCGTGTGGCCGGACTTAAGACTCGCCTCCCAGCCTGGTGGCCGCTCCCTAAAACCACGAGCAGCCCTGAGCACAGGCAGCGTGCGCGGGGCTCAGCGACCAGTGAGGCACAGAGCACAGGCAGCGTGCGCGGGGCTCGGCGACCAGCGAGGCACAGAGCTCCTCCTGCAGCAGCAGCTGCAGCAGTGCAAGGGTTCACTGCTCACCCGTTCATTCACCTTTAAAAGCACGAACCATCTCCCAGCTAGGATCACTGGAGCGCTAGAGCCCCAATCTTAGGATAGGACTTTTGTTCCTTTCTACACTTGGAGGATCCTAAAGGCAGCAGAAGCCACTTCAATCCTGGCCTGAACCAACACCAGCAACAAGACCTGCAGGGGTGTAAACGGAGCAGACAGGGCTTGCCACCAAGCCTCCTGCACCTGCTGCAAAGGCCAGGACTCCTCAGCAAGGAAGGCCACCGCTTCCCGGCTCCTTCTAGGCCAGGCCGACTCTTCCTCCACACCCACCCCTGCCTCCTCTGCTTCTCGGCTCTCTCAGGGCCAGGCCCACCTTTCCTCCACACCCACACCTGCCTCTTGTCCTGGCCACTGGACACCTCACCTCACTGGGGAAGCATCATCCCCATGCTCATCAGCCTTTCGGCAATGACGGAAAACGAACCGAACCATGGCCAGGTGGGGACGTGGCCACCCTCACCACCCTTTCTTCTTCCTCAAACAAGACAAAGGCTTGGGCGCTGTCTGTCCTGGAGGGACCCCTGGGATCCCCGTGGCTTTTTGGGCGCCCCGGCTGGCAGGCGGGCAGGAACTTGGCCATCACCTGTCCCTGCCCATACAGCTCCCCACAGCATGGCAACAAGAGGAATGGGGCTCGGCCATCGCCTGTCCCTGCCCACACGTCTCCCCACAGCGTGGCAACATGAGGAACGGAGGCACCGTGCTCCCACTCTCTCCAGCCTTTACCAGTCTGATGGGGAAGGGACAGGAGGAGGGGAACTGCTGCAAAATCGATGACGGTGGCTGTGACGCTGCGACGTCACGGCCTGGGGTGTCCCGAGAAACCTGCTCTGCTGACAATGAGGGGATGTGGCGCCGACTGGCCCTCAAGTGAATCCCAACAGCACGGCCCCAACACACTCACTTGGGGAGCAGGCACCCCCGGGGGAAGAGGTGGGTGCTTCCACGGTGTGGGCTGAGGGGCAGTGGCCTGGCTCACTCCCCTCCTTCCTGCAGGGCAGAGGCCATGTGCCTGGCCTGAGCCGGCCCATCCTGGTTACCAAGCACGGATGTGTCCATCAAGCCCTCCGGGAACGGTGAGCGTATGTGTCAAGGCTGCCTGGGGACTTCAGGAGGACAGACCAGGAGCTCTGGGGCCTGGCGGAGAGCAAAGTCCCCAAAATGTGGGCAGAGAGGACGCCATGGGAGCCCGGGGCAGCCCAGAGCCCACCTGTAGCGGCCCTGGGAGGAGTGATGGGCGGCTTTGCTGTGTCCCTGCCATCTGCCGCGCTCAGCCCCACCAGCCACCTGCACGCACGCGGACGGATGTGCAGCACAGGACAGGCCCCACCTCACGTTCTTCACGCCGTGTGAATCTGCTGTCATATCTTGGCAAAATCAAATTCTCTACTGACAAACACAAGGATACCCAGGAAAACCAAAACTTGTCCCTTTTCCATTCAGGAAAAATTGCTCCGAGAAGGCCCTGATCTCAGACCACGCAGCATGGTAAGTCCCGGCCGCCGGTGGGCAGGGGAGCATCAGCCCTGCTCAGGCTGAAGGCATGTGGCCCTGGGCTCCAGACGTCTCGCACCACAGTGGAAAGACATCCAAAGAGCAGGTGGGGACGACCGTCCAGCTCAGAGACTGTTCCGGAACTCCCAAGGCTTGTTGCTGCTTCTCACTCCACAGAGCGTTATCACAAAGAAGAAAACCTACGTGATTCTTTGTTTCAAAGCGACCAAGTTAGCGGGTTAATAAACACAACAGCAGAGAGTTCCATGTGATAGTTTGTCTCGGAAACTTTTAAGCATCCAATTCTCATTTTGAATGGAACCATTTCGTATTTTAAATGGCATGTGCTGCTCAGCTGCAAACTCCCTATTCGCTGGAATTCCACGTGCGAGGGGAAGCATGCCTGGGCCGCTGGGTGAGCCCTTGGCTGGCCCTCTCTGGAACTCACAGGCGCTGCGAACGCCGGCTGCTCCCGTGCATGGTGCCACCGCGTGCACGTTCTCTATGGGCCTCCCCCTTGTCCATCCCAGCAGCGGCGTCCACCTGCGTGTTTTGCTTTCATACTTTGTGGACGGGCATTCATGTCCTGGTCTGGTTGGCTCCACAGAAACCAGTGGGGGTTGTGCCCACAGAGACGCAGGCCAGGATGACGGGAGGGACTGCGCCGGTGAGGACGTGGGGGCAGCAGAGAAAAGAGAGAAGCACTCCAGGCCCGTGTGAAATGGAGGTGCACGAGGGAACAGATGGAAACAGCGTCAACGGGCAGCTGCAGCCACGGTGAGCACAGAATGAGCTCATGCACACCCTGGTGCTGCCTATGCGGGCCAGGCTGGGGAGGCGCCGGACGCCCCACTTTCCAGGCCGATTCTCCTCCCACCACCAAGCAGAAGGAGGTGGAAAGCAACAGGAGGAGGGAAAGTGAGGAGGGCCCCAGAGGACAGCGCGGCCGGCACCACCTTCCACCTCAGCGCCTGTCAGTCTCGTGGGGACCCTCAGGGCAGACCCCTGGCAGTGGCTGCAGCCCGAGTGCCCCTCTGTGCCAGGGACAGCTGAAGGGACAGTGCAGGCAGGGCTGAGGCCCAGTGGCACCCGCGCTGGTCTCTCACGCACGAAGAACGCACGGGAAATTGAGCAGTTGGCTGCTGTTGCCAGCCTGGCGGAGAGTCTCTGTCCACTCTGCAGCTCCGTGGAAGAGAACATGCTTCATGAGGCCACGCGGTCTCCAGATGCTTCACGCCTAGATGTTTCCTTAAAATTGAGGCTAAAAAACCCCCTATAACCACATGATGCCTACCACGAATTATTTGAAATCTGTAAAGTATCTAATTTGGTAATCAAAATAATACTTTGTTTAAAAAAATCAAAACTTAAAACTGTTCTCTTCGGGCCATGATCATGGCGTAAAAGCTTTAATAATCAAGCTGTGCTTCGTGTTCCAGCCTCCCTTCCTCACTGATGCGGTCACACTTTATTTTTGTGAAGGAGATGGTCTGACCTCAGCGCCCCGGCTTCTGAGTTGCTTTGTGGGGGACTCTGGTTTTTCACTGAGGAAAGTGGACGGTCCTCGTGAGGGCTCAGCCAGCATTCAGCCCTCAGTCTCCAGCTTGCACTCTCCATAGAGGTGGCAGCTGGGCTCAGACACCACGGGAGGCTCTCGGGGCCTGAGCCCACCTAATGTGCACAGTGAGCCCCCGAGACCTGCACCCTGTGCGGGGGTCTCTGGGCAGCGATCAGCAGGCGACAGCTGAATGAACGAGCGGCTGAAGGGGCTGGCGAGAAGCAGGGCCCTAAGAAGCCGGGCTCTCCTTTCCTGGCCCACTCCGGCAGCCCCGTCTCACCAGAGGGCTTGGCCAGGCCGCCCTGCGTGCACACAGGCCCGAAGCCACGCAGCCAGCACCGCGTAGCCAGGCAGAGCACGCGGCACAGGCTTCTCCACCATGTGAGTCATAAACACTTGAAACTGTGGGCGACACACATGCTCTGGCCAAGATGCACTTTGAGATTCCACTTCTGAGAAGAAAACCCTGGTGTGACTCCACCATGCTTGCCTAGTCGGCCCGAGACGCCCTGAGCACGCAGCCGCCAGCCTCTCCAAGGTCTCCGCAGACTTCGCCCTTCAGCTGGCAGTGGCTGCCGGGAGGATGGGCTGTGATCACAGGTACTCAGAAGAAAATTAGGGCATCAGCTTCCAGTGAAGAAGGGTGCCTTATTCACACTCTACAGTACTGCTAGGATAATTAAAAAATACTTCAAAGGCTCCTAAAAGCAGTGTTCTCCTAATGGGAACCAGGGCTCCTGGGAGAAACAGCTAACGCCAGGGCTAAGGCCGGAAATGCAGAGAGCCTGGGGCTTCCTGCAGTGCCAGGAAGCAGGGAGGGGCCCAGAGAAGGATCAGAGGAGGCCAAAGAACAAAGATCCCGCCTGAGGGGGCTCCCTCTGGCCAAATCTGGAATAATTTGAGTGAAAAAATAACATTCATAAGGGATTCTGACCCAAGGAAAAAAATAGGAAATTGTTTAGGAGAAATACCTAATGTTAAATGACGAGTCAATGGGTGCAGCACACCAACATGGCACACGGATACATATGTAACAAACCTGCACATTGCGCACATGTACCCTAAAACTTAAAGTATAATTAAAATAAATAAATAAATAAAATAGGAAATTGTTTAGGAGAAATACCTAATGTTAAATGATGAGTCAATGGGTCCGGCACACCAACATGGCACACGGATACATATGTAACAAACCTGCACGTTGTGCACATGTACCCTAAAACTTAAAATATAATTAAGATAAATAAATAAATAAAATAGGAAATTGTTTAGGAGAAATACCTAATGTTAAATGACGAGTCAATGGGTGCAGCACACCAACATGGCACACGGATACATATGTAACAAACCTGCACGTTGTGCACATGTACCCTAAAACTTAAAGTATAATTAAAATAAATAAATAAATAAATAAAATAGGAAATTGTTTAGGAGATATACCTAATGCTAAATGAGTTAATGGGTGCAGCACACCAACATGGCACATGGATACATATGTAACAAACCTGCACGTTGTGCACATGTACCCTAAAACTTAAAATATAATTAAAATAAATAAATAAATAAATAAAATAGGAAATTGTAAATCCACATTGCTGGGGAAGTCGGATAAACTCAGGGGCTGACAAGGGCGGGATCTTCACGTGGTCCTGGGGTGCCTCCCACACAGGACATATTTTAGTTCCCGGGGAACAGCCAGGCAGAGCCCGCCGTGAGGGACGAGCAAGTCACACCACTAGCCCTGCACTGGGTAAACCTGCGCTGGGTGGAATCTGCGGTGGTGGCATCTGCCTGGGTAAAATGCGGGGGCCCTGCCAGCAGCCCCGGGGAAACTCAGCCCTACCCTGCAAGGCCACGTCAGCAGCCCCACCAGGTCCCTGACCAGAACATACCCTAGGAGCAAGATGGGGACCCCTCCAGGCCAAGGGAGGCAAGGCCATGGAGGGCCAGTGACCCCGGCCTGGATGCTGCGGACTCAGACGGGCTCCAAGCAGGGTACAGCCCCAACGCGTCAGTGTCAGCTTCATCTAGATGGCCGTACTGTGCCAGGGACGCCCCTGCTTATTGGAAACGCATGCCTGGGCATGGGGGCTGGGGGCTCCGGTGGGGCGTCAGGTGGACGAGTCCTCACAGGCTCTGGCAGATGTTCCTGCATCTCCTTGGGAACTTTTCTATGAAGTGCGGGGCTGTTCCAAAATTTACAATGTCTATCAAAAGAAAATTTCAAAGTTTGTCTAGCCTTTCCTAAAATAAACGTTTTAGAGCAAACTTGAAAGGCATCTACAAAGAGAATTAGGGATAGGAACCAGAAAGAGGTAAGCCAATCAATGTTATCTGTCATCTGAATGCTCTTTCAGCCAGATACACCCTGGCGCTGTATCCAGTTGATGGAACTGCACCCCCCAAAAAGACAGCCACAGAGCGCCCGGCCCAGAAGTTGGAGGAGACGGGGAGGATCCTCCTCACAGCCTTGACGAGTGAGTGGCCCTGCCTACGGGGCTTCGACTTCCAGCCTCAGGAAGCTGGAGGGCCTGGGTCTCTGTTCTTTCAGGTTGGCCATTGGCCTCCAACTCAGGACAACCAGACAGAACTTCACTAGCCCCATGAACTGCACATCACAGAAGGCACTTTGACCCCACGACGGCGGCTCTGGGCTGTCCCAGTTACAAATCAGAACCTCCAGGAGCCACTCTGGGGGGCAGCCAGGGCGCATCAGGGCCCCCAGGGCAGCAGAGCTCCCCTGGCCAGGCTCCAGGCTCAGGAACAGCTGTGGGGCTCCCATGCTCGCCCCCGTTTCTCTGCCAAGGTGCTGGCTCTTCCACTTACCCAGATGCCCACCCTCCTCTAACTCTGAACGCCTCAAGGCTGCTTCTGCGTTTCTGGCTCACCTGTGGTCACCTCCTAGGAAGCATTCTTTCCTCGGTGACGGGGTGCAGGTGCTACCTCTGCTGGGCTGGTGGTTTTCTTTTTTTTTTTGAGATGGAGTCTTGCTCTGTCACCCAGGCTGGAGTGCAGTGGCGCAATCTCGGCTCACTGCAAGCTCCACCTCCTGGGTTCACACCATTCTCCTGCCTCAGCCTCCCGAGCAGCTGGGACTACAGGCGCCCACCACCGCGCCCGGCTAATTTGTTTGTATTTTTAGTAGAGACGGGGTTTCACCGTGTTGGCCAGGATGGTCTTGATCTCCTGACCTCACGATCTGCCCGCCTTGGCCTCCCAAGGTGCCGGGATTAGAGGCATGAGCCCCCACACCCACCCCCAGGCTGGTGGTTTTCTAAGACACTGGACACCACAGAGGCCCTCTCAGACACACGCTCTGCTCTTTCCTCTGGAGAAAGGCAGCCCTGGCACCTGCGCGGGCGGCTTCACATGGAAACAGAGTCTATAATGTGAGCAAGTGAGGGCGAGGCCATGCTGTTCTCACAGGCAGTTTTGTCCGAGAATGTCCTGAACACCAGTGGACAGCCCAGAGTCTCCCAGTGCCGTCTCCTCCTTCCCATCGTCAGGGCTGGGTTTCAGGCCACATCAGGTGGGTCTAGGGCGAGGTCCCGACTCCCAAGGTGGCCTTTCTGCATCTGTGCAGGATGCTGGCAGGACTGGGGTGCTGACCAGGCCTCTCCACTCCAGCTGGGCTGGACACCAGCACTGGCCTCACAGCACTCTCGCCTGCCAGCAGCTCTGTCCCGCCCCAACCCCAAAGCAGCCCCTGAGCACAAGCAGCCGGGGCCTCATGCAGCCCCGAGACCCTCCCCTAACACCACCTCCCCCAACACCACCACGCATCCCTAGCGCCCTGCCCGCAACTTGGCCACTTCCATGGCCTGGGCCTCTGGCCTCCACCCTCCGTGCAGAGGGACCAGTGCTCTGCCTGGACACCAGCTCCCCAGAACGAGAGAGGCCACCTCAGCAGGAGAACCAGGGTGACCACAGGCTCCCCCCTAGCACCTCCTCTCAGGGGCTGCGGTCTCCCCGCCTGCTAAAGACGGCTGGGCCCATCCATGGTGGGGGCCGGTCTTGCACCAGCAGCTACCACAGTCACAGCTGGACCGAAAATGCAACAGCATGAAAAGCGACATCCCAGCTTGGTGTTGCTGCAGCCACAGGCTGCTCACTCCTAACAGTGACACACGACAACAGACGCAACAGCGCAGTAGAGAGCACGCATCACCCAACAGGAGCGTGAGGTTCAGACACAACGGCGCAGCGCAGGGCACGCGTCACCCAATGGGCGTGAGGTTCGGACACGACGGCACAGTGCAGAGCACGTGTCACCTGACAGGGGCGTGAGGTTCTCCTGCACAGAGCTGGGCACAACGGGGTTTCAAAGCCACATTTCCACATCTCTGAAAATTTCAACTCACCTCATTTCTGCCAACAATTAGAAAAAAAAAAAAAAAACAATTCTATTTTCTAGATATGCAAACAAAATTCAAACGTAAGCCTTGGCTTCCTGGCCTGAAAGGATCTGTGTGCGGTCAGCACGTCTACAGGATTCTAGAATGGATGACGTCCCCACCCCGGCGCTCTAAGCCCCGTTCCCTCCTCCCGCACCTGCCCTAGGCCCTGGGGTTTCTACCAGGGGAGAGGCACCCAGGGAGGGAGCACACGCACCTGTGATGGGCACATAGCCAACGCCCTGCTGGTACACTGTTGGCATCAGGACCACGGGCTGGGGTGGCATCACCATGGCAGCTGGAAGCAGCTGAAACACAGCGGAGATGGTCCCGGGGTCAAGGAGGAACATCCACCCATCAGAACCTCGGGAATCGCCCTCCCCACAATTGCCCTCCCCACGCCAGCCCAGAATCGCCCTCCCCATGCCAGCCCAGAATCACCCTCGCTACACGAGCCCTGAGTGCACAGGGGACGCTGGGCCCTGCTCCCACCCCTGCACCACCTCCTCAAATCCAGGAGGTGACATGGCTCGGGCTTACAGACCCCCTTCTAACTGGGATGTGACTGAGAGAGGATGGTGACAGGAGGGACATCCCAGTGTAGGTGTCGAGTCGGCCTGGGGGGAACCACACTGCACTGCTGTGGTGTCTGAGTTTGAAAGTGTCAACTTCACATAAGTCACTGCACTGCTGTCAACTCTGAGTTCAAAACTGTCCACTGTGGATAAGTCACTGCACCACTGTCACCTCTGAGTTCAAAACTGTCAACTGCGGATAAGTCACTGCACCGCTGTCGTCTCTGAGTTTAGTTCAAAACTGTCCACTGCGGATAAGTCACTGCACTGCTGTCTCCTGAGTTCAAAACTGTCAACTGTGGATAAGTCACTGCACCGCTGTCATCTCTAAGTTTAGTTCAAAACTGTCCACTGTGGATAAGTCACTGCACTGCTGTCTCCTGAGTTCAAAACTGTCCACTGCGGATAAGTCATTGCACTGCTGTTGTCTCTGAGTTCAAAACTGTCAACCGTGGATAAGTCACTGCACTGCTGTCGTCTCTGAGTTTAGTTCAAAACTGTCCACTGCAGATAAGTCACTGCACTGCTGTCTCCTGAGTTCAAAACTGTCCACTGCGGATAAGTCACTGCACTGCTGTTGTCTCTGAGTTCAAAACTGTCAACTGTGGATAAGTCACTGCACCGCGGTTGTCTCTGAGTTCGAAACTGTCAGCTGCGGATAAGTCACTGCACCACTGTCGCCTCTGAGTTCAAAACTGTCAGCTGCGGATAAGTCACTGCACCGCTGCCGTCTCTGAGTTCAAAACTGTCAGCTGTGGATAAGTCACTGCACCGCTGTCTTCTGAGTTCGAAACTGTCAACTGCGGATAAGTCACTGCACCACTGTCGTCTCTGAGTTCGAAACTGTCAACTGCAGGTAAAATCACTGGAGCGTCATGATGGTTCTGTGTTTGTATGAAAGCGTCTGTTAAAGACGTGTCATGAGACATTTACACATCGTCACTCACGGCCGGGACATGATTTAAAATATCCCAGCTTTAACAAAAAGGGGGTGGGAGGAGCCAAGATGGCCCAGAAAAGCAGCTCCCTGCTGCTGCCTCCCCGCCGCAGCCTCCCCGCCGCACCCTCCCCGCCGCAGCCTCCCCGCCGCACCCTCCCCGCCGCAGCCTCCCCGCCGCACCCTCCCCGCCGCACCCTCCCCGCCGCAGCCTCCCCGCCGCAGCCTCCCCGCCGCAGCCTCACCGCCGCAGCCTCCCCGCCGCAGCCTCCCCGCCGCACCCTCCCCGCCGCAGCCTCCCCGCCGCACCCTCCCCGCCGCAGCCTCCCCGCCGCAGCCTCCCCGCCGCACCCTCCCCGCCGCAGCCTCCCCGCCGCACCCTCCCCGCCGCAGCCTCCCCGCCGCAGCCTCCCCGCTGCACCCTCTCTGCCGCAGCCTCCCCGCCGCAGCCTCCCCGCCGCACCCTCCCCGCCGCAGCCTCCCCGCCGCACCCTCCCTGCCGCAGCCTCCCCGCCGCAGCCTCCCCGCCGCACCCTCCCCGCCGCAGCCTCCCTGCCGCACCCTCTCTGCTGCAGCCTCCCTGCTGCACCCTCCCTGCTGCACCCTCTCTGCTGCACCCTCTCTGCTGTCACATCTGCCTGGCATTTCCCACAGCACCATTTTTCAGTAACAGCCTGAAAATCCTCTGGTTGATGATACAGACGAGACGGCAGGAGCTCTGCGTCTTGGAGCCTCTAACTGGCCCTCCTGATGCCCCCAGGAGCTGCAGGTGCCCTGAGAATGGAGATGGCTGGGAGCCAGGGCGCTGACGTGCTGGCCCCACAGCCAGGCCTCGACTTCCTGACCCTGAGCACAGCAGCCCCCAGGCTTCCCCGACATCTCCAGAGATGCCCTGCCACACCACGGCCAATGCCTGCCCTGTGGGGAGGAGCCTGGTGTCCTGCAGGGCCCAGGGCTGTATCTCAGACCCTGGAGGGCTGCTCAGCTGGACCCTAAGGGCAGAGCTTGGAAGGGCTGTGGGGGTCCTCCGAGGACACAGGGGCCTGCAGTGGAGACCACCACAAAGGGTTGGCTCATCTTAGGAACACAAACAACCCCTATGCTGTTTCCCCAGACAGAGAACATGGGCAGGAGCAGTGGGCAGGGCAGCCCCTCTCTGCCACCAAACCACCCAGGGCCCCTGCCCTCTGTCCTCAGAACGTGAGCCCTGCTGTTTTATGGGCTCAGTGCCTCCAGGAAAGAGACAAGGGTGTCTGTGGGGCGGCATAGCCCCGACGTGCTCCAACATACCCCAATGCGCCCCACCCCGCCCAGGCGTGCAGCTCACCGCGTAGGACATGACGAGGTTGATCATGCCCTCCTTGTCGTCCCCCTGCCTCCCGCTCAGGCTGTACCACTTGTCCTCCACCTTGCCCTGCCTCAGGGACTCCGGGATGGTGATGTGGGTCCAGGCAATGCGGTCGTCCATGGAGAAGGCTCTCTGCGGGAGACAAGAGGGAGAGGCCCCAGGCATCAGGGAAGGGGCCACCCTGCCCCTGCAGCCGCACCATCGTGGGCCCGCCTCGAGTCCCCGTCTTATCTGTGGAACAGGGCTCCCACCTGCACCAACACCCCATCGATGAGACCCCTCGGGCAGCGCAGGCTTCACGATCGTATATCAGCCTCCGTAGGGGACTTCTTCCCTCTCTCCACCAGGATGGGCCAGGGCCAGGGCCAGGGCCAGGTCTGGGGCTGGGGAAAGCGAGGGCCCTGGGCTGCTGTCCTCCTTCAGTTCCACTTCAGGGACACTGGCTGCTCCTCCCCAGCCCTCGGGGCCCCATCCTTGCTCCACCGGCTGCCACCTGTCAAGCCCCAGAGCAGCCGGGGTGCAGACTGGAAAGGACACGGGGTCTGCCTCCCACAGCTGACTCTGCACTTCCCATGCGCTCTCTACTCTTCTGAGGGCCAGGGAGGGGAAAGCAGGTAGGGACGGGGAGAGAAAAGCCGGGAGGAAAAGGCAGGGCCCAGGCAGGGAGGGCTGGCCGTCTGCTGGCCTGGCTGCCCCACACTGCTCCCCGGCCCCCACCCAGTCTCTAGCCTCACAATGCCACAGGTGCGAGGTGCCAGGACCACACTGAGCAGCAGCCTCGCCACATCCCCTCTGACCTTCTGACTCTGCCTCAGAAGCGCTGCAGGTGCAGCCACGGACGGGACTCAGGACCCTCAAGGGTCACGACCATTCGCACCACCAAGAACAGCTTTCCCACCCAGTAGGCAGCCGCACTCTCTGGAAATCCCACCTGCTGGTGAGCGGCCGGACCCTGTGCGCCCAGCGGGGCGGACACATGCACGCTCTGTCCCTGGAAATCCCACCTGCTGGTGAGCGGCCAGACGAGTGCCCAGTGGACACGTGCACACTCTGTCCCTGGAAATCCCACCTGCTGGTGTGCGGCAAGACCCTGTGCGCCCAGCGGGGCGGACACATGCATGCTCTGTCCCTGGAAATCCCACCTGCTGGTGAGCGGCCAGACGAGTGCCCAGTGGCGGGGGACACATGCATGCTCTGTCCCTGGAAATCCCACCTGCTGGTGAGCGGCCAGATCAGTGCCCAGCGGAGGGGACACGTGCACGCTCTGTCCCTGGAAATCCCACCTGCTGGTGAGCGGCCAGACCCTGTGCGCCCAGCGGAGGGGACACGTGCACGCTGTATCCCTGGGTCATGCTTGTCACTGGGGATGTTTCCAAATGTAAGTATGTTCAAGGAGCTGGAAACAATCCCTTTTTCACATTCCTTGGGGAGAGCAGGACCCTGTCATGCACCCAATGAAACACCAGGTGGGGAGCCACGCCTCGAAGCCAGCCAGGAACGTGGCTGTGTTGGCAGGTGTGTCCCCACGGCAGCCACGCTCAGCCACGTGCAGCCTCCATAATAGCTGGCACGTCCCTCTCACCTCATCGAAGATCTCGAGATAGAAAGAGTCCACGCCTGGGGGCACCGTGCAGTGGATGACCTTATTCCAGCGGGGATTCTTGGCGCCATTGTGTGCCGTGGGCGTCTCGTACACCGCGTAGCCCAGGCGCAGTCGGCAGTAGGGGTCCATGCGGGTCATGCCGTAATTCTTGGCCAACTTTGCCTGGAATGAAGCCAATGTCAGGAAAAGGAGGTGCCAACCATCAGGAGAGGGTGGGTTCTCTAGGCCGTCTGCCTCCCTGAACCCTTCCACGAGGCCTTTTCCTAACACATAGACTACAGCCACTCAGAGTCGCCTGAACACGGCTGTGACCTGCTTCCCAGGAGGCCAGGAGCAAGAAGAGTGAGCCACAGATGGATCGTGCAGTTCTGAGACAAAGCACGTGGCTCGTCCTTGACAGCAGAAACCTACGACGCTCACAGACACAGCTGAGGCCGCCACTCACCCACCATGAAGGGCGCACTCTCTAATGCCCTCCTCAGAAGTGGCTGAGGAGGGAAAGAGGAGGAGGTCCCGGGACAGAGCTGAGAGCCAGAGCATGACATGGAGTGTGAACCTGCCCCCGGAGCATGATGACCCGGGAGAGGTGCATCCTCGCTCTAGGTGAGAGTGAGGACACCTGCTGCACATAATTCAGACGCCACGTGGCTGCTTTCCTCCCTCGTGAAGGCAGCAGCCCTGCCTGTGCTATCGGAGTACGTGGGGTTTTGGGGACTGGAACTTGTCTTTCTTGTGTCTCCCAATCACAAGGAGCCACATCACATGTAGACCATGAGATTCGACTTCAGGCCAGGTGCTCAGCTGGGCAGGGACATTTGAGGTCCTCGGGGTGGGAGTGAACGTGTGTTCAGAATAAGACAGAAGACCGTGGCAAGTAAGATGATTGTTCAGCAAACAAACTCAACATGGATGGCAGGTTCAAATATAAAACCTAAAACTGTAAAACCTTTACAAGAAAAAACCAGGAGAAAAGCCCTCGTAAGCTGGGTTGGGTTCAGCCCTGCAGCTCCGGCTGCCTGTAAAGCGTCCTGCCTGGAATGCAGACGGCCTCCCTGTACCACTGCCACCCGCTCTCCTGCAGCCAACCCGGCTCACCCCCAGGAGCTGGTGATAGAGACCCCGGGAGCCATCCCGGCCCTCCCACCCACATGGAGCCCGCCAGTTCCTCCTTCCCAGTGGAACAGAGTCCAGACACTGCCCCCCGACCCCCTCTGAGGGAACGGCCAACCTGTCCACACCAACCCCCCTCTGAGAGTACTGCCACCCTGTCCTCACCACCCACCCCCCGAAGGCACGGCCACCCCATCCTCACTGACGCCCCTCTGAGGGCACGGCCACCCTGTCCTCACTGAACCCTCTCTGAGGGCACCGCCGCCCTGTTCTCACCGCACCCCTCTGAGGGCACGGCCGCCCCGTCCTCGCTGACCCCCCGCTGAGGGCACGGCCGCCCCGTCCTCGCTGACCCCCCTCTGAGGGCACGGCCGCCCCGTCCTCACCGACCCACCTCTGAGGGCACGGCCGCCCCGTCCTCACCGACCCACCTCTGAGGGCACGGCCGCCCCGTCCTCACCGACCCACCTCTGAGGGCACGGCCGCCCCGTCCTCACCGACCCCCGAGGGCACGGCTGTCCCGTCCACGCCAACCCTCGCCGCACAGCTGAACTCTCCCCTCCTGTGCCCACATCTCTGGACTGCCAGGTCCTCTGTTTTCTATTCTTGTCCACATACAAGTTCCCTCCTTTCACTTCTAATCAAAGCTGTGGCCGGTCCTTTTAGGTCAAAACTGCCCCATTCTTGGGTCCTTAATTTTAGCGTGTTTCTTGGGTGGCCACAGCGTACTCCGGAATGCTATGGAGTGACAGTTTTCCGGAAGCTCCTGGGCGACAGGCATGCTCAGCCTCTAGCAGCTTCCAATTCCCTTCTGCTGCACACCCACACATCTGCTAGATCAGCTCTTACACTCCAAACTCTGCCCCTGTAAACTCCTTAGCAACTGCCCTATTTTCTGGAGAGTATGTAGCAGGAAAGTCTGAGACCAGCATGATTTTCCAAAGCTTTCAGGTAACTGTGCTGTCTCTGCCTAGCTGCTATGACTTATTTTTATTAATAACTTTAAAGGCTTTGAGCAAAGCCAGCTTTCTGGGTGGCACATGGGACTCCCCTGCCAGCATGCCCGTGCCTGTCACCGATGCCTGCTCACATTGGATCCTGCCTGCTTCTGCCACACTCAGCGTCATCCTCTCATTCCCATCTCCTCCCACTGCCCTCTGCACTGTGGCTAGAAAACTCTAGGATGAGCGTCCTGTGACATCAACTGCTCTGCTGAAGTGACCTCCTCGATGTTTATGGAAGCATCTGCCCATTCACTATGACTGCACACAACCACATGCTGTTCTGGTGCAGGAGACACTGTGGACACCGTGGGGACACACGGGCACCGCTGCCTCCCCCACAACGGGCAAGAGACGCACGTCAGACAGCAGACACCGTGGGGACACACGGGCACCGCTGCTTTCCCCACAATGGGCAAGAGATGCGCGGCAGACACACAGCGCAGCAGACGGCGTTACCACTGCAGGGAGTGACCAGCTAGGAGGACCGGGTATGCGGGCTGCAGGATCTGGAGGAAGAGCTGCAGGAAGCGGGAGGAGAACGGCCAGGGAAGAGGAAGGTCAGGAGTGACTAGGGTGAGGAAAACATGGGCCCAGCTGGAGCAGGCTCGGCAGGACAGTGCCCACGAGAAAGGCCCACGCGGGAACGGACCTACTCTGGCCACGCTGCAGGGGCTGAGCGGGGGCAGTGGGTGGGTGCGGGGGGCTCCAGGCCTGGACGGGCTGAAGGTGGCGCCTGTGCTGAGGGTCAGGCCTGAAGGGCAAGAGGTGGACATGAACCTGGAGCACCAGCAGCACGAGGGCTTTGGGCCTCAGCTTCCAGAGTGTGGGGCAGCCACCTGCGGACACGGGGGAGAAGCCGGGAGGGTGGCCCGAGAGCTCCACCTTGGGCACACGGAGTCCGGAGTGCCCACGGAACACCTGGGGAGGCCATGTGGCCATGGTCCGTACCTAGGGATCTGGGGTGGAGCTGAGTGGTCGGCTCAGGCTGGGGCCAGCACATGGGTGTTTAGACCCACAGGGATGCAGAAGTCACCGGGATGTGTGGGCAGAGAGGGGAGGAGGGCTGAGGACCAGACCCCTTGGCATCCCACTGGGGCCCCAGGAGACAACAAGGGGAAGCAGCGAGGGGACGCAAGCAGGGAACCACCTGTGTGGCCGCCCAGAAGCCAAGAGAAGCAGGAAACAGGGGCTGAGCTACCTGGCCCAGTGAGGAGGCAGGAATGTTTCCCACCACTGGAGCTGCGCCACAGAAGGCTGGGTGAGCTCACGTGGAGGAAACAGGCTGCCTGTGGTGGGCTCCAGGGTGCGGGAGAGGACCAAGGGGGGCCAGAGGCGTGGGCAACGCCAGGGCCACCTCCAAGGCCCAGCCAGCTCTGGAGCTTGAACTGTGTGAGGTGGAGTGCCCTGCGGTCACCAGGCCCTGCCAGGAGGTGGCGGCTGAGGACGGGTGATGGCACTGGCTGGCCTGGTGGCAGCTGGCACAGGAATGCATGGGCTTACGGGAGTTCACTGGGTGGGCAGAGGGATCGGCCACACCAGCACAGTAACAGCTGCACAAGCAAGGGTCTGAGACACGCCGCGAGGAAGGGGTGACGGTGTAGCTGTGCTCACCACACCATGAAGCCCCTGAAAGCAAGTCTTATTTGTGAGGTCCACGGCGATTCTTCTGCCTGCTGTATTTGTGCATTTCTATGAAAGCCGCGTGGCTCACAGTGTGTCTCCTTTCCCTGCATTTCTACGAAAGCCCGCGTGGCTCACAGTGTGTCTCCTTTCCCTGCATTTCTACAAAAGCCCGCATGGCTCAGTGTGTCTCCTTTCCCTGCATTTCTATGAAAGCCGTGTGGCTCACAGTGTGTCTCCTTTCCCTGCATTTCTACGAAAGCCCGCGTGGCTCACAGTGTGTCTCCTTTCCCTGCATTTCTACGAAAGCCCGCGTGGCTCACAGTGTGTCTCCTTTCCCTGCATTTCTACGAAAGCCCGCGTGGCTCACGGTGTGTCTCCTTTCCCTGCATTTCTACGAAAGCCCGCATGGCTCAGTGTGTCTCCTTTCCCTGCATTTCTACGAAAGCCGCGTGGCTCACAGTGTGTCTCCTTTCCCTGCATTTCTACGAAAGCCCGCGTGGCTCACAGTGTGTCTCCTTTCCCTGCATTTCTACGAAAGCCCGCGTGGCTCACGGTGTGTCTCCTTTCCCTGCATTTCTACGAAAGCCCGCGTGGCTCACGGTGTGTCTCCTTTCCCTGCATTTCTACGAAAGCCCGCGTGGCTCACGGTGTGTCTCCTTTCCCTGCATTTCTACGAAAGCCCGCGTGGCTCACGGTGTGTCTCCTTTCCCTGCATTTCTACGAAAGCCCGCGTGGCTCACGGTGTGTCTCCTTTCCCTGCATTTCTACGAAAGCCCGCGTGGCTCACGGTGTGTCTCCTTTTCCTGCATTTCTACGAAAGCCCGCGTGGCTCACGGTGTGTCTCCTTTTCCTGCATTTCTACGAAAGCCCGCGTGGCTCACGGTGTGTCTCCTTTCCCTGCATTTCTACGAAAGCCCGGGTGGCTCACGGTGTGTCTCCTTTCCCTGCATTTCTACGAAAGCCCGCGTGGCTCACGGTGTGTCTCCTTTCCCTGCATTTCTACGAAAGCCCGCGTGGCTCACGGTGTGTCTCCTTTCCCTGCATTTCTACGAAAGCCTGCGTGGCTCACAGTGTGTCTCCTTTCCCTGCATTTCTACGAAAGCCTGCGTGGCTCACAGTGTGTTTCCTTTTCCTGCAGTCTTACAGACGGTTTTCGTGTGATCAAAATCGGCGTTCAATCTGCCGATTTTGGCTTTCACTTGAAAGACCACTAAGCAACCACGGGCCGGCCCCGAGGCTGACCGAGGGCTGCTCTGTGGGGAGGGAGGGTGCAGGCACCGGCACTGAGGCCAACAGGAAGCCACTCACGCAGCACACACCAGGTGGCGGGGGTGCCGGCCGCGCCTCCTCCAGCTGCCGGCGGGGGTCCGGGAGGTGTCCTTGGGCGTACTCAAGCCTGGTGGAAGAGCCAGGCCCTACACAGAGCAGACGCCCACCTACACCCACTACTCATCACTTGAGTTATGTTTGGTAGAACCCGGGGTCAATGCCAATATCTTTCACACAGATCGTTTTCAACATCACACAGGTTTCAGGAAAAGCGGGAATCAGAAGTTCTGTTTGCCCGCTTAGGAAATGCAGTATAAA
Source organism: Homo sapiens (assembly GCF_000001405.40). NCBI lineage: Eukaryota > Metazoa > Chordata > Mammalia > Primates > Hominidae > Homo > Homo sapiens. The sequence goes on from NC_000011.10 coordinate 1,295,572, forward strand.
CGCCGAAATCCGAAATCCCACCCCCACCGAGCGCACCAGCCCCAGGCAGGCAGGAGGGTGCCCCAAGGCCCACCTGTACCACCGTGATGTTCAGTCGGCCCACGGTGCCCACTGCGCCTCCGTACTGCAGCTGCTGGGCCGCCTGGGCGTCCAGCTGGACCTGCCGCTGCTGCTGTGTGGGCGTGATGCGGAGGAAGTCCTGCGGGAGCTCACCGATGTACACCTGCGGGGCCGGGGACCAGAGAGGCCAGTGAGTCAGGGTGGGGGCACAAAGCAGCCCGACAGCAGCTGCCCCCGGCATTCCCGCGGCCCCGCCCCCACCCATGTCCTTATCAAGTCCTGGACTGTGCTCAGCCTCAGTTTCCTCATCTCTAAACGGAGGGGTCAAGGGTGTCCAGCCTGGGGCCTGGCCCCCAGCGGTACAGGTGCAGCCCTCACTCAGGAGATCCCCAAATGCAGGTTTCTGCCGCTAAAAATGGGTTCCTGTCCTCAAAGCCTGCTCAGGTGGGTTTTCAGGTCATTTTAAAGGGTCTCCCTTGCACCATGTGTGCCCACGGCTTCTTTCTCCTTGTCCACAGCTAAAGGCAGGGCCACTGAACTGCAGGTCACTTGGTCAAACGAATGAGACAAAAGCTGAGCCTCAGGTCTAAAGTGATTTGGAAAACCCTCTGCTGATATACTTCAAATGTTTCCACATGAAACAGCTGAAATTCAAAAGTATCCCAGAAGAACGCAGGAAGTAAATCGATTCCAAACAACCACGAAAGACCTCCCCACTCTGCATCCTATGTCTCCTCGACCCTCTGTCCACCACTGCCACTTCTGAGGGGAAGAGAGAGGATGGGCCCAGGCAGGACAATGCCATCCCGAAACCACCCGCACACCTGCAGCGGCCGAAGGGGCCTGGGGTAAACCATGCTCCACAGGTGAAAGGTCGCTGATGAGGCCCTGAGCATGGGTCTGGCTGCTGGTGGAGTGGGGTGGAGGCCTGGTTGCTGGAGGAGTGGGGTGGAGGCCTGGTTGCTGGTGGAGTGGGGTGGAGGCCTGGTTGCTGGTGGAGGCCTGGTTGCTGGAGGAGTGGGATGGAGGCCTGGTTGCTGGTGGAGTGGGGTGGAGGCCTGGTTGCTGGTGGAGTGGGGTGGAGGCCTGGTTGCTGGAGGAGTGGGGTGGAGGCCTGGTTGCTGGTGGAGTGGGGTGGAGGCCTGGTTGCTGGTGGAGTGGGGTGGAGGCCTGGTTGATGGAGGAGTGGGGTGGAGGCCTGGTTGCTGGTGGAGTGGGGTGGAGGCCTGGTTGCTGGTGGAGTGGGGTGGAGGCCTGGTTGCTGGTGGAGTGGGGTGGAGGCCTGGTTGCTGGTGGAGTGGGGTGGAGGCCTGGTTGCTGGTGGAGTGGGGTGGAGGCCTGGTTGCTGGTGGAGTGGGGTGGAGGCCTGGTTGCTGGTGGAGTGGGGTGGAGGCCTGGTTGCTGGTGGAGTGGGGTGGAGACCCAGCCGTCTGCAGGGGCCCCGGTCAGCGCCAGTGCCCTGGGCAGTTGTTTTCAGGAAATACCGAGTGGAACCTGGAACCCTCGGTGTGTCGGACGTGAGCTTAGGCAAAGTGCACGTGCTGAGGCCGCCAGAACGCCTCTGCCATGCACACCAGAAACCCGTACCTGCCTGTGCCATGGACTCCCAATGACACGGTGCCAGGCAGGGCTCCAGGAGGTTCTGAGTTAAGCCCTGCACCTGCTGTGCTCTGGGCGCCTGGCACTTCAAAGGACCCCGAGAGGGTCTAGCTCCTCACCTGTGTCCCCATCTAAGGCCTGGAGCGCACAAGCCAGTCAGCGCTCCACAACCAATGTGAGTAAACAGAAGGGACCCGGACGATCCAGGCACCGCTTCGAGCAGTTACGGACTCAGGACCCCCAAGTTCGGGAAGCTCTCTGCAGGCTGCACCCCAACCTGAGCAGCCAGCATGGCGTGTGCTCAACCGCTCTTCTCTAAAAAGCAAAACACACTTTGTGCGTTTCCCCACACTTTACCCCGTTTTTGACTGGGACACGTCACGAGTGACCTTTGCCCTGTGAGAGAAGCCGTACTGCGAGAACAAGCAGAGCACCCCGGCTTCACCTCCGGAGGGTGTGGCATAGGCCAGGGCCCGGAGGGACCCCCTGCCCTTACGGACAATCGAGGAGGGTGCAGAGGTGCCTGAGCGGAGTGGGCCCATGCCAGGAGTCCCAGGCCAGCCTCCCCCAGGCAGCCTCTCTCGAGGCGCTGTACAGCTCAACAGCAAGCTCTGGCTCAGGAGGGCGCTGAGAGGCCCCATGGCACGAGATGCTAAGCACCTGTTCCTGTTGGCACACAGGAAACACTGGGGTACAGAAGGCCAGGGCCCTTCGCCTGCCTCCCAGAAGGATTCACAGCCCAGAGCTCTCTCCCCGGGGGACACCTGGCCACACAGGACGTGCTTCCCTGCCAACCCCACAGGGCCCTGGCACAGCCCATGCCAGCAGGCTCTATGACTAGCTCTGTCTGCTCACCAGGAACGGGTTATCTTGCAGAAACAGACTCGTGCTAACCAAGTTCTCAGGACTAACATACACAGGCCAAATTCCTGTTTATTTGTGACAACTGCTTCCTGTGTGCCACATGCACAGCTCTGAGGACATGGCAGGAAAAGCACCGTATCTCCTGGGCACACATGGCAGACAGACAGGCGGCTCGTGCCCTCCTGGGCACACGTAGGGGACAGACAGGTGGCTCATGCCCTCCTGGCCACACGTGGGGGACAGACAGGCGACTCATGTCCCGGAGACAGCAGCATGGAGAAGCCAGTCGGGGGAGGGTGTGGGTGGTCACAGGGACGTGTGGGCGTGGGGTCCAGAGGCCTCTGAGGGAGCACTGTGGGTCCCTCGCTGCTCTGGATCCTGGTTGTCCCGGTATTTGAAGGCGTCCAGCGCTCCATCTCCTTGCTCTGCACTCTTTAGGTGTCCGTTAAAGACAGTGGGACTGCTCATTACTGGGAGAAAATAAAATTATATCCAAAGGCCTAATGATCAAGTGTCATTTTTCAACAAGGATTTAACCATAAAATGGCAAATAGGAAAAGAGGGTTTTTAAACATAAACCGTGTGGATAGAACACGAAAAGGGGAGAAGCAGCTCCCTGCGGATGGAGCTCATCAGCCCCACGCAGCCCGGGGACCGCAGCCAGCGCCATGTGGCGGGGCAGGTGCGCGTCCAGCTCCCCGAGATGACACACGCCTCACATCTGGGTTTTCTTCCCAAAAACCCACACCCCAATTAAGAGACATCTGACAAAATCCCTGACCAGTCAGTCGTCCTCAAACCGTCAAGGTCCCAAAAACACAAGGAAAGCCTGAGAGACGGTCCCAGATTGGAGATGGCAGACATGATGGCTAAACGCAAGGCAGGGTGCTGGGACAGCAGGGGACAGTCATCGAAAAACCAGGACAGCCAAATAAAACCTGGAGCCAACAGTCATGCCCCCAGCTCAGCGCCACAGCTGTGAGAGCTGTTCCCGGGGAGGGGAGCGTCGGCCAGGGGACATGGGTGAGACACACAGGACCTCTTCGTGCCAGCTTTTCAATTCGTCATAAGACTGAACACTACAAAATTCAAGGTTTTTCAGAAAAATATTCCATTTAACCTGAAGACAGGAAGAGCAAGAGAGGAGACGGAGACCAGGCTTCAGTCCTCCCCGTACAAATACTGGTTACGCAACCTGCTGCCCCGCCTACCAGGGAGAGGCGGCTTGCCTGCTGCTGCAATGCCCTCGTTTCTCAACTTAGAGCAAAGCCCTTCAAACGAGGAGGGAGTGCTACCAGTTCATGCTTCACGAGTCACAGGGGAGAGAGTCCAGGTGCTGAAGTAAACCCTATCGTTTCAGTGACGACACTCGGTCCTTCAGTAAATGTCTATTTTGAATTTATTTTTTAAATTCAGTGCTAATCCTAAAATTTATTTTTGCCATATGATGATGGAGGAACTATTTCAATGGTCACATAAAAATATATGCTTTACCCTGGTTCAAAGGCTTGGAAATATGAAAACAAAAATGATTACTCCCGATACATAATGGATATTTTTCTAGAATTTTGCTTCCATGTACAAGATGCACATACTGAGTTCAACACTAACAAGTCTAAATGCCCGTGTGAAGGCCAACAATTCCACTTCAGGAGCCAGTCCCCTGTCAATGCTCACTCGGGCACGTGAGCACAGGATGCCTGAGGCTGCGTCACCTGTGCCGTCAAAACGCCCCGTCCACCAGCCAGGCACATCCACCCAGCGCATCGCCACGCGGCCTCACCAGGAGCCGGCGGTCCCTGCCGCGAACACATGGAGACTCGGGGGACGGAGGCGGAGGCGGAGGTGCGGCACGACCTGCTGCAGGGAGCCATAAGGAGGCCTCTGTCGACACCAACTCTGGAGGAGCATTCAGGAATGGAACTCGAGGGAAACAGGCAGGGAAGATTCTATTTCAATTTATTTATACTTTTATATCCTGCTAGTTATTTTTAGAAACTTTTTAAAAACATTCGTGAATTACTTTTAAAATAAAAAGGACAGGGTAGGGCTCTCATCCCACAGAGCTCACAGCATTTTATCTTCTCTGAAAATAAAAGCTACTTTTATAAATATTAGTCTGTTTTAAATATAGTTTTAAAATGTAACTTCAAATTTCTTGGAATTGCTGATTCTCCTCCCCCATGTGCCGCTCTCAGAGGATCACGACGCAAGCCTGTGACTGACGACCATTCCTCCCTCACTGACGCCAGAGCTCTAAACCACTGCAGCGTACCTTTCCACACGAAAGAAAAGAGGTCTCCAACATTCACTTCTATTTAAAACAATTTCTCTTCAAGTCTAAGTTTTAGTTTTGGCACAGAAATAAAGTCTTAATTCTTCTTTTTTGTCATGCAATGTGTGTAGTCAATCCAAAGCTAATTTTTCTTTTTAAGCACACAAATTAAACACCCACTGTGAATATTCCTGTTGGTGACACGTCTCCAACGGAGAGAGCCGCTGCTTCCTTGGGCCACACTTTCTGCCCGACACCTGTTAGGAATACGTTTCCGACTGAGAGTGCCGCTGCTTCCTTGGGCCACACTTTCTGCCTTGACAGAGCCCCGGAAGAGCCCAGCTCAGCCCAGGACGTGGAGTCCTGAACACATGCAGTCCTGGCCTCACGCCTGCCAGGAGACATCACCCCAAGGAGCCGCACCACAGTCGCCCCTGAAGCACGGCTGGCCACACGCAGGCGGCAGGAGACCAGGGTTTCCTGGCCACTTCCATGACTGGCCCCCTGCGGAGCCTTTTTAAACCTTCTCACCGTTCCCACCCCATGACGCTGCGAGGCTGTGGAGGTGCTGTTTGTGTCTGTGTGCCACGCATGCACCTGCACTTGGCATGTAAACACTGCAAGCAAGGCTCAACGAGTCTCAGCGCTAACGCCAGGTTAGCATAACTAAGTCGAACGAAGTTCAATTAAAAACTAAAATGCTTCTAGCACTTCATGACTATGCGCTGAGCAGCGCTGAGTGTAATTTATTTACATAAATTGTAATGTATCAAATCACACGTAGAAATAAACAACTTATATAAACACAATAAAAAATATCCTTAGTGAACTGAAGCTTTTGCTTGATGTGAGAAAGTACCTTTTAACTGGCTGGCTGGTATTCTTTCAGCAAACTGACATCATTAGCGATGGGCTAAATACGTTCTGTGGAATTAAATCACAAAATGTCGACGATTCTCATTCAATTCTCCAAGCCAGAGTCTCACACCAGCACTGAGGATCCCACACAAACGGCATCCGCAGGCGCCTGCCCACCCTCCCCACCCACCTCACAGCAGGTCTGAGATCGCACATGTGTCGCGGGCTTCCGAGAACTCCGTATCCATGTGCTGGGACACCCAGAAAACCCAGGGACAATGAAATACTAAGGAGCAAGAAATCCAGGAGCTGTGCTGGGGAGGCACACACGGCCGCCAAACCCCAGAAGTTTCCTCCCCCAAGAACCCCTTGTGCCCTCTCAGGGTCAATATCACCCCCACATTGAGAACAAGCGTCAAGGACTCCTGAAGCCACAAAGCCAGCCCACGGAGGCCCCAACACAGAAGCCCAACTAGTGAAACTCTGTACCCTGAGCCCTAGGTTTCTCCAGTTCCTAACATGGCCATGATTCAACGTGACTTTCAGAGCTGGGACCCACAGCAGGAAGACCTGGGCTGGGCTCGTGGCTAAAGGGACAGAGGAAGCTAATGAAACAGAGAGAAATAAATCCCCCGTAGTAGGAACATCTAGGGATATGGGCGGAAGTCAGTCTCAAAGCCTCTTGGGCGAGGTCTGAGTGTCTGCTAGGAAGGGAGCCCCAGACTCGGTCAGGGCCCCAGGACTCACATAGAACAGCACAGTTGGTCCAGATGAAGCTGAGAACCTGGAGCCCAGGTCATCACCAGCCTCCCTGCTGTGTCTGAGGGGCTGGCCCTGCCTTGAAGGCCCTGCAAGGGGCCTGCTCCAGGCCACTGTCCTACAGGGGATGTCTGCTGCTAGGTTCACACCCAGGTCAGAGCTCAGTCTGGCCCAGGAGAAATGGCCCATCCACCCGATGCCCGCACACCTGTGTGATTCACATCCAGATCCGGGCGTGCAAGAGGGCGGGAACGCGCACCAGGGCTGAGACACAGGGCCGTGGGCAGTCAGGACAGACCCTGGGTGGCCCTGGCGGTCCCTCTGCCCAGCTGACTGACCCCTCAGTGCGCAGGGTTTCAGAGACTGAAGTGCCAGCCTGCACATGCCCCAGGCCTGCACACTCACGGCCAAGAGGGGAGCCCCGTGGAGGTGAAGGACTCACCGACACTCACTGGTGGCCACTGCCATTGCCCTGTAAGTTTAGCATTTTCCAAAATAAGGCTAGAAGGAAAACTGCAATTCCCCATGCCCACTCAGCTGCTGGCTCCCTCACCCACCACCCTTCACAGCACCAGCATCCAAAAGCTGGACCAGTACCTGACCCTGCAGCCCCTGGCACTCCAGCCAGCCTCGGCCTCACGCTCCACACCAGCCTCCTGACACTCCCCAAAACCCACTCCAGCCAGCCTCGGCCTCATGCTCCACGCCAGTCTCCTGGCACTGGCATGTTCAATAAACAACCCTTGAGCAAATAAGTGGCATTTCATGCAACTGCTCTTGGCAAGGCAGCTCCCACGCCAGTGTGGACGGGCAGTGGTGACTTTGTCCCCAGTTCCCACATCCTCCTCCCACGGCCGCTCAGCAGCCCCCTCCCAGGAGCCCTCGCTGAGCACTCATTCGCCGTGCCTTGTCTCCCCTTCCGGGGCCTTCCTCAGACAGGGCTTTCCTTCCCTCTTCCTATCACCCCCTCCCCTCTTCCTTTAATTATACAAAACACAACAGGCGCTTCAAAGCCAACATGCCGGGAGGTTCCCTGGCTCTGCTAAAGTCTCAAAGCAAACACTAGAATTTGTGTAAGGGAAGCTGGGAGATGACAGTATTGAAACGAACCCGTGTAAGCTGAAGAGCGGTGAAAGGGAAGAGTACAGGACAGAATGAGAATAAGCATAGATTATAAAAGCTGACTACAGAACAAGCGACTTTAAATGGGGTCTCTGCCAGGAACTCCACTGCAGGCAGCCTTGCATCCTAAGTGCTGGGACGGTCAAGCAAGGCAGAGGCGGAAAACCCCTTCTCATTCAGATGAAACAAAAGCCAGTCAAGCAGCAGGCCAAGGGCGGACAGAGATCCAGAGAGGGACGGCATGTGACGTGGCAGGCCCTGGGCGCCGGGCACAGGGCGCGCGCTGCGGCAGCCTCTGCGTGTCACTGTGTGCCTGAGGCTTCCATGGTGAGGTGCTGGGGCACCCCTGCTCCTGGGATGCTTACACGTGAGTGGAAGAAGACAAACGGGAAGCATCATGAGTTATGCTGTATGCTAACGGCAGGAGGCGCTGTGCAAAGAAACAGGGCAAGGCCGGGTGGCAGGGGCACGCTGCACTTCCCACAGGGCAGCAAGGCAGGCCTCACCAGCACGGTGCCAGGGCAGGGCCCGCAGGATCTGGAGACAGTGACTCAGGGACAGGAAACACTTGCACAGCAGGCCTAACCAGGGGCCTGTCGGGCAGGTCAAGGGACAGTGTTAGAGGCCCAGATGAACAGAGGTTAGGGCCGGGTGCAGTGGCTCACGCCTGTAATCCCAAAACTTTGGGAGGCTGAGGTGGGCGGATCACTTGAGACCAGGAGTTCGAGAACAGCCTGGCCAACATGGTGAAACCCCATCTCTACTAAAAATACAAAAATTAGCTGGGCGTGGTGGTGGACGCCTGTAATCCCAGCTACTCGGGAGTCTGAGGCAGGAAAATCGCTTGAACCTGGGAGGAAGAGGTTGCAGTGAGTTGAGATTGTGCCACTGCACTCCAGCCTGGGCTACAGAGCGAGCCTCCATGTAAAAAAAAAAAAAAAAAAAAAGACCTCAAGTGAACTGGGAGGCAGGCCAGAAGCAGCGTATTCAGAAGGCAGCAAACAGAGGGCCAAAAACGAAGGAAAGCCGGAGGAAGGGACATCCACTCCCGGGCTGCTCAGCAGCCACTCCAGGAGCCAGGAGAGGGCGGGGTCCCACCTTCGAGGCACTGAGGACAAGTGACCGTCCACCGGGAGTACTGTCCACCTGGAGTACCGCCCACCTGGAGTTCCACACACACAAAAATAGCTGTCAGGACACAGAGAAAAGGCATGTACAAGCAAAAATCAAGTTTGCCAGCAAGGAAAATTCTAGATGAACCTGAAGCTAAAGGAAAGTGACCCCAAATGGAAGGCCCGAGACACCAGAAGGGATAAGAAAAGAGAAACACAGAAGGAAATCTAAACAAGCGCTGACTCGAGAGAAGTAACACATTCCTGCGGGAGCCCCAAGGGGAGGTAGCACCCACACAAGGCACAGCAGCACCCGCGCCAGGACGGGGCGGCCGAGGTCTCCGCGTGGATCCGGAGGTGGCACAGACAATGATTAACTTCTTCTTTATTTATTCTTTAGCCGGGCAGCCTCCGGAGCCAGAGTTCACTCAGAGACTCCCTCATGGCAGAAGCTGATAAGTGCATGTTACCATTTCCAGGGGAGCCCCTGTACTTTCCCAGCACAGTGTGTATGTACTTGAGATAAAACAACTGAATTTTTTAAAACTCCATTTAATAAATTCAAAAGGCAATGAGAGAAAAAAAATAAGAAAATGTAGGACAAATAAAAGCACCAAAGAAAACATGTAAAAAATCTGTAAATCTGTGTATCCATCTAGGCATCTCTTAACTAGAAAGATGAAACTAGCGCATTCCCATCAAAAGACTTAGTCTTCTTAGATTTGACTTTTTAAAAATCCAGCTACGTGCTATCGATGGTGCACGTGTCTTAAACAAAAGTTTTCAGAAAAATGTAAAATCATAGAAGGAAAAAGTACTAGGTGAATACTCTCTAAAAGACAGCTGGGGTGGCCATGCCAGTATCAGACAAAATAATCAAAGGCAAGAGGCCTTTATCTTCCAAGAGGCCCGTGGGTCCCCACACAGTGAAAAGATGTGATTTCCAGGCAAGCACAGCAATTCCACACCTGTACAGACTCACAACCCGGCCTAAAAAATCCAGCGCAAAGGTTCACAGGAACCCAGAGAGAAAGGACTCGTGAGGAGGCGGTGAGTGCGTTCCCCGCTGGCTCAGGTGCAGTCAGCAGGAACGGACGCCCTCCCAGGAGCAGCCCACCAGAGCCAGCGGAGACGGGTAAGTGCCACTGGCTCAGACACACAGGATGCAGGAAAATCCACGGGCTCTTCACAACACTCAGGGGAGAGAAAGCCCACACACATCTACAAAGAAAAGCAACTCTCTCCTTGAGGTACGGGAAGATGAGGGAAAAGCATCTCACTTGCCTTTCTTTCACGAATTGTGTTTCAGGACAGCCAGCCGACACCGGTTGATGGGGAAAGCTAATCTTTACAAACAATCCCAGTTAATAAACACCGAAGAAGTGATAAAGTTCAGAAACTACCCTCTGCCATCCCTAATGAAGTCACCGATTCGGCAGGAATTATCAACGATGTGAAGAGTGAGGGGACCTGGACAGGAACAGGCCTCTCAGGGAGGAAGGGAGGGGCCAGGCCGCCTCCAGCTGGACTCCATGGCCAACCAGCACCTCCAGAAGCAGGACAAGGAGTCAGAGCAGCCTGGACACGGCACAGCGCACCCACCTCTACCAAGGAGGCCTCTCTGACGGCACCGCGGTGGCTGCAGCGGAGTCTCCCGCAAACGTCCCGAGATCTCACTGCAGAAGGCAGGGGTCCACACGGTACTCCTCGATACTCCTCGCGGGGGCCCGCACGGTACCCCTCGCAGGGGCCCCCATGATACTCCTCACAGGGGTCCACACAGTACCCCTCGCAGGGGCCCCCACGGTACCCCTCGCAGGGGTCCACATGGTACTCCTTGCAGGTACTCACCCATGCTTTCTGATAATATGCAGACTATATTGAAAAAAGGTTATCTTTCCAAAATACTGGCCTTTTTGAAACGTGAGGGAAGCACTGCACAGGGCTGAAGCATCCCTTAGTGGCTATTCAGGGAACCATTATCCTGAAGATCTAAACACGGTATGATTCTCTCAGAACGATGTCGGGCTGGCTAGCTTCACACGTCCTCTCCACACCTACCCACCCGGGCCCCTGAAGCTCCCTCTACCCAAGGACAAAAGAACCCTCCCAGGACCCCATTAGCGGCCCCTCTGCTCCTTCACGGCCCATGGGATCTTGCCGTCTCCCCTTATCACTAGGGGGAGGCAACGGCTAGACCACAGTCAGGGTCTCCCGAGCCAGAGTCCTGCCCCCGGACCCTGGGGAGCATCTCTTTCTGCTGGAAAGCTGAGCGAGCGCCCTGCTTAACCTCCTGCCTCTCTGGCACCACAGGTGTAACAGAAAGAGGACATGATAAATACTGTGTCAAGACATCCTGCAAAAGCAGGGCTCCTCTAGGTGCTAGTAACTGGGTAAAGGCCCACTATGGGTTAATTCAGAGGGGCTGGGGTGGGTCATGCTCAGCGAAGCAGGCTGGTGCCAAGGCGGGCCCTGCCTTGCGTGTGCCAGGCAACACTTTACAGAGTGCTGCGCTGAGCCGGTAAACTCCAGGGCAAGTCCAGTCCTCCTGTGCCCAGGACCCTCCGGCGGCCTCCAGCTCCTGCCTCCCTCCATCCTCGGCCCCTGGGGCTCCCTCCTCTCCACCTCCAGACCCCACACCTCTCTTTCCGTGCCCTGCCCTCCCAGCCCAACCCCTACTCCCATTCCTCCTCCGAGAGATGTCACGTCCTCACCCCAACACCCAGCCCTGGTGAGGCCCATTTACAAACTCTCCCAGCACCTGACGCTTAAGATCACAGACCCACCGGGCCGTCACCACACAGCTCAGCTGTCCTTATGTGCTGCCATGTCTACCGTGCTGCCCTGGAAGACCCCAGTGGCAGGAACCACCTGGTTGTCCCCTGCATCATGGCCATCCTGAACGCCACAGTTGGTAGCGCTGGTTGATTAAGTCACATGTACTCCAAGCAACACCTGAGACCCCCGTCGCTGACAACACCTTCTTAAGAGACCCTGGCAGCTCCGAGCCAGACCTCATGTTACTATGCGTTTACCGGTCAACGGGGGTGCCCCTGAAATACCTGCTCGTCTACATGATGGAAACAGCCCAGGAGGCACTGGGCAAGAGGAGATTCTAACGACACCTCAGCACTTGCCAGCACAGGCCCTGCGTGTGAGAACATCTCCTGCCGCTCCCACTTCCTCATCGCGGGTGTAACAGCGCTGCACGCCGGTGCCCCTCAGAACAGGAAGGGCCTGCCTCCCACTGCTCCCTGCCTGCTCAGCACCTGATGCATTCAAAATCAGTCCTACACCCCAGTGGGGTTCCAGATGAGGAACAAGTTCCCAGGAGGCAGAGGATGTCTCCCAGACCACACAGCAAGGAAGGGGCCATCCTGCCTGGCCACCATGCCCCCCTGCTCTCCAGGAGGACACAACAGCAGGGTGCTGGTTCCCTTGTTGCTCTGAGTCTCCTGTTAGGCAGAAAGGAGCACTTGGCTGCCACGGCAACTTGCGGGGACTCACTGTGGTGGAGTAAAGATGAAGAGGTAGAGACGCTGCCATCAGAGGCCGTCCAGGACCTCTGCCGACCCGTAGGCTCCACACCTGAGTCTCATAAGTGTCAGGAGGTTTCCTTCAAAGTCCTCAGAAAAAGCAGCTATGCCCAAAACCTGGGGCTTCATTCTAAACTCAGAAAAAATGTTCTACCTGAAGAATTATCTCCTCGGGAGAAACACCAGGACTTGTGGATACAGTGTTAAGGGTGGGGAGCCCTGGTGACCCCTCCACCACGTCCAGTACTGGGCTGCGCGAGGGCAGGGACCTTGGAGCATCGTGAAAAAGGACTTTTTCCACCCACGGCATGTTCAGAGCCACTGTTGATAAAAACTGTACCGCTCACGACAGCCTGCCCCAGCCCAGCCTCAGTGAGTGACACGGTTTGAATCTGTGTCCCCGCCAAATCTCACGCTGAATTATGATCCCCAATGTTGGAGGTGGGGCCTGGCAGGGTGGGTGTGTGGGTCACAGGGACAGATCCCTCGTGGCTTGGTGCTGTCCCGGTGATAGTGAGTTCTCACAAGATCTGGTCATTACAGTGTGTGGCACCTCCCCACCCCCAACTCTCTTGCTGCTTTCGCCATGTGACGTGTAAGCTCCCACTTGGCCTTCCGCCATGACTGGGAGCTTCCAGAGGCCTCCCCAGGAGCAGATGCCGGCACCATGCTACCTGTACAGCCTGCAGAACCGGGAGCCAATTAAATCTCTTTTCTTACAAATTACCCAGTCTCGGTATTCCTTTACAGCAATGCAAGAAGGCCCTAACAGTGAGCCAGGAGGCCACTCACGCCAGGAGCCCATCATCTCTGAGTCAGTCTACACCAGCTCTCCTGCAATATTAATGCTATAGAAGAAACTGCCAGGCAACTCTCAGGAGAGAATTCAGAGCAGGAAAGGTTCTCTGAAGTTCCTGGCGCCTATCCTCTCATTTGCAAATGAAGAAACTGAGGTTTTGCACGGTGGCCACTAACCGGGGACACAATTGGGCCCAAGAAGTGGTCACCACTGCCCTCACTCTGTGTAAATGAGAAAGAGGAAACAGCCATCATCTATGGGACCAACTAGAGTGCAGGCCCGCCTCCACCTGGGGGGCCATCAGGGTGCGGGACCCGCCTCCACCTGGGGGGGCCATCAGGGTGCGGGGCCCGCCTCCATCTAGGGTGCCATCAGGGTGCGGGACCCGCCTCCACCTGGGGGGCCATCAGGGAGCAGGGCCCGCATCCATCTAGGGGACCATTAGGGTTCAGGGCCCGCCTCCACCTGGGGGACCATTAGGGTGCGGGGCCCTCCTCCATTCGGGAGTCAGAGCTCGGGGCCGCCTCCATCTGGGCACCGGGCCCTCCTCCATCTGGAGACCATTGGGGAGCGGGGCCTGCCTCCCTCTGGGGCACCATGGGGCACGGGGCCCGCCTCCATCTGGGGCTCACAACGGGCGCAGGCCCCCTCCCCCGGGGCTGCCTCCCCAAAGCTCTGCCCCGGCACGGCGGTGAGCTCAAGCCTCCTGCAGCGTGGGCGCGTCCGTCCGGCCCGCCCCGCCCCGAGGTGTGGACGCCGCCGCTCCCCTCCGGCCGGCCAGGCGCCCCGCGTGCCCCGGGAGAGCCGCGGAGTCGGCCCGCCAGCCGCAGCTGAGCAGTAGCCCTGACCCAAGGCCCCGCCCGCAACCGCAGGTCACCGCCCCCGCCCGACCCTCGCCCGGCTGCCTCACCGGCCCGCGCTGAGTGCTGACGGTGGTCGCCATGGTGCTGCGGCGGCCCCCGTGGCTCGCCGACCCGACAGTGACGCGCCGGGCGACCTCCTGCGCCCCCGCCGGAGCCTGCGACGGAGACAGTTGTCACCTCGAGGCCGCCGCCGCCACAGTCAGCTGACAGCCGCCGCGCCCCGCCCCCGGCACCGCCCCACTGCGCAGGCGCCGCGCCAGGCACCGCCCCTTCCGGCTCTCGCGCGCACGCGCGCTCCAGGGTAGGGCAGGCGCAGCCTCTCGCCCGGCGCCTGCGCACCTGCTCTCTCCTCGAGCCCTGCAGCCCGGCGAAATGGCTCCCGGCGGGGCCGTTTGCGCATGCCCAGTCATGACGGTTGTCGGCGCGGGCCCTAGCGTGGCGGCGCTGCAGTCTGGGCAGTGGGTTGGTTCCTCCTCGGTCCTCTGTCGAGTGGCGACAGGGCCTAGCCACCTGGCGGGGGTGACCTTCGGACGTGCGACCCGCTCGGAGAAGGGAGGGAACTGTGGCCCGCAACAAAGCAGTGACAGGCCCGACATCCCCTGCAGGGCGATCTTTCCCTCAGCTGCCTGCCGGAGGAAGGGCCTTTCTGTTTCACAGGGCTAAAGATGGGGCGCGGTTCCTCCACGGGGCGGCTGCCGGGTGAACGGAACGGGGATGGAGGCGCTGCCAGAAGAGCCCGAGCTCGAGCCCGCCCTGCCCTCGGCCTCCCCGCCGCGCCGCTCCGCAGGAGCCCCGCTCCTCTCCTGCTCGCTCCGGAGAACCCCAGTCCGGCCTGACCTCGGCCCTCGCGGTCAGGCGCTCCAACCAGAGCGACTCCAGCTCGAACAGCGCTGGGTAAACTGAGGCTGAACCCCGCTGGCTGCATCCCCAGGAGTCGGGCGTTTACGGTCACGGGAACAGGTTAATAAACTTTTACGCAGCAGACCCGGAACTTAGGTCCCGATGTCCGGGTATCTTAAGAACAAGAAGCATTCTTAGTTGAAGTTTCGCTTTAAAGATAATGATACAGATGCTTGCGGAGGACAGGCGTTATGCAAAGATTGGCAATCCTTTGACGAGCCCAGGTAGTACAGCACGTCTCCCCCGTGATGTTTTTTGGCTTTTATCTTACATATAAACAAGCGTACCCAGGTGGACGCCTTCCTCCTCGTGCTTTTGGGAACACCCTGCTCTATGGAGTAGCCATTCTTTTATTCCTTCACTGCCTTAATAAACTTGCTTTCACTTTACTCTGTGGACTGGCCTGGAATTCTTTCTTCCACAAGATCCACGAATCCTCTTTTGGGGTCTGGATCAGGACCCTTTTCCGGTAACACAACCACTCCACTAAAAACTCTTTGTCAGTGATCTCTATATTGTTAGTGGTCAGTTCTCAGTCCTCGTCCTCCGGGAACTACAGCAAAATCGATAGTCATTCTTGCTACACATGCTTTCTTCACTCCCCATCCAGGACACCATGTGCTCTCACTTTCCTCTTATCCCAAAGACCACATCTTTGGGTCTCGGTTACCAGTCTCTCCTTTTAAAACCGGCAGCCTGGCCGCTTGCCTGTTTTGATGGGGTGTAGAGAAAAAGAACGAAAGCCCCTTCCTCAAGTTGTAGCTTAACATCCAGCCAATCCACAGCACAAGACCCAAGAAGCTATTAACCACAAGTTCCTGCTTTGGGGGCCTAGGGACTTCCCCGGGCCCCACATGTGCAGTTAGACTTATACTTCAACTATTGTTACCCCTTCCTCATTTTCACGCTAAAAATCACACCTAGGGGTAGAGATTTAAAATGTGAATGTTGCATGCAATGCATGAAGAAGCATGCAAAGCTACTGAGAAGCACTAGACAAACCCCTCCTATCCATGCCTGGACCAATCCCTTCCCTGTGAAACTAACCCACGTGCCACCCCCTGGCGGCGGGGCCCCCCACCGTTTTCCTTTCATGGTGCTGACTTCCTTGTGCACAAGCTAAATAAAGATTTCTCTTTCTCCTCGCTGCTATGTCTGCTGATCTCTCTTTATTTCTATCCTGGGAGATTACAAGATGCCAGGGCACACTGGTAACACTTTGACTCCTTAACATCGGAGTGCCTTACCTCAGGGCTCAGTCCTTGCACATCTTTTCTATCTACATCCTCAGTGAGCTCATCCAGTTCCATTCCTTTAAATGCCATCCATATGCTGATGATCCTAAAATCTGTATCTCCCACCAGGACCTCCGCTAAACACTAGATTCAGCTCTTGCCTTAATATTATTCCCCTATGGGGTGGACAGGTTGTAAGGTAGACATATGATCCCTGCCTCCTGGTGTTCACATCCTTGAATAATCCTCTTGTCTTGAGGGTGGACAGAGCCTGTGGCTTGCTTTTAAACAACAGAATATGGCAGTGGTGATGGGATGTCCCTCCCATGATTACCTGATGTTATAAAAGACTCCATCTTGCTCTCAGACTTATTCTCAAGGGTCTCTCAGCTGCTGGCTTTGAAGAGGCGAGGTGCCATAATTCCTACAACTTCAAGGAAACAAATTCTGCCAGGAATCTGAGGGGGCTTTGATCCTTCCCCAGTCAAGCCTCCAGATGAGAATGCAACCCAGCTGACAACTTAATTATAGCCTCGTAAGACCCAAGAATAAGCCAGCTAAGCTGTGCCTGAACTCCTACCCCACAAAAACTCTGAGATAAGTGTGTGTTGTTTTAAGCCACTAAGCTTACAGCCACGTGATCTGACTTAAGCATTATTAGAATTCCAGAAGAAAAAAGGAGAATGAGGCAGAAAATCTGAAGAAATAATGGCCAATAATTCTCCAAGTTAATGGTAGGCACCAAACAAAATATTTAGGAAGCAATGGATTCCAAACAAATAAACAAAACACTTAGTCAGGTCATATTCACACTGCTGATAACAGAAAGCAAGGAGAAACTCTTAAAAGCAGACAGAGGAAAATGACACATTACATCCAGAAGAATGAAGATTAGAATAGCAGACTTCTCATTGGAAAGAAGGTAAGTCATGTGAATGGAGTGACATCTTTAAAGTGCTAACAGAAAAAAAATTATATGTCAATTGAAATTTCTTGCAAAATGATATGGCGATGTATTTCAGAACAGTGGTTATCTATGTGTGTTGGAAGTGAGGGACTGGAGATTGACTAGACAGGACCATGAGGGAACTTTCTGGGGTGGTAGAAAGATTATATACCTTGATTGGGATGGAGTGGTTATACCAATGTGTAAATTTATCAAAACTCACATGATTGTAAACTTATGATTTGTGCATTCTGATGTATGTATGTAAGTTTTATCTCAATAAAAGGTTAATGACAAAAAGAAAACACTTTCAATATATATGACAGAGTTAGTCTAAATGTATTAAGAGTGCCTACAAATTTCTAAAAAGAAGACATACAGGCTGGGCGTGGTGGCTCATGCCTGTAATCCCAACACTTTGGGAGGCCAAGGTAGGTGGATCACTTGAGGTCATGAGTTCAAGACCAGCCTGGCCAACATGGTGAAACCCTGTCTCTTCTAAAAATACAAAAAAAAAAAAAAAAAAATAGCCTGGCGTGGTGGCACATGCCTGTAATCCCAGCTACTTGGGAGGCTAAGGAAGGAGAATTGCTTGAACCTGGCAGGCAGAGGTTGCAGTGAGCTGAGATCATGCCACTGCACTCCAGCCTGGGCGACAGAGCAAGACTCTTTCTCAAAAAAAAAAAAAAATGTCTATTCATGTCCTTTGCCCACTTTTAAGTGGGATTTTTTGATTTTTTACTGTTGAGTTGTTTGTATATTCTGGATATTAGTCCCTTGTTGGATGAATACTTCGCAAATATTTTCTCCCATTCAGCAGGTTGTCTCCTCACTCTGCTGATAATTCCCTTTGCTGTGCAGAAACTTTTTAGTTTAATATAGTCCCATTTGTCTATTTTGTTTTTATTGCCTGTGCTTTTAAGATCTTAGCCATAAAATCTTCGCCTAGACCAGTGTCCTTAAGTGTTTTTCCTGTGTTTTCTTCTAGTAGTTTTATACTTTCAGGTCTTACTTTAAGTCTTTAATTCATCTTGATTTGACTTTTGCAGATGGTGGGAGATAGGAGTCCAGTTTCATTCTTCTTCATCTGGATGTCCAATTTTCCAAGCACCATTTATTGAAGAGGGTGTCCTTTCCCCACTGTGTGTTTTTGGTGCCTTTGTCAGAAATCAGTTGGCTGTAAGTATGTGGATTTATTTCTGGATTCTCTCTTCTGTTCCATTGGTCTATGTGTCTGTTTTTGTATGAATACAATGCTGTTTTGGTTATGATACTTTTGTAGTTTATTTTGAAGTTGGATAATGTGATGCCTCCAGCTTTGTTCTTTCTGCTCAGGATTGCTTTGGCTATTTGGGCTCTTTTTGTTCCATAAATATTTTAGGATTGTTTTTTCTATTGCTGTGAAAAATGATGTTGGTATTTTGATAGGCATTGTATTGAATCTATAGATTGTTTTGGGCAGTATAGCCATTTTAATAATATTAATTTTTCCAATCGGTGAGCATGGGACATCTTTCCATTTGTTTGCATCATCTTCAATTTTTTTCATCAGTGTTTTGTAGTTTTACTTGTGGAAGTCTTTCAACTACTTGGTTAAATTTATTCCTATTTTTTTTTGTAGCTGTAGCAAATGGAATTATCTTCTTGATTTCTTTGTCAGCTATTTCATTGTTGGTGTATAGAAGCACTACTGATTTTTGTATGTTTATTTTATATCATGCAACCTTACTGAATTCATTTACCAGATCTAATAACTTTTTGGTGGAGTCCTTAGGTTTTTCCAAATATAAGATTATATCATCTTCAAAGAGGGACAATTTGAATTATTATTTTCCTCTTTTTTTCTTTTTTTTTGCCTTTTATTTCTTTCTCTTGCCTGATTGCCCTGGCTAGGACTTCCAGTATTATGTTGAATAGAAGTGGTGAAAGTAAGCATCCTTGTCTTGTTCCAGATCTTAGAGGAAAGGCTTTCAACTTTTCCCCATTCAGCATGATGTTAGCTGTGGGTTTGCCAGATATGGTCCTTACTATATTGAGGTATGTTCCTTCTGTGCAAGTTTGTTGAGAGTTTTCATCATAAAGGGATGTTGAATTTTATTAAATGCTTTTTTCTGTATCTATTGAGATGATCATATGATTTTTGTCCTTCATTCTGTTGATGTGATGTATCACGTTTATTGATTTACATATGTTGAACCATCCTTGCATCCCTGGGATAACTCCCACTTGGTCATGGCATATTATCTTTTTTGTGTGCTGTTGGATTCAGTTTGCTAGTATTTTATTGAGAATTTTTGTGTCTATGTTCACCAGGGACATTGGCCTATAGTCTTATTTTCTCCTTACATACTTGTCTGGGTATCATGGTGATGCTGGCCTTGTAGAATGAGTTAGGGAGAATTCCCTCCTCTTAATTTTTTTGGGAATAGCTTGAGGAGAATTGGTATTAGTTTTTCTCTGAACGCTTGGTCGAATTTGATAGTGAAGCCATCTGGTCCTGGACTTTTCTGCATTAGGAGACTTTTTTGTTTTGTTTTGTTTTGTTTTGAGATGGAGTCTTGCTCTGTCGCCCAGGCTGGAGTGCAGTGGCGCAATCTCTGCTCACTGCAACCTCCGCCTCCCAGGTTCATGCCATTTTCCTGCCTCAGCCTCCCATGTAGCTGGGACTACAGGCGCCTGCCACCATGACCGGCTAATTTTTTTGCATTTTTAGTAGAGACAGGGTTTCACCATGGTCTCGATCTCTGTACCTCGTCATCTGCCTGCCTTGGCCTCCCTAAGTGCTGGGATTACAGGCATCAGCCACTGCGCCCGGCCTGGGAGACTTTTTATTATAGATTCAATCCCATTACTCATTATTGGTCTGTTCCAGGTTTCTGTTTCTTCCTGATTCAATCTTGGTAAGTTGTATGTGCCTAGGAATTTATCCATTTTCTTTAGGTTTTCCAGTTCATTATTGTGTATAGTTGTTCGTAATAGTTTCTGATGATTTTTTGTCTTCTGTGGTATCAGATGTAATGGTCCCCTTTCTAATTTCTGATTATGCTTATTTGAGTCTCTTTTCTTTTTTCTTTGTTAGTCTAGCAAGAGGTCTATTGATTTTCAATATAACCAACATTTCAAAATAACCAACTTTTTTTTTTTTCAAAATAACCAACATTTTGTTTTGTTGATCCTTTGCTCTTTTTACTCTCTTATTTTGTTTAGTTCTGCTCTGATCTTTATTATTTCTTTCCTCTACTAATTTTGGATTTGGATTGTTCTTGCTTTTCTAATTCCTTGAGGTACATCATTTGATGATTTATTTAAAATCTTTCTATTTTTTGAGGTAAGCATTTACTGCTATGAACTTCCCTCTTAGCTCTGCTTTTGCTGTATAGTTTTTTCTATGTTGTGCTTTTATTTTCATTTATTTCCAGTAAGTTTTTTGGTTTACTCCTAAATGCCTTCCTGATCCAGTGGTTGTTCAGGAGCACATTGTTTTTTGTTTTTGTTTTTGTTTTTTTTCTTTTTTTGAGACGGAGTCTCACTCTGTCGCCCAGGCTGGAGTGCAGTGACATGGTCTTGGCTCACTGCAACCTCCACCTCCCGGGTTCAAGCAATTCTCTTGCCTCAGCCTCCCAAGTACCTGGGATTACAGGCGCCCACCACCATGCCCGGCTAATATTTGTATTTTTGTAGAACATGGTTTCACCATGTTGGCCAGGCTGGTCTTAAACTCCTGACCTCAGGTGATCCCCCCGCCTTGGCTTCCCAAAATGCTGGATTACAGGCATGAGCCACTGCACCCTGCAGGAGCACATTGTTTAATTTCCATGTATTTGTACAGTTTCCAAAGTTCTCGTTATTGATTTCTAGTTTTTATTCTATTGTAGTCTGAGAAGGTTCTTGATATTATTTTGATTTTTAAAAACTTGTTGAGGCTTGTTTTGTGTTCTGACATAGGGTTGAACCTGGAGAATGTTCTGTGTAGCTGATGAGAAGAATGTGTATTCTGTAGCTGCTGCACGGAATGTGCTGTAAACATCTGTCAGGTCCATTTGGTCTAGTGTGTAATTTACATTTGGTCCAATGTTTCTTTGTTAATTTTCTGTCTAGATGATCTGTCTAATGCTGAGAGTGGGCTATTGACGCTCCTATTATTGTATTGGAGTCTACGTCTCCCTTTAGATTAAATGGTGTTGATTTTATATATCTGGGTGCTCTGGTGTTGGGTGCATATTTGTGTAGAATTGCTAGTCCTTTTGCTGAGTTGATCCCTTTATCATTATATAATAACCTTCTTTGTCTCTCTCTCTGTTTTGTTTTGTTTTTTTTGACACAGTCTCACTCTGTTGCCCAGGCTGGAGTACAGTGGCGCAATCTCGGCTCACTGCAACCTCCATCTCCCAGGTTCAAGCGATTCTCCTGCCTCAGCCCCCCAAGTAGCTGGGACTACAGGCACATGCTGCCACGCCCAGCTAACTTTTGTGTTTTTAGTAGAGACAGAGTTTCACCATGTTGGCCAAGCTGGTCTCAAACTCCTGACCTCAGGTGATCCATCCGCCTCCTCCCAAAGTGCTGGGATTACAGGCGTGAGCCCCTGCACCCAGCCACCTTCTTTGTCTCTTTATACTGTTTTTTACTTAGATTCTTATTCTTTGTTCTGGACAAAAAGCCCTGTGTTCCCAGCATAGGAGAAATACAAGGTGCCATTCGCCACCATATTTTCATGGGTGGGTCAACTAAGATATATTGCCACCTACAGCAAGAATTGAAGCATTAGCTACCAACTGTGACTTGTTAGGGAAAACAATAACCAGAAACAGAATATACAACTGCTCTATTCTCCATTTCTGTATCTGTGATGAGGCCTGTGGTGATACTCATAGCTTCCTTAGTCCACCATCCATTTCACGTTCTCCTTTTCTTTGCTAAGTGCCTCAGCCCTATCCGCCCTGAAGGTGGTGTAGATAAGAAGTTCCTGTCAAGTCTGCACTGAGGCTTTCCCAATTTCCATCAGAGAAAGAGGTGAAAAGGCTCTCTTTTAGCGAGGCCTTGGTGTTGCTATGAGCTGGCCTGGCACTCCCAGTTAGGGCGCCGTGTTCTGTTAAACATATCGACTTTGCTGGAGAGTCGCGTCATACAAAGCCAGTCTGTGGTTGTGACGCCTCAGTACAAAAACACACCACTCTCTAATCACGTCTGAATACTGTCCAAGACAAATGACCACATCACCTACCCTGGCCAGTCTGACAGCTGCTGCTTTACTAACTACAACTTTAGCCTCCGCCTACTCTTCCCTCCTTCTAGAGAAAAATTACTAAGAAGCCTAATCAGCTAGGTGCAGTGGCTCACACCTGTGATCCCAGCACTTTGGGAGGCCGAGGTGGGCAGATCACCTGAGGTCGGGAGTTCGTGACCAGCCTGGCCGACATGGTGAAACCCAGTCTCTACTAAAAATACAAAAAATTAGCCGGGCGTGGTGGTAGGTGCCTGTAATCCCAGCTACTCCGGAGGCTGAGGCAGGAGAATTGCTTGAACCCAGGAGGCGGAGGTTGCAGTGAGCTGAGATGGCACGATTGCACTCCAGCCTGGGTAAGGACAGCAAAACTCCTTCACAGAAAAAAAAAAAAAAAAAAGGAAAAACAAAAAGAAGCCTACTCATGGAACTACCCCTGCTTCCTGACTGCATCAAACCCAGAACAAAACCCCACTTCCTTAAACCCTCCCCAGAATACCTCCACAAGCCCCAATGCCACTGTAAGTCCTTTCCGGTGCCCTCTTACGAAGTTAACCTGTAGTTCTCCAGGGTGTGTGTGTGCTCTCCTTCACTGCAACGAGTGATAAACCCAGCTTGCTCCATTACAGGTGTGTTCCCAGTGGTCTTTCGCTGGAGGCATTGGCACATCCGAAGCTTGAATTGTCCTGTTCCTTTGTGAACGCTTTCTGGAGCCGTCAGAGGAAGCCAGCCCATTCCACAGTCTTTGTAATCCCCATTTTTGCTGAAGCAACTGCGTGTCTCAGCCATGTGATTCCCCATCTATTTTCCCTCCACGTGCATGGTGCCCCATGCTGCTGTTGATGAGAACGTGAGGAACTGAGGTGCTACTGTGTGATGTGAGCTCCCAGTGTTCTGTTTCCCCCAGCAAGGATTTATCCCCGTGTTCATCAAATGTATGAGCAATCCAGTCCTGGAATCCCATTCTGAGAGTCTGTTTCTTGGGACCAATTCCGATACCAATGACTGTATCAGTCAAGGGCCCATTATGAAGCCGATGGCATACTCAGAAGGATAACTAATCGGGTCCATCATGTAAGGGGCTTGAAAGTTGATGCTCTGGGCCGGGCACGGTGGCTCATGCCTGTAATCCTAGCACTTTGGGAGGCCAAGGCGGGTGGATCACGAGGTCAGGAGATCAAGACCAACCTGGCTAACACGGTGAAACCCTGTTTCTACTAAAATACAAAAAAATTAGCCAGGCATGGTGGCAGGCACCTGTAGTCCCAGCTACTCAGGAGGCTGAGGCAGGAGAATGGTGTGAACCCAGGAGGCGGAGCTTGCAGTGAGCCAAGATTGCACCATTGCCCTCCACCCTGGGTGACAGAGCGAGACTCTGTCTCAAAAAAAAAAAAAAGTTGATGCTCTGACCTAACAACAAGCAAACAGCTGAAAAAAAAAAAAACCTGAAAAATCAACAGCTTTTCTTAGAACCATCACAGAAGTGAGCTCTCTGGGCAAACTGCTGCCCCGAAAATTAGAGAGATAAACAGGTGGATACAGACAATCACAACTTACCAAAGCGGAGATCCACCTCTGCAAGAACCAGCACTGGAGGAGGAAAACCTGAACTGTAGTTCGTAAATTTCTGGAGGCTCAGTGTCCACAGGTCTGAGAGGGAAAACTTTCAGGAGGAGGAGGGCCCAGGCAGTCATCAGCCCCCACAACAGTCATCAGCCCCCCCATAGTCATCAGGACCCCCCCACCCTGCTCTTTCAGGAGGATCTAGGCAGTCATCAGCCCCCCACAGTCATCAGCCCCCCTCACCCTGCTCTTTCAGGAGGACCGAGTCAGTCTTCAGCACCCCACAGTCATGAGGCGCCCCCCAATTTCTGCTTTTGTGAGTTTTACCTCCAGGAATTCTACCAGATTCTCGCAGTGAAGAGCAGAGAAAAATCTCCCGGGGTTTACAGCAGGCAGAGAGGAAAAGGAACCATTTTGAAATAGGTTAAAACATTCTGTTCTTCTTAAAAAGGCCTCACCTCAGCAGAAACTAGTTTACCAGAGCCTACCCTACTGGGGTTTTATCAGAACCTCACTGACCTGTGGGAAGGAAAATGCCCAGCTCCAGCTCCCTCTAGCTTTCCATGTTGGAGGAGGGAACTCCTCAACTCCAGCTCCCCTTATGGACACTGTGCCGCCTAAAGGGGTGAAAAACAAAAAACAAACCTGAGAAGCACTTATGAGGTTCACAACCCAGCAGGACAGACTCACCGGGAGACCTAATCGCAGGCCTGTAAAATGCTTTCCTTCTCTTCACACCTCACCACTATGTTACTAAAGGCCTATTTACTGTAGTTCCCTTGACTCAGTGAATCATGTCTGCCTTTCAACAAAGAATTACAAGGCGTACTAAAAGTCAAAAACAAAACAAAGAAACAAAAATGCCATTTGCAGAGATGGAATAAGCACCAGAACTGAGCTGGACCCTGGTGTGATAGCAATGTTGGAATTATCAGATCATGAATCTAAAACAACCATGATTAACATGCTAAGGGCCCTAGTGGATAAAGTAGACAACGTGCAAGAACAGATGGAAAATGAAGGCAGAGAGATGAAAATTCTAAGAAAGAATAAAAAAGAAATGCTAAAGATAAGAATAGTGGCTATAAAAATTAAAATTCCCTTTGATGAGCTTATTAGTAGGCTGGACATGGCTGAGGAAAGAATCTCTGAACTTGAGGCTACATTAATAAAGCCTGAAAAAAACAGGACAGAATATCCAAGAACTGTGGGACAACTACAGAGGTGTAAATATGTGTAATGGGAATGGGAATACCGGCAGGAGAAGAAAGAAAGGAACAGGGCCGGGTGCAGCGGCTCACGCCTGTAATCCCAGAACTTTGGGAGGCCGAGGCGGGTGGATCATGAGGTCAGGAGATCGAGACCATCCTGGCTAACACGGTGAAACACTGTCTCTACTAAAAATACAAAAAAAACCTAGCCGGGCGTGGTGGCGGGCGCCTGTAGTCCCAGCTACTCAGGAGGCTGAAGCAGGAGAATGGCGTGAACCCAGGAGGCAGGGCTTGCAGTGAGCTGAGATCACACCACTGCACTCCAGCCTGGGCAACAGAGTGAGACTCCGTCTCAAAAAAAATAAAATAAAATAAAAATACAAAAATTAGCCAGGCTTGGTGGTGGACACCTGTAATCCCAGCTACTCAGGAGACTGAGGCAGGAGAATCACTTGAACCTGGGAGGTGGAGGTTGCAGTGAGCCAAGATCACACCATTGCACTCCAGCCTAGGCAACAAGATCAAGACTCCATCTCAAAAAAAAAAAAAAAAAAAAAGAACAGAAGCAACATTTGAGGTAATTATGCCTGAGAATTTCTCCTAACTAATTGTCACACACCAAACAACAGATTCAGGAGGATCAGAGAACACCAAGAAGGATAAACAAAAAACAAAAACAATACAAAATAACTATACCTAGTTATATCATATGCAACCTACAGAAAGTGAAAGATCCCTGAGGGAAGCTAGAGTAATACACCTATAGAGGGGCAAAGATAATGATTCCATCTGACTTCTCCTTGGAAACCATGCAAGTAAGAGGAAAGTAGAGTGAAATATTTAAAGTGTTGAAAGGAAAATAAAACTGAACCAAGCTAGAATTCTGTATCCTGTGAAAATCCTTCACAAGTAATGCAGAAACACAGACTTTCTCAGGCAAACAAAAATCGAGAGAATTTGTTGCCAGTACACTTGCCTTGCTAGAAATGCTAAAAGAAGTTCTTCAGACACAAGGAAAATAATACAGGTCAGAAACTCAGATCCACATAAAGAAAGGAAGAGCATCTGAGAAGAAATAATTGAGGGTAAAATAGCTTTTTCTTATTCTTAGTTCATCTAACAGATAATAGCTTGTTCAAAATAATAGCAACAATATATTTGATGATTATAGTTTAAGTGTAAGTGTAATTACACAGTAATTACACAAAATAAAGCAATAATGCAGGGCTGGAAGGGAATAATTAGAATTATGTTGTTATTATAACATACTTGCACTATTCATGAAACAGTATAGTTTTATTTGAAAGAGGACTTTTATGTTAGTTGTAAATGTATATTGTGAACTCTAGGGCAACCATTAAAAAAAAGTAATCTAAAAAGAAGTATAATTGATATGCTAAGAAAGGAGAGAAAATGGAATCATATAAAATTCTTGGTAAAAACCACAAAAGGCAGAAAAAGAGTAGAGACAAAAATAGTAACAAAGAACAAGGGCAATGTATTAGTTTGATTTTATGCTGCTGATGAAGAACATACCTGAGACTGGGTGATTTATATACAAAAAGAGGTTTAATGGACTCTCAGTCCCACATGGCTGGAGAGGCCTCACAATCATGGCAGAAGGCAAAAGCATGTCTTACATAGTGGCAGGCAAGAGAGAGAAGGAAAACCAAATGAAAGGGGTTTCCACTAAAATACCATCAGATCTCATAAAACTTATTCACTACCACGAGAACAGTGTGGGCAAAACCACCCCCATGAGTCAATTAACTCCACCGGGTCCCTCCCACAACATGTGGGAATTATGGGAGCTACAATTCAAGATGAGATTTGGGTGGGGACACAGCCAAACCATATCAGGCAACAAATAGAAAATAGCAACAAACATGGTAGATATTAATCCAACTATAGCAATAATCATTTTAAACATCAATAGTCTAAAAATACCAATTAAAGACAGGGATTGTCAAAGTGGATTAAAAAATAAGACCCAACTATATGGTGACTACAAGAAACTCACTTTAAATATAAAGACATATATAGGCCGGGTGCGGTGGCTCACTCCTGTAATCCCAGCACTTTGGGAGGCCAAGGTGGTAGATCACCTGAGGTCAGGAGTTCAAGACCAGCCTGACCAACATGGAGAAACCCAGTCTCTACTAAAAATACAAAATTAGCCGGGCATGGTGGTGCATGCCTGTAATCCCAGCTACTTGGGAGGCTGAGGCAGGAGAATCGCTTGAACCCAGGAGGTGGAGGTTGCGGTGAGCTGAGATCACGCCATTGCACTCCAGCCTTGACAACAAGAATGAAACTCTGTCTCAAAATGAATAAATAATAAATAAATAAATAAATAAATAAATAAAAAGACATATATAGATTAAAGGTAAATGGAAAGAGAAAGATATACCATGATGAAAAAGAAAACTAGAGTAGCTATACTAATTTCAGACAGAGCAAACTTCAGAGCAAGGAAAATTATTAGGGATAAAGAAGGATATTACGTGATGATAAAGGAATCACTTCTCCAAGAGGATATAACGATCCTTAAAACATATCTGTCTAAAAACAGCACATCAAAATACATGAGGAAAAAACTAATCGGCCGGGTGCGGTGGCTCACACCTATAATCCCAGCACTTTGGGAGGCCAAGGCAAGTGGATCACGAGGTCAGGAGTTCAAGACCAGCCTGGCCAAGATGGTGAAAACCCATCTCTACTACAAATACAAAAATTAGCTGGGCACGATGGCAGGCACCTGTGATCCCAGCTACTTGGGAGGCTGAGGCAGGAGAATCGCTTGAACTTGCAGGGTGGAGGTTGCAGTGAGCCGAGATCAGGCCACTGCATTCCAGCCTTGACAACAGAGTGAGACTCTGTCTCAAAAAACAAACAAACAAAAACAACAACAACAACAAAGACTAATTAAAACTGAGGAATACACTTTAGAGACGTCAACACCCTTTGTCAGAAATAGACAGATACCGCCAGCAGAAAATAAGTAAGGACATAGCTGAACTCCACAGGACCATCAATCAGCTGAATATAATGGACTCCTATAGATTAAATCACCCAACAACAGCAAAATGCACATTTTTCTCAAGCTCTCATGGAATATTTACTAAGATAGACCATATTCTGGGCCATGAAGCACACCTTCACAAATTTAAAACCATAGTACAGTAAGATCAGACCACAGTTAAATTAAATGAGAAATCAATAATATAAAGAAAGCCGGAAAAGATGACTGGGAAGATTGTAATGAATGGACTCTTTACAAAGGAGGGGCAGAGTTCAGTGAATGAACAAGGTGTAGTGAAGCCTCGGGACATTTTTAGCTTCAGGAAGCTGCTACCACTCCTGGCCTTGAAAGGACAAGGGAAGGTCATAGTTACCAGAGAAAGGGACTTATTTGGGGGAAGTTGTGGTCTCACATAGAGGAATAAAGTCACTGCCAAACCACAAGCCTACAAGGAGGGATCTCAGGAAATAGAGAACTCTGACCTCTCTCCTCGCCGCTCATCTCCTGCAGGTGCCTCTCATTAGCCTAACCAGGTGATGCAGCTTGTTAGACACCAGGTTCCTGGGTCACAAAGAAAGGCAGAGAAAGACAGAGAGTGAATTGAGAAACTATACTACACATGCATCCAAATATCAGCCATAACCAGAAGATACAATTTTGTAATGTATCACTGAAAAAAGCAACACAAATAAGGAGGGAACAGAAAATAAGATATTTTCAAAGTGGGCAAAAGTGTGAAGGAAAAATTATAAAACTTTATTGAAAGACATTAATGAAGACCTGAATAAATTGAGGACTATAAACCAGATTCATGGATAGAAAGAGTCAGTATTAAAAATATGTCAATTCTCCCCTAAATCATTCTGCAAAAAGCAATTTCCATTAAAACTCCATAAATGTTTTTAAAAGGAATTTAACAAATGGATTCTAAAATTCATACAAAAAAACCAAAGGCTGAATAATAGCCAAAACATAAAAGAAAGAAAAGGAGAAGGAGGCAGTGGAAGGAAAATGTCAGAGGAGATATAAAAATGTATTATAAAACTATAATTAAGACTGTGATATGGGGATAGACAAATTTCACCAGTGCAACAGAACATGACTATTTGATTTATCAGAGTACAGTCACTGTTGAACAGTTTGGAAAGGAAATATTTTTCAATACATGCTCCACAACAATTAATTGTACGTATGAAAAAAATCCATTTGCACCTCTACCTTATGCCAAACAGAAAAGCAATTCTTAATGGAATTAATCCAATAAATATTTGATGAATTCAGCGTCTACATCATGTTTGGAAAGGATAAAATCAGGAAAAACTGTTGCCTCTCCTCTGATCCATCTCAGAAAGTTTGAGCAGCCACTGAGGTGTCAGGAGATACCCTCCATGAGCAAAGGAGAGCCACTTGGTAGACCAAACATGACAGAAAGGCATTCAGCAGACCAAATGCAGGAGAAAGGCGTCCAGCAGACCAAACGCGGCAGAAAGGTGTCCAGCAGACCAAACGCGGGAGAAAGGCAGCGGGGCGAATGGGTGGAAGAATAAGAGTGAGGTAGGCCAGAAAGAGGGTTTTCAATGCTAGCGTGGAGCATCAGGAACCATCACAATGTATAACAATGAGCCGTATCATGGGGCTTTAAGGAGTGGAGTGGTGTGGCCTTAGAGGTAAGCAGAGATGACATCTTTGTCAAGATAATTAAAGAAGGGGCGGCAGGGTGTGGTGGCTCACGTCTGTAATCCCAGCACTTCGGGAGGCTGAGGCGGGCTGATCACGAGGTCAGGAGTTCAAGACCAGCCTGACCAACATGGTGAAACCCTGTCTCTACTAAAAATACAAAAATTAGCCGGGTGTGGTGGAAGATGCCTGTAATCCCAGCTACTCAGGAGGCTGAGGTAGGAGAATCGCTTGAACCCGGGAGGCAAGGGTGCAGTGAGCTGAGATCGTGCCACTGCACTCCAGCCTGGGCTACAGAGTGAGATTTCATCTCAAAAAAAAAAAAAAAAAAAAAAAAAGAAGGGGCAATTCTGGAGGCCTGGGGTCCAGCCAGATATATTTCTGTTGTACTCTTAGACCACAGTTACGTTAAAATTAGAAATCAATAATATGAAGATAGCTGGAAAAGATGACTGGAAAGATTGTAATGGATGGACTGTTTACAAAGGAGGGGGGGCAAAGTTAAGTGAATGAGTTAAGTGAATGTTCTAAGTGTAGACTGTAAAGGAAATTCTGACTTAAATGTTAGATGCTCCAAGTAATTGCTCCCATTCCCTTAGATAGCAGATGCCAACATCCAGAGCTTGATATGCATGCACATTGACCCTGTGAATCACCTGAGTGAGGTCATCTGCCTGTGGAACCGTCATTGCTTCCAGCCCCGTTCCACGTTGTCATGGGCGTTCCACTCCCCTTGATCTTTCTATTTCTAGATTTCAACTCATAATGGCACACACGGGTCTGAGTAGTCATGGAACATTCTAATGTACCAAGAGCCCCAGACAAGTTTTCTGCATAACGTTAGTGGGATTCTTGAGTGATAATGATACAAAACACCTTCGAGTGTTTAATATGTGCCACCACCGCGCCCGGCTAATTTTTTTGTATTTTTAATAGAGACGGGGTTTCACCGTGTTAGCCAGGATGGTCTCTATCTCCTGACTTCGTGATCCGCCGGCCTCGGCCTCCCAAAGTGCTGGGATTACAGGCATGAGCCACTGCGCCCGGCCAGCAAGACTTTTAATGGCAGTCTTGCAAGACCGGGTGTCTGGTAGGCAGGCACACCCCGGGCAGTTACAGCAGGTAATTGATCTCCTAGCACACAAGCCCTCCCCCAGGTCCTCATTGGTCAAGTACTATGGGTTTACAACCTTCCCCAATGTCACCTGAGTTTCATTTTCCCCCTTATAAGGTTATACCCCGTCCCCTTCCCCGCTTAAGTTTTGATTTTCCAATAACAAAACTTTCTTCCCTTTTATGGGCTGACCCCTCCTCTACATTCTGTTCGCTTATCGTGACCTTCCAGGCGCATGAGCCGTGTGGTTTGTTACATCCTCAGGCTGGCTGCCAGTGCTTAGATTTATCATGCCTTGAAAATGGACCATTTAAAATGTTTTCTCACAATATGATAAAGAAAACAACACTGACATACCACTTTACATCCCTCAGAATAGTAAAAATTAGAAAGGGGTTGGAAATCAAGTTTGGATGAGAGTTGAGGAGATGGGAGGCTCTTGCATCCCTGAGTAGGAACTGGCAGAGGATCTCTGAGAAGTAATATGGACGTGCTTAGTGAAAGTAAATGTGCCCTGTGAGCGCTGTCTCTCGAGAGCATATCCTGTAAACATGCTCACACTGACTCACCGGGGAATGCATTCAAGGCTGTTTTTGCACAGCTGTTTGTGTAGCAGAAATTGGTAGCCTAATTATTCGTCTTTAGAAGAATGAATAAACAAAATGTGATAAATATGCACTCTGGGACACTGTGCAGTGCAGAGAGACAATAAAGTCGGTGTTCACAGAACCACTTGCATATGTTTATAAAATCCAGGAAAATATCTTAAGCAGCAGTTTTCAAGACATCAGATGTAAAAGGCAGTAAAGTTCAGCAACCCCCGAGAGAGAAAGCAAATGAGGTGAGCCCTGTGATTGCCTCTGTGCACCACCTAGAATTTCCAGGCTGCAGCACAGGGATGTGTAACATAGGCAAAGACACGTGGTCTCCTTGAGCTGAGGAGACTTCGCTGGGAGTCCAAGGAGGACAGGAAAGCTGGAGTTCTCAGGGCCGAGTGCCAGGGAGGAGAGAGCTGCACAGTGAAAGAGGAGCAGAGGCCTACAGAGGCTCCTCCTTGCATCTTCAGCTCAGTACTGATGAGTACATGCATCTGGTGAAGCCAGCCAAGGAAAGAATTTCAGAAATAACATTGTTAGCTAACACAGGGCCAGGAATAGTTCCTATTCCCACCATTTAGAGTGAAAAACCACAGAATTGACAGGATACTGAGTAGAGTACTCGAAAGTGTTTTGCCTTCATGTTGCCAGGGATAAGTGGGCCATTTTATAATGATAATGGGAGAAACAAATCAGAGGACATATAAATCCTAAACGTTTGTACACTTAGTTATACAGCTTCAAAATACTTTTGAAGTTTTGCTTCAAAAGAGCAAAACCTGATAGAACTGCAAGGAGAAGCAGACAAATTCACAACTGTAGCTGGAGATTTCAACAATCTTTTCTCAGCATTCCATAAAACAAACAGAGAACCTTAGTACAGGTAGAAAAGATTTGAACAACACTATCAAACAACTTGATCCAGCTGATATTTATAGAAAACTCCACCCAAGACCAGCAGAATACACTGAACGTGTATCAAGATAGACTACATTCTGGGCCAGAAAAGAAGTCTAAAATGAGTACGTTCTCTAGCCAAAATGGAATTAAATTAGAAATCAACAGTAAGAAGTGATCTGCAAAATTCCCGTTATATTTGGAAACTAACATACTACTAAATATCCCATGCATCAAAGAAGAAATCAAAAGGAAAATTAGGTAGTATTTTGCATTGAATGAAGATAAAAACATATATTATGTTTTGTGGGACGCAGCTAATGCTGTATTTAAGGGGAAATTCATAGCACTAAATATCTACATTAAAAAAGAGGGAAGGTCTGAAATAACTGATATTAGCATTTTTCTTTGGACATTAGAAAAAGAAGAGAAAATTAAATTCTAAGGAAGCAGAAAGTGATACGTAAAGGTCATAGCAGAAATCAAATGAACTAGAAAACAGAAAGACCACAGAGAAAATCAATAAAAACAAAAGCTTATTTTTGAGAAGGTCAATAAAATTGATAAACCTCTGGGTAGACTGACCAGGAAAAAAAAAAAGACAGAAAACACAAATTGCTAGCACCAGCAATGAGAAAGGAGGCATCATTACAGATTCTACAGACATTAAAAGAATAATAAGGGAATGTTATGAACAGCTTTACTTAAGTTAAACATAATGAAATAGACGCATTTCTTGAATGACATAAATTATCAAAACTCACTCAAGAAAAAATAGAAAAAATATTCATTTATCTACTAAAGAAGTTAAAAAAAAAAAAAAAAAAACCTTTCTACAAACAAAACTCCAGACTCAAAGTCTTCACTGGTGAGTCCCAAATAATAAGTCTCAAACATATACAAATATTTGAGAAAGAAATAACACCAATTTTACAGAGACTGTTCCAGAAAATAGTGTAGGAGGAAATACTTTCCAACTCATTCCATAAGGCTATAGCATATGCTGGTACTATCATCAGACAAATACATGGTAAGAAAAGAAAAGAGCAAACCAACAGCCTTCACAAACCCACAAGCAAAATTCTCAACAAAAATTCGAGCAAAATGAATTTATCAGTGTATAGTAAGGATAATACATCATGACAAAGTGGCATTTATTTCAGGAATGCAAGAGTGGTTTAACACTTGCAAATTATCCTGCAAAGTAATTTACCACGTTAATAGAAAAACCAGATGATCATCGGAATAGAGGCGGAAAAAGCATTTGACAAAATCCAAAATCCATTCCAGATATTAGCTTTCTGCAAAATAGGAATAGAAGGGAATTCCCTCAATCTGATAAAGGGCATCTGCAAAAAAACATACAGCTGGCATTGTACCCAATAGTGAAAGAAGGAATGCTTTCCCCTAAGATCAGGAACAAGGCAGGGATGTCCACTTTAATTACTTCTACTAAAAATTGCAATGCAGGCTGGAAACAGGCCAATCAGGCAAGAAAAAGGAAAAAAAAGTGCCCAATTGAAAAATAAGTAAAACTGTTTTCATTCACAGACAAATGATTGCCTATGTAGAAAATCCTACAAAATCTGTAGAATGCAGTAGCTACTAGAAGTAATTAGTGAGTTTAGCAAGTTTGCATACTTTAAGGGAAGTAAAAAAAAATCTGTTGTATTTCTACAGTAATAAACAATCATACATTAAATAAAAAGCAATTCTATTAACAGTAACATCAAAAACTTAAATACTTAGAAATAAATCTGACAAAAATGTGCAAAACTTATATATTGAAAATTGTAGGCTGGGAGTGGTGGTTCACGACTGTAATCCCAGCACTTTGGGAGGCAGAGGTGGGCAGATCACCTGAGCTCAGGAGTTTGAGACCACCCAGGGCAACGTGGTGAAACCCTGTCTCTATTAAAATACAAAAAAATTAGCCAGGCATGGTGGCACATGCCTGCAATCCCAGCTACTCAGGAGGCTGAGGCACAAGAGTCCCTTGAGCCCCAGAGGCGGAGGTTTCAGTGAGCCAAGATGGCACCACTGCACTCCAGCCTGGGCGACAGACCAAGACTCCGTCTCAAAAAAAAAAAAAATTTTTTTTACAAAATATGGCTGAGGGATTAAAGAATAGCTAAATAAATGGAAAGATACATTTTGTTCATGTTAAGACTCAATATCTTTAAGATGTTAATTCTCCCCTTATTGGTCTAGAGAGTCAATACAACTCCAACCAAAATCCCAGTGGCTCTTTTTAAGGGATTGATAAATTGTTGCTGAAATTCATATGAAAATGCAACAGATCTAGAAAATCCAAAACAACTTTGAAAAAGAAGAATGGCCAGGTGCGGTGGCTCACACCTGTAATCCCAGCACTTTGGGAGGCCAAAGCAGGTGGATCACCTGAGGTCAGGAGTTCGAGACCAGTCTGGCCAACATGGTGAAACTCCATCTGCACTAAAAAATACAAAAAAATTAGCCAGGCATGGTGGCGTGTGCCTGTAATCCCAGCTACTTGGGAGGCTGAAGCAAGGGAATTGCTTGAACCAGGGAGTTGGAGGTTGCCGTGAGCTGAGATCGCGCCATTGCACTCCAGCCTGGGTGACAGAGTGAGACTCTGTCTCAAAAAAAAAAAAAAGAAAAAAGAAAAAGAAGGATACAATTGGAAGAGTTATGCTAATTTATTTCAAGAGATATTATAAAATTACAGTCATCAAGCCACTGTGGCACTGATGATGTCAATATCAACAGTAGGTCGGCAGGACAACATAGAGGACAGAAACCGATTCACAGATACGTGGTTAATTGTGGTTAAAAAATGCATAGCATAAAATGTACCACCTTAATCATTTTTTCTGAGACACAGTCTTACTCTGTTACCTAGGCTGGAGTGTGGTGGCATGATCATGGCTCACTGCAGCCTCAACTTCCTGGGCTCACGTGATCCTCCCACTTCTGCCTCCCGAGTAGGTGGAACCACTGTGCTTGGCTAACTGTTTTTTTTTTTTTTCTTTTTTCTTTTAGTAAGACACGATGTCTCACTATGATGCTCAGGCTGGTCTTGAACTCCTGGGCTCAAGTGATCTTCCTGCCTCGGCCTCCCAAAGTGGTGTGAGCTACTGCACCAGGCCTTAATCATGTTTAAGCGTATATTTAAGTAGTGTTAAATATATTCACAATGTTGTGCAACCAATCTCCAAAACTTTTTCATCTTGCAAAGCTGAAACTCTGTACCATTAAACAACAACTCCCCATTTTCCCTCCCCTAGTCGCTGGTAACCGGCATTCTACTCTCTGTTCATATGAATTTGACCACTTAGAAAACCTCATGTTAGTGGAGTCAGATAGTATTTGTCTTTTAGTGACTGACTCATTTTATGAAGATGAACCCCTAGATTCATTCACGCTGCAACATGTGTGAGAATTTCCTTCCTTTTTAAGGCTGAATTATGTCCCACTGTAAGCATGTTTCACATTTATTTTTCTGCTCACCAGACGATGGACATTTGGGTTGGTTTAACCTCTTGGCTATTGTGAATAATTCTTGATGAATTAATTTTTAACAAAAGAGTCAAGACAATTCAGCTGAGAAAAGATGGTCTTTTCAACAAATGGTGCTATGACAATTGTATATCCACATGCAAAACCATAACTTTGATCAGTATTTCACATCATGAAAAAAATTAACTGAAAATTAATCATAGATCTAGGTATAAAAGTAAAAATATAAATATTAGTGAAGAAAACAGTAGAAAATCTTTGTACTCTCAAAGTAAAGATTTTCTAGATACAATAGGAAAAGCACAATCTATATGAGAAAAAAGAATAAATCGTACTTCATTAAGTAGAATAAACTTTTGTTCTTCTAAAGATGCTAAAAGAATAAAAAGGCAAGCCATAGACCAACAAAATATTTGCAAATTGTATATCCAATAAAGGATGTGTAAGTAGAATATATCAAGAACTCTTTAAACTCAACAGCAGGAAAACCAACAACCCAACTAAAAATGGGCAAAAGATTGGAACACACACTTCAAGGAAGACATAGAAGTGGCAAAGAGGTTGAGAGTGGTGGCTCATGGCTGTAATTCCAGCACTTTGGAAGGCTGAGGCAGGTGGATCACCTGAGGTCAGGAGTTTGAGATGAGCCTGACCAACATGGTGAAACCCTGTCTCTACTAAAAATACAAAAAAAAATTAGCCAGGTGTGGTGGCGGGCACCTGTAATCCCAGCTACTCAGGAGGCTGAGGCAGAAGAATTGCTTGAAACTAGGAGGTGGAGATTGCAGTGAGCCGAGATCACGCCACTGCACTCCAGCCTGGGCGACAGAGTGAGACTCTATCTCAAAAAAAAAAAAAAAAAAGTGGCAAAGAAGCACCTGAAAGCACTCTCAGCACGTCCATCATCAGAGAAATGCAAACTAAAAGCACAGCAAGCTGCCACTGCATGCCTATTCCAGCACTACATTAAAAACAATGGCTATACCAATGGCTGCTGGGGACATGGAGGAACTGGATCTCCCATCACTGACGCTGGGAAAGCAAAATGGTGCAGCTGCTTTGGAAGACAGTTTTGTAGTTTCTGAAAAAGTTTTGTATTCTTGTTACTGAGTTTCTGAAAAGGTTAACACACACCTGCTGTATGATTCCTCTCCTAGGCCTTTCACTGGGAAGTATGAAACTGCCTGTCCCTATGAAGGATGCCCATGGCTGCTTTATCTGTAATGGTCTCAGACTGGGAACAACCCCAATGTCCATCGATGTGGAAACAGATAATCCGTGTTATATCCA
Organism: Homo sapiens; assembly: GCF_000001405.40. Taxonomy (NCBI): domain Eukaryota; kingdom Metazoa; phylum Chordata; class Mammalia; order Primates; family Hominidae; genus Homo; species Homo sapiens. The sequence goes on from NC_000011.10 coordinate 1,332,589, forward strand.
ACCAGTGGAGGTCCAATCAGTCATGAAAAGGAGTGAATTATTCGCACACACAACATGAAAGAATCTCAAAGAAGCAGGCACAACATGACAGAGTAAACACTGTAAGAGATTCCATGTGTTCAAAACGTAAGGAGATATAAACTGACCTATCGTGTTAGTTGGTTCTTGCATTGCTCTAAAGAAATATCTGAGACTGGGTAATTTATTTAAAAAAAAAAAGGGAGGGCTTAATTGTAGGCTGTACAGGAAGCATGGTGGCTTCTGCTTCTAGGGAGGCCTCAGGAAACTTACAATCATGGCGGAAGGCAAAGGGGGACCTGGCAGGTCAGGTCACGTGGCTAGAGCAGGAGCAAGAGGGGGGAGGGGAGGTGCCACACACTTTTAAACAAGTAGATCTCATGAGAACTCACTATGACGATGAGAGTTCCCAGTGGGGATGGTGCCAAACCATGAGAAACCACTCCCACGATCTAATCACCTCCCACCAGGCCCCACCTCCAGCATTGGGGATTACAATTTGACATGAGATTTGGGTGGGGACACAGATCCAAACTATATCACCTATGAAAACAGAAGGCAGGTCAGTGGGCTGCAGAGAGAGAGTGGAGGGAGAGGGCGGGAGGAAGGTAAGCGGCACTGGAGGCTTGGGGGGGTCTGTTTATTATCTCGATTGTGGTGATGCTTTTGGTGTCATTTGCAAAAGGCAAAACATATCAACTGATAACACTTTAGATAAATGCGGCTTGTTGTATGCAAATCATACTTCAGCTAGCTGCTGAAAGAGAGATGTATACCTACAAAACACCACACACACAGGAAGATGCCTGCGTAGTTAAGGGACTGGGGTACAAAGGTCAGCATTGAACCAGGGGCTGAGTTCTGCAGTAGGAGTGGGGCCCCACAGCAGGAAGCAAGCTGAATATACACAGAGACTGTTAGGACCATGCAATGGCACGGGTGGCCACAGCCACCAAGAGAGCCAGACCGGGGCCAGCAGTGCAGCAGGAGCTGCACCAAGGAGCTGCCCTGTCGAGGAGAAGTCTAGAAACTACAGCCAAGGACTGGCCCTGAATATCTCATTCCGGAAGCAATTCCAAGGGAAGCCCAGCCTTGGCTGCTCAGCAAAGGTGACTCAGAGCAGCGGTCCATCCTGCCATGCACAGACTAGCAGCCCTCTCTGGGCAGAGGGACTTCAGGATGCACCAAATTCATGCACTTGGTTCAAGCAGTTTCAGAAATTTGCAGTCTGCTTGCTCTCTCTCCCAGATGAGCTTTAGGCAAAGATGTTCTTTTGAGGCACCAGATATGTCCTCTCCTTGCTCATGGTCAAGGTGGCTGAGAGCTGCTGCCGGGTACTGAAGCCCTTGACCACATGGGCACTGCTCATGGGACGTCCTCGAAGCTGTCCCTGAAGGACGTCCCTGGAGAGCCGCCAGGGAGCCTGTCCACCTCCTACCTGGCTCGGCCAGCCCCAATTTCAGCGCACAGGGTTCCTCCACCTCTCAGTTCTCATGAATGATGCTGCAATGAACATGCAACATGGGTGTGCAAATATCTCCTCAAGACCCTGCCTTCAACTCGATGTCATTCCTTTTTATGGCCGGATAATATTCCGTTGGATGGATGCAGCCCATGTTTCATCAGTTGATGGACATGTAGGTTAATTTCACATCGGGGTATTATTAATAATGCTGCTATGAACATTTGTGGACAGGTTTTTAATGTGGACACACTTTCAGTTCTCTTGGGCATATATGTGGGAGCAGAATTGCTGGGTCATGTGACAACTCTGTGTAACGTTTGGAACAACTGCCCGACTGTTTTCCACGGTGTCCGCACCATGTTACATTCCCTCCAGCGATGAATGAAGTTTCCAATTTCTCCACATCCCCACCAACACTTGCTGTTTTCCAGTTAAACAAAATTATTAATAGAGATTGTAGCCACCCTAGTGGGTGCATTTCCCTGAGGGCTACTTATGTGGAGCATGTTTTTGTGTTGATCAGTCATTTGTGCATCAGCTTGGAGAAATGTCTACTCATATCCTTTGCTTTTTTTTTGACAGAGTCTCACACTGTCACCCAGGCTGGAGTGCAGTGGTGCGATCTCAGCTCACTGCAAGCTCCGCCTCCCGGGTTCACGCCATTCTCCTGCCTCAGCCTCCCAAATAGCTGGGACTACAGGCGCCCGCCACCATGTGTGGCTAATTTTTTTTGTATTTTTAGTAGAGACAGGGTTTCACCGTGTTAGCCAGGATGGTCTCGATCTCCTGACCTCATGATTCGCCCGCCTCAGCCTCCCAAAGTGCTGGGATTGCAGGCGTGAGCCGCTGCGCCTGGCCCCTTTGCCATTTTTTAATTGAGCTGCTTGTCTTTTCGTTGTCAAGTTGCAATTGTTCTTTGTGTAATATAACCCCCTTTATATATGCCAGATACAAGTCTCTTATAGACAAGTGATTTGCAAATATGTTCTCCCATTTTGCAGATTGTTTTTTGGTTTTCTTGATGGTGTCCTTTGAAGCACAAAATTTGTTGATTTTGAGGAATTCAGTTTATCTATCTTTTTCTTTTGTTTCTGTGCTTTTTGGGTCATATCTAAGTAAACCAAGCTCAAAAAGATTCACCCCATGTCTTCTCAGTGATTTATAGTTTGAATTTCTACATCTAGGTCTTTAACCCACTTTAAACTAATTGTTCTATGTGGTATGAGGCACCTGTCTCTTCCTAGAGACCACTGCACTCCACCTGTCCCTGAGAATGACTCCTGACTCCACTGCATACGAGTCCCTCTCCCCCACCTTCTACCTGGAAAACTCCTATTCATCCCATCAAGACCCAGCCCTGGGTTGCTCCTGGGTGGCTTTTTTCACTCTCCTTGGCAGCTTTAACTGCTGCCTGGGATGTGGGCTCAGGGCCAGTGCCCTGGAGGGCCCCTGTCATAGCCCTTCTCACCAGCACTGAGATTGGTCACCTCCGAGTCTGGTGGGCCCGGGGCCCCCATGCAGGTGCACACAAGTGCTGCTGAGTGACTGGTGATCATACAGCCAACATTCGCGGTGACATTCATGCACCGGGGACTTCACAATTCCCCGGACTCGTCATAAGGGCTGCTCGGCCCCATCTTACAAATGGGGAAACTGAGCCTGGGGGGTTCAGTAACTTGCTGAGTTCACACAAACAGTGAGTGGATGGCTGGATGAGTTTGTAAAAGGAAGGTCGATTCTGCATGATGAAGCTAAATTGGAGCCCAAAATTCTCTCTTCCGGCCCCCAGTAGAATATTATGGGTGCACCCAAAGGAATGTAAAAAGACCAGATGCCCAGGACACGGGGCGGTGCCTGATGAAACAGCTGCATTAGAGAGTGACTTTGCAACTCTGGAGAGAAGCCACTGAAACCCAGCGCTCCTATAAATAGCAGCTCTTGCAAAGCATCGGGTGTGAATTTTCGTGGTGTTGGCAAATTCAGAGATTGAGAAATCCAGAGACGTTCATGTTCCCGGAGAAAGGAGTGGGGTGGGGAGGGAGGTCGCAAGCAATGCCATCTTCAGGAACAAAACTCCTGCATAACGAAGCCCAGGTTTCTGTGTTTTCGTGGGTGTTCCCGGGCACCTTCGGGCAGGTGGCCCCAGGCGATGTTGTGTGTCTCTCCTGGCTGTGGACGAATGGACGCCTGGGGTGAGGCTGGGCCAGGGACCTGGGGCTTGTGGGTGTCGGCTCCCATCCCGGGGTCCTCCCCCGCCGTCCTCCCCCCTCCCCCGCCCTCTCTCCCACCCTCCTCCCTCCTCCCACCTCCCCTGCCCTCTCCCACCGGCGTGCACCCCCCCGCCCCGCTGCTCACCGCCCACCACTCCCCAGAGGCCGCTTGCTTCCCCGTCTTTGGCCCTGGGCCCCCAGTACCGCCCCGTGCCCCCCTCACTTCTCCCCCGGAAGCGCATCCGTCAGGGAAACCGTCCTAAGACCGTCCGCACTCGCTTCAGAGCCGCTGCAAACGGCCGTCAATCCGTCATTCAGACGCGAAGACAAAGCGTCCCTGGCTCAGCCCTGAGAAGCAGCGGGACGGCGGCGCGTTCCTGAGTTCCCGCCACGCGGGCGCCCGGCGAGGGCGGGGCGGGGCGGGGCGGGCGGGGGGGCGGGGCGTGGAGGGCGGGGGGGCGGGGCGTGGAGGGCGGGGGGCGGGGCGTGGAGGGCGGGGGCGGGGCGTGGGGGCGGGGGCGGGGCGTGGGGGCGGGGCGTGGAGGGCGGGGGGGCGGGGCGTGGAGGGCGGGGGGCGGGGGGATGGGGACAAGGTAGGGGTCGTGGGGCGCTGGGCTCACCCCAGGCCCTCAGGTGTCTCGAGATGGCCCGGGCTCCGAGCGCTCCCGGCGCTTACGCTAGAGCCTCCTCCTGTGCGAAACGCGTCCGTGCCCAGGCGCGGGGACCCTGCAGGGCTGTGGGTTCGCGCTGCCGCTGATCCTGCGTCTTCCCCCCTCCCAGGCCCCGCGTCCAGCCCGCCCCGCCCGCGGTGGGAGACGCGCCCTCCAGGTGCGGATGAGACGCGCGGACAGCGGGATGGAGAAGGTGAGACCTGTCCGGCCCCCGCCTCGCGCTCCCGCTTCTCCAGGAAGAGGTGTCGCCGCCGCCCGGGGGTCCCCGTCCCTCCCTAGCCCGATCCCCCGGAGCCGCGGCCCCACCACCGCCTGGCACTCCCGGGAGCGCGCGGCCTCGGAGCCCCCAGCCCCGCACAGCCCCTTGTCCCCGGCTGGGAATGGCGCCTCGCACGGGGTCCCTCGGAGGCCGCGAGGCTCCGCTCGGCGTGTTCGGAAGCCACCCCCAGCTCCCCCGGCAGCTTGGAGCCTCAGAAACGCGGGGCAGAGACGCGACACGGAGCCGCCTGGCACTGAGACTCCCCAGTGGCTGCGCCGCCTTCCCGGGGGCCCGAGGCGGGGGCGGGGGGCGCGCTCGCTTCTTCCCCTCGCGGGGGTCTTCCCAGCCCACCGGCCACGGCCGCTCCGTTCCAAGCGCGCTTTTCATTCCGCGTCATCTTATCTGACAAACGTTAAAAAGAGGGAGGGTGGGAGGCCCCGAAGTCCCACCCGAGTCCCCGCGGGGCCGCTGCCCCCTGGAAGTCCCCGCGGCCATATGGCGGCTCCGTGGAGGGCGCGGTCCTGTCCCCGGAGCCACCGCGGGGAGGGACCCCAGGGCCTGGGGGGCGCCTCCGGGGGACAGAGGCGGCCACGGAGGGGCTCCCGGGACACTCGCGAAATTCAGATTCACGGGGCAACCGGCTTCAGACCTCCTCACTCCCTTCTTCACCAGAGCCGCCCCTCCCAGGTTCACCTGCCAGCCCCTGAGTCTCCTCTGCCAATCTCTCTTCTCCTCCTGGTCTCTCTCTGTCTCTTCTTTGTCTCTCCGTCTCTATCTCTTTATCTTTTGTCTCTCTCTATTTCTGTCTCTCTGTGTCTCTCTCATCTCTGCCTCTATCTCTCATTACTCTTGTTTCTCTCTATCTCTTTCTGTCTCTCTCTGTTCTCTGTCTCTCTCTGTTCTCTGTCTCTCTCTGTTTTCTGTCTCTGTTCTCCGTATCTCTCTGTCCTTTCTCTGTCTCTCCCCTGGGCCTGGGCCCCTCCACCCCTTCACCCCACGTGCTGCTCATCTCTGTCTCTCTTGTCCTTTTCCGGGCCCTGGCCTCTTCCCCAGCTCAGCCTGCAGGAGGCCCGTCTCCTGCACCCCTCCCCGTCCTCCATCCTTTCTGGTCCCCCATCTCCTCCACCTCTCTGCATCCTCCATCTGCTGGTCCTCCAGAGACCCCCTTTCAGTTCCTCGCCCCTGTTCCAGGTGTGATATGGTTTGGCTCTGGGTCCCCACCCAAATCTCAGGTTGAATTGTAATCCCCATAATCCCCACGTGTCAATCTCGGGACCAGGTGGAGGTGACTGGATCATGCGGTCGGGTCCCCCATGCTGTTCCCGTGATAACGAGTGAGTATCCCCGTGGGGCCTTCTCCCTCCGTTCAGCACACATTCTCTGTCCTGCCACCCTGTGAAGAGGTGTCTTCCGCCATGATTGTAAGTTTCCTGAGGCCTCCCCAGCCATGCAGAACTGCGAGTCAATTAAACCTCTTTCTTTATAAATTACCCAGTCTTGGGTTTTCTTGATAGCAGCGTGAGAATGGGCTCATACAAGGTGTGTCCCAGGCTGGAGGTTGTCCAAGTCCCGGAGGCATCCCCAGCACCAAGACTCCGGTCGTGATCGCTGGCAGAGTCCCACGGGGGTGGGGGGCCCGGGCCACGGTGGATGGTTCTGGAGCTGCCCGGCCTCCAGCAGGAAACCTTCCTCTTCTGCACTTGAGTGTCTGCGGGAACTCCCACGCCACTTCCCGAAAGGATGAACCTTCTCAATGTGCTGCGCCTGCACCTGGCGAGCAGCTTTGGCATTTCTCAGGCGCTCATCTGTCAGGGCATCCACTGGGATCCGGCACTGCTCCGGGCGTGGGGGATGCAACTGATGGGATCATACGCGTGCATCTGTGAGTGTACACGTGCGTGTGTGAGGATGTCGCCTCCACACTGCATGGATGTGGCGTGTCCGTAAGTGTGCACGTGCACGCCGTGAAATAAGATTTTGAAATCAGTACCCTTGACATGAAGCAAATACCTTTGTAAATAACTTTCTGGTTGTAGAGGAAATGAAAACTTAGATTACAAGCTGTTTAGAGAAGAAGGGCCTCTTGAGTTCTTGAAGCAAAACCTCCACGAAGTCGCCAAAGGGAGCTCCAAGGGCAACTTAAAGGCCTTGGCTATGAAACAGGAAAGACAGAAAGCAAGCCCATTAGGCTGGAGTGAGGCAGTAAAACACACTCCAGGAAAGTAGAGGAAAGGAATTATTGAAAGCAAAATAGAAAGTGATAAAATAGAAAAATTGAAAAGCAAACTTGCTCACTAAAACCCAAAGCTAGACTTGGAAAAGAATGAATTTGACCAAGGTAAATAGAAATGGATCAATAGAAAGACAAAACTGGCCAGGTGCGGTGGCTCACGCCTGTCATCCCAGCAATTTGGGAGGCTGAGGCGGGTGGATCACTTGAGGTCAGGAGTTCAAGACCAGCCTGACCAACATGGCGAAACCCTGTCTCTACTAAAAATACAAAAATTAGCTGGGCGTGGTGGCAGGTGCCTGTAGTCCCAGCTACTCAAGAGGCTGAGGTAGGAGAATCACTTAAACCTGGGAGGTGGAGGTTGCAATGAGCCAAGTTGACACCATTGTGCTCCAGCCTGGGCGACAGAGCAAGACTCCAAAAAAGAAAGAAAGAGAGAGAGAGAGAAACAGGAAAGAAAGGAAGGAAGGAAGGAAGGAAGAAAGGAAGAAAGAAAGAACAACCATGGGAAAGAGGAAAAGGAGCAAGGATAGATTCTGAAGATGTTTGAAAATTAAGAGAGAACGCGTCACACACATCGATACCGATACATTTGAAGACCTTGATGAAATGGGTCATTTCTAAAGCAACATCGGAAAAACGGACTTATTCTTTAACTCATTCATTCCTAGATATTTGGAGGCCCTCCCAGGAGCCAGGCTGCTGAGACCGCAGGAGGCAGACAGACAAACAGACAGGGACCCCCGCCCTTGAGGCACTGACCTTCTCACAGGACCCAAGTGAGGCAGAAAACCATGAGCCATGACCAGGAAGACGTAAGATGGTGCCCGTACCGCCACCAGCAGCCGGGAGACCTGCAGAGCCAGCCTCGCAAATCTCTAAGAAGCAGGCTTGGCCTGTGTTACATGGACACAGAGTCCAGGGACAGATGGACAGCTCCCATGGCCGTGGGGCCAGACCTGGGCACGCCCGGACCTCCTACTGTGGCCCACCCATGGACAGACACGACACACACAGAGGCAGACATGACACTTGCCCAGAAATACGCACACACAGACACTGAGAGACACAGACACACATACACACTCACCTCGAAATATGATACACACACATCCAGACACACACAGAGACACACTACCCTAGAAATACACAGACACACATCCAGACACACACAGAGACACACCCACATCCAGACACACAGAGATACACTCACCTAGAGATACACACAGACACACCCACATCCAGACACACAGAGACACACACCCACCTAGAGATACACACATACACAAACACATCCAGGCACACACAGAGACGCACCCACATCCAGACACACAGAGACACACTCACCTAGAAATACACACAGACACACCCACATCCAGACACACAGAGACACACACTCACCCAGATATACACACATACACAAACACATCCAGGCACACACAGAGACGCACCCACATCCAGACACACAGAGACACACTCACCTAGAAATACACACAGACACACCCACATCCAGACACACACAGAGACACACTCACCTAGAGATACACACACACAAACACATCCAGACACACACAGACACACCCACAGTAACACACACTGACAGAGAAAAACACACAGGTGCACACACACCCAGTGACACAGACACATAGAGACACAGACACACACAAATACACAGAGGCAGACACCCAGTAATACACATAGACACAGCCAGTAACATACAGCAAGAAAAAAAATGGAAAAGAGAAAACCACAGGACAATATCACACAAAAATATGGATACAAGCATTCTATAAATTTCTATTTTACAGTTTTAATTTCACAAGCCACACATAGATGATACAACGACACAGATAGTGCCTAGATCCCCCATGGCTGTCCCATGGCCCAGCCCCTTCACCTCCCCAGAGCTGACGCTGTCTGCCTGGTTTAGGTTGGGGTCTCTGCTGCATACGGAAACACACAGTGTGACTGCTGTCCGCACGGTTTAGGGTGGGGTCTCTGCTGCATGCGGAAACACACAGTGTGACCACTGTCCGCACAGTTTAGGGTGGGGTCTCTGCTGCATATGGAAACACACAGTGTGACCACTGTCCGCACAGTTTAGGGTGGGGTCTCTGCTGCATATGGAAACACACAGTGTGACCGCTGTCCACATGTTTAGGGTGGGGTCTCTGCTGCATACGGAAACACACAGTGTGACCGCTGTCCGCACGGTTTAGGGTGGGGTCTCTGCTGCATACAGAAACACACAGTGTGACTGCTGTCCGCATGTTTAGGGTGGGGTCTCTGCTGCATATGGAAACACACAGTGTGACTGCTGTCCGCATGTTTAGGGTGGGGTCTCTGCTGCATACGGAAACACATAGTGTGACTGCTGTCTGCCTGGTTTAGGTTGGGGTCTCTGCTGCATACGGAAACACACAGTGTGACTGCTGTCTGCATGTTTAGGGTGGGGTCTCTGCTGCATATGGAAACACACAGTGTGACTGCTGTCCGCATGTTTAGGGTGGGGTCTCTGCTGCATATGGAAACACACAGTGTGACCGCTGTCCGCATGTTTAGGGTGGGGTCTCTGCTGCATATGGAAACACACAGTGTGACCACTGTCCGCATGGTTTAGGGTGGGGTCTCTGCTGCATATGGAAATACACAGTGTGACCGCTGTCCGCATGGTTTAGGATGGCGTCTCTGCTGCTTATGGAAACACACAGTGTGACCACTGTCCGCATGGTTTAGGATGGCGTCTTTGCTGCTTATGGAAATACACAGTGCTGCTTTCTTTCTTGCCTAAATAAAACACGAGCAGACAGAAGCCAGCAAGGGATGGAAATAGCACCTCGTCATAGTCAGAAGCGAGTTTATCTCAGCATGCGAGGGCGTTCTGACATTAGGAAGTCTATTAATGCAATTCAGTACACCCGGAGCTTGGGTGCAGTCTCAGGAAATCGGGAATGGAAAAGCACTTCCTGCATTCCATCCAGGGTGTCTACTAAAACATACAGTGTCTGTCTTACGTATTCTAAAACCTCAGAGGCATCCATGAAACTCTGGAATAAGATGTGGGTGGGGATTTGCAGAGAATTGACATCCCTAACAACACCGAGTCTTCTGGTCCCTAAATAGGGTCTATTTCTCCATTTTCAGTGACAATCTTTAATTTCTCTTGAAATGTCATAATTTCCACCACCATGTTCTTCCACATCTTCTGTTAAGTTTATTTATAGACACTTGATATTTTGGGTGTTATTATAAATAATAGCTTCCAAATTTGATTTTTAGTGGTTTGTTACTGATGTGTAAATTTTTATATATTAATTTCTTTATTATGTTAAAATACACATAACATACAATTTACTGTATTAAACTTTTTTTGAAAATTTGAGACAGGGTGCCACTGTCTTCCAGGCTGAGTGCAGTGGTACAATCACAGCTCACTACAGCCTCCACCTCCTGGGCTCAAGCCATCCTCCCGCCTCAGCCTCCCAAGTAGCTGGGACCATAGGTGCGAACCACCATGTCCGGCTAATTTTTTCATATTAAATATGTTTCAGTGTGTAGTTCAGCAGCATTAAGCATTTTCCCAGTGCTTGATTTTTCCTGTAGGTGGTATTAAGTAGCTGGCTAGGGCTGCCTTAACAAAGCCCCACAGTTGGCCGGGCGTGGTGGCTCACGCCTGTAGTCCCAGCACTTTGGGAGGCCGAGGCAGGTGGACCACTCAAGGTCAGAAGTTCAAGACCAGCCTGGCCAACATATAGTGAAACCCCGTCTGTACTAAAAAACACAAAAATTAGCTGGGCGTGATGGCACATGCCTGTAATCCCAGCCACTTGGGAAGCTGAGGCAGGAGAATCACTTGAACACCTGGGAGACGGAGGTTGCAGTGAGCCGAGATCACACCACTGCACTCCAGCCTGGGTGACAGAGCAAGACGCCATTTCTAAAAAAGCAAAGCTTCATGGGCGGGCAGCGGGAGCAGCAGACAGTTACTCTCACAGTCCTCGAGGCTGGAGCCGAAGATCAAGGTTTCTTCTTGGACCCGCACAGGGCTGGGTCCTTCTGAAGCCTCTCACCTTGGCTGGTAGACAGCGTCCCCCTCGTGCACAGCTCTGTCTAAATGTCCTCCTTCTGCTAGGACACTGGTCATGTTGGATTAGGGCCCACCCTGATAGCTTCACTTTAACTTCATTATATCTGCAAGGCCCTATCTCCAAATAAGGTCACCTCTGAGGTCCTGGGGATCAGGGCTGTAGTGTCCGAGAGCAGGGCGGGGGTCACCTCTGAGGTCCCGGGGGTCACCTCTGAAGTCCTGGGGTCAGGGCTGTAACATCCGAGTGCAGGGCGGGGGTCCCAGTTCAGCCCGGGACGTGAGGTTCTTCTGCGTCTTCTACACACCCAACCACGTCCTGTGTGACGCCATCACCTTGCTTTCTCCTCTAATCTCTCTTCTTTTGGGCACTGGAATTCAGCCCAGCGCCGCACACAGCGCGACACCAGGCCCCCAGCCTTGTTCCCGCCGTCAGGGACGGCTCCTGTGCCTCACCCACAGTTACGCTGGGGATGTTTCCTGCTACTCCTGGTCTGCTAGGTTTTCTTGTTGTTTTTTAAAAAACCCATGAATGAATGTTGGATTTTATCAAAAGCACTTTTGGCATCTGTGGAGATGAGTGTGCGATTTTCTTCCTTCCTTTGCTAACGTGGTGCACGCACGGATGCCATTTCTACGGGTCGCATGCTCACGGGGTCCTGGGTCGGTGACTCCTCAGGCATGGATTTTCCACGTTGCTGTGGACGCCATCTCCTAACGACTGTCATCGCACTGCCTAGGACAGCTGACACGGGCACGGTTGGCAGTTTCCACCTGGGCGGCTCCTCCTTGGGCGAGGCTGGACAGCAGTGGCCCTCGGCAGGTGTCTTGCAAAACGCCATTTCAGGACAATTTGGAGAAGGAACACAAGTCCTGCCCCTGGCTGAAGCCTGGCTTAACACCTTTCAGTGAGATTTTTTCTTAAGTGCCAGCATTAGAATTTGCAAAATTGTCAGCAGCCGCTCAGAAGAAAACCCCGGCGGTGTCAGTGGGCCACCGTTTTGAGAAATGCTGAAATGTGTCTAGGGAAAACCTTAAGACCCCGAAAGGAGGCCTGAGTGGTACCGAGCAGATGTACGTGGGGCCAAGCATCAGGCGAGGTCAGTGCAATGCCGCAAAGGTCCCCACACCTTTTTTGCAGTTTTATGGAGTTAGACGGGTTGATAGCAAAGTTTTTACAGGAAAGCACTCAGGTAAGAAGAGGTGGGAACACACTAGCAGACAGAACACTCCTTGAAACCTCAAGGCAGAAACTGTGGATGGTGCAGGCTGGGCACGGTGGCTCACGCCTGTAATCCCAGCACTTTGGGAGGTGAAGGTGGGCGGATCACGAGGTCAGGAGATCGAGACCATCCTGGCTAACATGGTGAAACCCCGTTTCTACTAAAAATACAAAAATATTAGCTGGGCGTAGTGGCGGGCGCCTGTAGTCCCAGCTACTCAGGAGGCTGAGGCAGGAGAGTGGCGTGAACCCGGGAGGCAGAGCTTGCAGTGAGCCGAGATCCCACCAGTACACTCCAGCCTGGGCGACAGAGCAAGACTCTGTCCCCCCCACAAGAAAAAAGAAAGAAACTGTGTCTGGTGCAGGTGCAGATGCCCCAGGCCTGCAGACAGGAGACCCCAGGACATGGGTGGCTGCAGGTGCAGATGCCCCAGGCCTGCAGACAGGAGACCCCAGGACACGGGTAGCTGCACAAGTCACAGGGGCAAGGCTGGAATTTTGAATAAATGGTGCTGGCTAATAACCCAGTGTCCGTTTGGACAAAGACTTTGTCCCGCCTCTGCCACCCCTGAGACAGCAAGACCAGCCCTTGCTCCTCAGCCCACTCAATGTGAAGCCGACACGGATGAGGGCATTGATGATGATCCACTTCCACTTAGTGAATATATTTTATCTTCCTTATGAGTTTTTAAATAACGTTCTTTTTTCCGGTTTACTTGATTGTAAGAATACAGTAGATAACATATATAACATACAAAATATCTGTTCATCAACTGTTTATGTTATTGGGGAAGGCTTCCGGTCAACAATAAGCTACTAACAGTTAAGTTTTAGGGAATCAGGCTGGGCGCGGTTGCTCATGCCTGTAATCCCAGCACTTTTGGAGGCCAAGGCAGGAGGACCACTTAAGCCCGGGAGTTCAAGACCAGCCAGGGCAATGAAAGGAGACCCCATCTCTACAAAACACAAACATTAGCCGGGTGTGGTGGCGTGCACCTTCGGTCCCAGCTACTTGGGAGACTGAGGAGGAAGTATCCCTTGGGCCCAGGATTTCGAGGCTGCAGTGAGCTGAGATTGCACCATTATACTCCAGCCTGGGTGACACAGCAAGACCCTGTCAAAGAAGTTCTATGTGGGTTTTCTCTGTGCAAGCGTCATTGCCCCTCAGCCTGCATCGTTCAAGGGTTAACCACATCCACCCAACAGATGAATGTGACCATATTGCAGAGGAATGACACAGTCACACTGAAGGAAGTCGAGAAGTAAAGGAACGCCTGAAGTCACCGCGGGGACAGCGTTGACTGGACGCTGAAGGTGAGGCTGAAGACAAGACACGCTGTGCATGGATGCCAGGCTCTGGGTGGTGGGTCTGTCCCTCACGGGGGTGTATCAGCAAGTCTGGAGCCAGTTCACCCGCAGCTGGGACTAGACAAGCAGGTGAAGGTGTGAAAGCCAGGTTTCTTCAGACAAGAGATGCAACAGGTAAAGCGGCGGACGAGAACAGGCCTGCACTGCTGGGGTGGGCATGGAGGGACCCGCGCTGCTGGGGTGGGTGAGGATGGGCGTGTGCCCTGGGGTGGGTGAGGATGGGCGCATGCCCTGGGGTGGGTGAGGATGGGCGTGTGCCACTTGGGTGAGCGAGGATGGGGCACGTGCCGCTGGGGTGGGTGAGGATGGACGTGTGCCCTGGGGTGGGTGAGGACAGGGCCCATGCGTCTGGGGTGGGTGAGGATGGGCGTGTGCCCTGGGGTGGGTGAGGAGGGGCCCGTGTCACTGGGGTGGGCGAGGATGGACGTGTGTCCTGGGGTGGGTGAGGATGGGCGTGTGCCCTGGGGTGGGTGAGGATGGACGTGTGCCCTGGGGTGGGTGAGGATGGACGTGTGCCCTGGGGTGGGTGAGGATGGGGCACGTGCCCTGGGGTGGGTGAGGATGGATGTGTGCCCTGGGGTGGGTGAGGAGGGGGCATGTGCTGGTGAGGAGGGGGCGTGTGCTGTTGGGGTGGGTGAGGACAGGGCCCATGCCCCTGGGGTGGGTGAGGAGGGGCCCATGCCGCTGGGGTGGGCGAGGATGGATGTGTGCCCTGGGGTGGGTGAGGATGGGGTGTGTGCTGCTGGGGTGGGTGAGGACAGGGCCCATGCCCCTGAGGTGGGTGAGGAGGGGCCGGTGCTGCTGGGGTGGGCGAGGATGGACGTGTGCCCTAGGGTGGGTGGCAGCAGCATGAGCTCACACGGTCAATCTACACACATGTAGATTGTTTGTGCATGGGGGTGAGTACACAGGCATGCATCTTCTGGCTCTGTCCACCAAGAGGGCCTAGACACCGGGATACCCCAGTACCAAAGGAAGCACAGGGTGCAGGTCTCGGTCCCCGACGTCACCCTCCAGTGAGAGGACCCCACAGGCCTCGGAGTCTCGGCTGGCACCAAGGCCGGGGCAGGGAAACGTCAGGCTGAGCTTGGAGCACTCACAGTCCCGGAACGTGAGGAAATGCGTGAACGGGAGCAGGGCTTGTGGGGAGGGGACCTGGGAGTCAAGATGAAAGCTCCCACGCGCCGGGTGATAGTTTACTGGATTGTAACCCACAGAATAAAAAGCCGCGAGCCCACAGTGACGCACACGAACAATTCGCTGAGTGAAGAGTCGGTGTACACGGAGCTGCCCTTTCTCCTTCCTGGCCCTGGTGGGAGAATTTTTATCACAAGTGGGTGATGGGTTTTGTCCAGTGCTTTTCCATGTCCGCCGGGATGGAATAAACGTGACGTTTGTCTGTGGCCCTGTCAGTGTACAGCACGTCACGGATCATCTGCATGTGTGCCCAGGACCGGGGCAGTCACCCAGCAGATACGCACGTGGGACCCGGCTTGGCCTCATGGGGTGGCGGCTGTGTCTTGGTTTTCATTTGGTTCAGAAGGTGGGTACGGACCAGGCATGGTGTCTCACGCCTGTCATCCCAGCACTTTGGGAGGCCGAGACAGGTGGATCACTTGAGGTCAGGAGTTTGAGACCAGCCTGGCCAAAACCACCCATCTCTACTAAAAATGCAAACATTAGCTGGGCCTGGTGGCAGGTGCCTGTGATCCCAGCTACTCAGGAGGCTGAGGCAGGAGAATTGCATGAACCCGGGAGGTGGAGGCTGCAGTGAGCCAAGATCGCACCATTGCACTCCAGTCTGGGTGACAGAGGGAGACTCCGTCTCAAAAAAAAAAAATTCCTTCAGGTCCTGCATACCTACGAAACTGTTGACTCAGCTGGTCCAGAGGACCCCACTGACACACGCTGGCCTCACAGCAAAGAAACAGTTTTGAAAGACATCTTTGCTGAGTTTTCCATGCTCAGCTGGCACTCCCTTTCTCTTCGGAGTTCCTGGCCTCCTCAGGAGTCTTGTGGCCTCTCCAGAGGTCTTGCGGCCTCCTCAGGGGCCTGGTCAACCCTCCTTAGTTATAGGAATGGCCTCATTTGAGGAGATTCCCTCCAATAGGAGGGAGACGCTTGCAGAGCAGGATTCATGAACAATCCGTGTAAGTGCGGGGACGATGCCTGGCATGTTACACTCCAGATGCCGGCTGTCAGTAGCGCCGTCACAGTCACTCATGTCTGTGGTTCGCTTCCCACGCCGGGTCTTCAGCCCCATCTACCCACAGGGCCCCAGACTCAACCCCACCATCTCTGTAAATAGAACCACCAGCCACCCACTGCTTAAGCAGAAAGAGTGCCAGGAACGCTTGTGACTTTCCCCCATCCTCACCTCCACTTCCAAACAATGCTGGGGACCAAGCAGGGGTCATGACCCAGATTCTGTGTTTCTGGCTAATGATTAGTTGGGAGTTCCTTTGGAATAAAACCCCAAGTCCTTGCCACAGCTGGCAGGAGCCTGTTCTGCAAACCGCACCCCCTTCTACGTCACCCTCTCTCTGTATCACAGGGCCCCTCTCTGGTCCTCAGACACTGTGGGAGGCTGGAGGGATCAACCCCAGCCCTCTCTTCCCTACCCACCTTCTGAACTAAATGAAAAGCAAGACTCTGCATGAGCACAGGGGGCCAAGCTGGGTCCTACATGTGGATCAGGCTGGGCGGCCGACCCTGGTCGTGGGTGGGCCGACCCGTGTGGGGAGCTTGGGGAGGGCGGCATCCTTCCGCCCGGGAGGGGAGATTAACTCACACACACAAAGCACTAGCTGGTGGCAAAGGACATGCTTTATCATATACGGCAGAGCCATGTGGGCACCGAGAACCCGAGAAAAACCCAGCTCCCCATGAGAAGTGTGTCTGTCCAGCGTCTGGGGGAGGGGCGTGTGGTCCTCAGGAAGGCCATGCAGGGCGCCCACCCGGAGCTCCCCGGGGATGGCCTCTGCGTGCGGCCTCATGACCTTGTGACCTGGGTCTGGCTCTCAGGAGCACCAGGCAGGCAGGGAGGGCATGCCCTGGAGGAGCCCTGCCTGTGGCCGCATTGCCGTTAGAATTTCAATGAGGGGCACTCAGTTTGATGGATGACTCCTGCGGCCCTGGAGGCCTGAGGCCCCACCTGCTCCGTCTGCTCGGGAGACACAACGTCTTGACTCGGCCTCTGTCCCTTTGTCCTCCCTGCCAGGCCTGCCAGCCCTGCGCTGTGACTCTGCCCTGCAGGCCGGGGGGCCGGGTAGACACCCCTCAGGAAGAAAAGCCTCTGCCTGGAGCCGCTAGCCTGTGCTGGGGGGGGCTTGGAGACCCCAGGGTGTGGGCTTCGGGGCTGCAGATGGCCCAGGCGCTGACCCAAATTCAGTGCTCTCGGGGGTGGGTCTGTGTGTCCCTCCACTGGGCCTCTGGACCAGAACCTTCCGGGGACTCCAGCTTCCCTCTGAGACGTCTCGGCCGACCCAGCCCCTCCTATGCGGCGGCCAGCCTGGGGCCCAGTGGGTAGATTTGCTCCTGTACCATCTCAGGGCCGGTGCCCTGCGGAGGGAGAGGCGCTGTCTGTCAAGCCTCACTCTCTCCTGGCGAGGGCTCTGGTTTTCCAGCCACGTCGCTGCATGGAGAGCAACGCACAAAGACAGGGTCTCAGAGGCCACCTGTGCCCACCCTGGTCCTGCCGGATAACTCCTCCCTTCCCTCTTCTCCGGCAGTCAAAGCCCCCGACAGAGGGAACGATGGCCCCGGGGGACACAGCTCCTTTCCCCAGCTGTTCCCAGAGCACAGCTGGCTTCAGCCTGGGTGCAGCCACATCTTACGGGTCCAGCCCGAGTCCGTCCATTTCTGAGGGTCCTGCTGCCCTCCCCTACCTGCCCCCATGCTCCGCAGAGCCCTGCAGAATGAGAGGGTCCTGGACCTGGCTCCTCTGCCTGGGAGAATCTGACGGCTCCGGGTGCAGTCGTAGCCCCAGGAGAGGCCCTGGCGCCCTGACCCCCGGCAGGCAGCGAGGCTGATGTGGGAGGGCGAGGCCGCCCCGCCCTGGCTCTGACAACCCTCCCTGCACTGCTGCCCAACCCTCTCCCCATGCCTCCTCCACCTCCCCCAGGGTTGGCCTGGGAGCCTCCTCCGCTTCCCCCAAGGTTGGCGCCCGGGAGCCGTGCTCTGGGACCACACTCCTCTTTGGCTCTGGGAATTTCTCCTCCCACGTGGAGGCCCCCACAGCAGTGGACACCACCCAGCCAGGCCCACCTGACCGGTCAGGCTCAAACCCTCTGGTACCCGCCCCACCCATAGGACCAGGTGTAAACCAGGCAGCGACACCCCAGACGTGTGGTCTTGGTCAGCTCCCCTGGGCTCCTCTCCCTCCAGCTGGCCCTTCTCTGCCCAGGAAACAGTTTTCTGAAGAGTTCTCCGTTCTCGAGCCTTCCAGCTGCGTGGGAGAGAGTTGACCCCAAGGCTGGGACCACAAGAGGCCAGGGAGGGTGGGCCTGGGATCTGCAGCTCACGGGCTGTGTGACTGTGGGCACGAGATTTCATTTCCTGATTCATAAAGGTGGGGACCGATCAAAGCTACTCCTTGGACCTTTGTGAAGATTAAATGAGTTCAACACGGAGCATTCTTGACCCATGGTGAGTGTCGTAAAACGCTGGCCACTGTAATTTTTCATTTTCCCTTCGGCATTATGACAATATATCCCCAATGGCATAGGATTTTAAGTGAATGTACCGTAATCTGCCCAACCATTCTTTTACTGTGGACACTTGAGTGATTTCCAATCATGTTTACTCTCATTTGTTTTCTTTTTCTTTTTTTTTTTTTTTTGAGATAGTCATGCTCTGTTGCCCAGGCTGGAGTGCAGTAGTGTGATCTCAGCTCACTGCAACCTCTGCCTCCCGGGTTCAAGTGATTCTCCTGCCTCAACCTCCCAAGTAGCTGGGACTACAGGAACACACCAATGCACACAGCTACTTTTTTTTTAACTTTTAGTGGATACGGGGTTTCACCATGTTGTCCAGGCTGGTCTCAAACTCCCAACCTCAGGCGATCCGCCTGCCTCGGCCTCCCAAAGTGCTGGGATTACAGGTGTGAGCCACTGCACCCAGGCTAGTAATATTGACTCTTAGGCTAGTAATATTGACTCTTAGAGCTAACACTCTAACATGGAAAGGAGAAAACAATTGTTTCTCCTTAGGGATTGTTTCCTTAAAATTTGGCCCAGAAACTATAATCCTGAGTCAAATGGTGTCGATGTTCTCATTATCCTGGAAGAATCACGCTGACCTTGGCTTTAAAAGGTTGAATCACCTCGGACTTGCGAACGGCAACGGGTCTCTCACAGAAGCTCGGCCGCACTGGAATATGCAGATGTGTTTGTTTTCATTAGTATTTCTGTGTTTTACCATTTTTCTGAGCTTACTAATTATGTGTTTTACCGATTTTTCTGAGCGTACTAATTATGTTCTATTTAAATGTTCTCTGTGTACTGATCTGTTGCAAATGTAATTTGTAATTACCGGGATCACCCTCAGTGTGATGTGAGGTCTGATCTCCAACCTCTATGCCTCACTGCCTTTGAGAAATGACCTGTTGTTCCTGACACTCTTGCGAGGTGGGTGGATTAAACCCTCTGCCTCTGCTAGCTTTTCTCCCAGGTCTCACACCTGGACCCCCCACCCCCACCAACTCCCCTCCCAGGCCTCCCACCCAGACCCCCACTCCCCTCCTAGGCCTCCCACCTAGACCCCTGCCCCCACCAATTCCCCTTCCAGGCCTCACACCTGGACCCCCACCCCCACTGACTCCCCTCCCAGGCCCCATGCCTGGACCCCCACCAACTCCCCTCCCAGGCCTCATACCTGGACCCCCCACCCCCACCAACTCCCCTCCCAGGCCTCACACCCGGACCCCCACCCACTCCCCTTCTAGGCCTCCCACCTAGACCCCTGCCCCCACCAATTCCCCTTCCAGGCCTCACACCTGGAACCCCACACCCACCAACTCCCCTCCCAGGCCTTACACCTGGACCCCCACCCCCACTGACTCCCCTCCCAGGCCCCATGCCTGGACCCCCACCCCCACCAACTCCCCTCCCAGGCCTCACACCTGGACCCCCCACCCCCACCAACTTCCATCCCAGGCCTCACACCTGGACCCCCACCCCCACCAACTCCCCTCCCAGGCCTCATACCTGGACCCCCCACCCCCACCAACTCCCCTCCCAGGCCTCATACCTGGACCCCCCACCCCCACCAACTCCCCTCCCAGGCCTCACACCTGGACCCCCCACCCCCACCAACTCCCCTCCCAGGCCTCACACCCGGACCCCCACCCACTCCCCTTCTAGGCCTCCCACCTAGACCCCTGCCCCCACCAATTCCCCTTCCAGGCCTCACACCTGGAACCCCACACCCACCAACTCCCCTCCCAGGCCTTACACCTGGACCCCCACCCCCACTGACTCCCCTCCCAGGCCCCATGCCTGGACCCCCACCCCCACCAACTCCCCTCCCAGGCCTCACACCTGGACCCCCCACCCCCACCAACTTCCATCCCAGGCCTCACACCTGGACCCCCACCCCCACCAACTCCCCTCCCAGGCCTCACACCTCGACCCCCCACCCCCCACCCCTCATCCCCACTGACTCCCTTCCCAGGCCTCACACCTGGACCCCCCACCCCCCACCCCCACCAACTTCCATCCCAGGCCTCACACCTGGACCCCCACCCCCACCCCTCATCCCCACCGACTCCCCTCCCAGGCCTCACACCTGGACCCCCACCCCCAATGACTCCCCTCCCAGGCCTCACACCTGGACCCCCACCCTCACCCCTCATCCCCACTGACTCCCCTCCCAGGCCTCACACCTGGACCCCCACCCTCACCCTCATCCCCACCGACTCCCCTCCCAGGCCTCACACCTGGACCCCCATCCCCTACCCCTCATCCCCGCCGACTCCCCTCCCAGGCCTACACCAGGTCCCCCACCCCCTCTTGCCTGTCACAGTGCCTCCTGGAACATGGAACCCCTCTAGCAACTCCCTAATTTTCTTCTATTCATAGCAAATTGTCTCAAAAAATGTGTCTACACCCACCATCCAAGACCCTGCATCCAAGACGCCCCATCCAAGACCACCCCCTCCTCTAGTCACTATATGACCACCTCTCTGCATCTCATTTCCTCAGCCACCCCTGCTGGTCCTGGGTCTGGACTCAGCATGGCCGTGGCTGCACGTGGCTCTTCTCCCCCTTTCCCAGGGCTCTTTCCAGCCCACGGAGCAGAGTGCCACCTCCCTGCCTACCTCAGCCCCAGTTCCCTCAAAGGGCAAACGTTCCACCTGCCGACCCATTTTCCTGCTTTGGGCCGGCCAGGGCCAGGCCTGGTCTTCCCAGCCCTACTGCGGTGCCCGACCCACAGGACAGCCTGGGGGGCATCAAGCCCAATGCCTCTGAGAGCCTGTGAGTGAGTGGCCTCCATGGTGCTGGGGCCGCTCCAGCCGCCTTGCTTGGCCCCCGGGCCTCCCTTCAGGATCTAGATCACACCCAGACACCCGTCCCTGCCTCTGCCCCAGCACCTCCGCCTGGAATGTGAATCCGCAGCTACCTGTGGAGCCGGCGCCTTCTCTCCGTCCTTCTCACACTGAGGGGCACCCCCAGAGAGGTCACCATGGCCCGAACGTCTATCCCCAGAAATTCTTCTGTTGAAACCTTCACTGCCAAGGTGATGCTATTGGGAGGAGGGGCCTTTGGGCGGGTCTGGCCGTGAGGGTCGGCCTCGTAAATGGATTAGTGCCCAGACAAAAGGGACCTCAGAGAGCCCCTCACCGCTTCATTACGTTCGGATGTGGCCAGGAGGCGCTGGCTGTGAACCACAGTCTGCCGGGGCCTGTTAGACTCACAGTCTCCAGAGCTGTGAGCTAAATGTCGGTTGCTTGAAGCCGCCGACGGGGGTGTTTTGCTGTGGCGGCCGGAGTGGCAGAGACTGGGGAGATCCTGGCCACAAAAGCGGCAGGGCCTGCCCCTCCAGTTCCTGTCTAAGCCATCACCATAGGTGCATCCTTCACCACCTGCCTGCTGCCCTGCTGGGCCGTTCTCTGCCTTCCAGACGTGAACGTGAGTGCGAGGGTGGGCACAGCCTGCACGTGCCCGGCCCTGCTCCACACGAGCTTCCGGGTGTGCCGGTGAGCCGGATGCCTGCTGGGTTCCCACAGCAGCCTCTCTGTTCTTCTCCCTGATTGTAGAGACGTGACCCTTGCCTGCTGGCTCCAGCTCAGGGAGGTGTGCTGTGTGTCCTTCGCGACGTGCGCTAGGGGCCGGCCCCTGCCAGCTGGGAGGCCAGTGCTGTGTGTCCTTCGCGACGTGCACTGGGGACCGGCCACTGCCAGCTGGGAGGCCAGTGCTGTGTGTCCTTCATGGTGTGCACTGGGGGCCAGTGCTGTGTGTCCTTCATGGTGTGCGCTGGGGGCTGGTGCTGTGTGTCCTTCACGATGTGTGCTGGGGGCCGGCCCCTGCCAGCTGGGAGGCCGGTGCTATGTGTCTGCTCTGTCAGCCCCCTCAGGTGGGTGGTTTGGGCGTCGGCCATGGTGGGAATGTTTACACCACGGAAATTGGCCAGTGCCTCCAGCCAGGGTTTTGTTTCCCTCGTGAGTTGCTCGTTGCTAAATCAGTGCAGCACGGATTGGCCTTCCTCTTCCTCTGTTCTGTTTTGTTATGGGATGTCTCTAACATACGGAAAACCATAGAGAATGATATGATAAGCACCTTCAGCCCTTCCCAGCTCTAAGACTCCCTGACATTTGGCTGTGTCTGTGCCATGATTTTAAGTGGATTCAACCCGTCCAATCCACCCAAAGCCCCTGGTGCCCTGTGGTGCCATTGCTCTCCCTCCTGGGGCAGATTCCACATCTGGAGTGTCGTGCCGGGGCACGTTTGTAGACCTCACAGCACACATGTGACCCTCAACACTATACAGGTGGTTTCTTTTTTTTTTTTTTTTTTTTGAGACAGAGTCTTGCTCTGTCACCCAGGCTGGAGTGCAGTGGCACGATCTCGGCTCACTGCCGGCTCTGCCTCCCGGGTTCACGCCATTCTCTTGCCTCAGCCTCCCAAGTAGCTGGGACTACAGGCGCCCGCCACCACGCCTGGCTAATTTTTTTGTGTTTTTAGTAGAAACGGGGTTTCACTGTGTTAACCAGGATGGTCTCGATCTCCTGACCTCGTGATCCGCCCGCCTTGGCCTCCCAAAGTGCTGGGATTACAGGCATTAGCCACCGAGCCCAGCCTACAGCGTGGTTTTACGTGGGGGTTTTTTGGTTTGTTTTGAGACAGGGTCTTGCTCCATCACCCGGGCTGGAGTGCAGAGGCATGATCATGGATCACTGCAGCCTTAACCTCCCAGGCTCAAACCATCCTCCCACCTCAGCCTCCTGAGTAGCTGGGACCACAGGCTTGTGCCATCATGCCCAGCTCATTTTTTATTTTATTTTATTTTTATTTTTATTTTTTTTTTGAGACGGAGTCTCGCTCTGTCGCCCAGGCTGGAGTGCAGTGGCGGGATCTCGGCTCACTGCAAGCTCCGCCTCCCGGGTTCACGCCATTCTCCTGCCTCAGCCTCCCAAGTAGCTGGGACTACAGGCGCCCGCCACTACGCCTGGCTAATTTTTTTTGTATTTTTAGTAGAGACGGGGTTTCACCGTTTTAGCCGGGATGGTCACGATCTCCTGACCTCGTGATCTGCCCGCCTCGGCCTCCCAAAGTGCTGGGATTACAGGTGTGAACCACCACAAACAGCCCCTCTTTTCCTTGCCTGGGTTAGGGACCCACTGAGAATAGGACAGGAGAAAAGGCAGATGTGATTTTTTCAGAATACCAACTTTCTACCCGGCCCCAGCACTGGCTGTCCACCCACGCTGCCCTGCCACCCACCCATGCTGCCCTGCCGTCCACCCATGCTCCCCTGCCGTCCACCTACGCTGCCCTGCCGTCACCACGGCACTCGGAGCTTCTGGAGCTTAGACTACTTTATCTTTGTGGCCCTTTTCTGCCTTCTTATCAACTCCCTTTCCCTGCCTCTGCAAACAATGCCGGTGAAATTTAGATAGGAGTTGCATTGTACACAGATATTACAGAGGGAAGGAATAACATTGTTACAACATTGACTCCCACACACAAACCTCTCTCTCTCTTGCTCTCTCTCTCTCGCTCTCTCTCTGTCTCTCTCGCTCTCTCACTCTGTCTCTCTCGCTCTCTCTCTTGCTCTCTCTCTGTCTGTCTCTTGCTCTCTCTCGCTCTGTCTCTCTCGCTCTCTCTCTGTCTCTCTCTCTCTCACTCTCGCTCTCTCTCTTGCTCTCTCTGTCGCTCTCTCTCACTGTCTGTGTCTCTCACTCTCTCTCGCTCTCTCATGCTCTCTGTCACTCTCTCTCGCTCTCTCTGTCTCTCTTGCTGTCTGTCTCTGTCTCTCTCGCTCTCTCTGTGTCCCTCTCGCTCTCTCATGCTCTCTCTCTGTCGCTCTCTCTCACTCTCTGTCTCTGTCGCTCTCTCTGTTTCTCTTGCTCTCTCTCTCTCTGTCTCTCTCGCTCTCTCTCTGTGTTTCTCACTCTCTCATGCTCTCTCTCTGTTGCTCTCTCTCACTCTCTCTGTGGCTCTCTCTCTCTCTGTCTCTCTCGCTCTCTCTCTTGCTCTCTCTGTCGCTCTCTCTCGCTCTCTCTGTGTCTCTCTCTCTCGCTCTCTCATGCTCTCTGTGGCTCTCTCTCTGTCTCTCTCTCTCTCTGTTTCTCTTGCTCTCTCTCTCTCTCTGTCTCTCTCGCTCTCTCTCTGTGTCTCTCCCTCTCTCTCGCTCTCTCATGCTGTCTCTCTCTTGCTCTCTCTCACTCTGTCTCTCTCTCTCTGGTCTTCTTTGAAGTCTTTCATTAAACTTTAATAATTTTCTGCTCACAGATCTTATATGTATTTTGTTAGGTTTATTCCTAAGTATTTTTTATTTTGGGGTTTGAATTTTCACATTTGTGTTTGATGCCCATATAGAAAACTGCAAATGACTTTCGAATGTTGATTTCTAGATTGGAGCATCTTGTTAAACTATTTTAATTCTCATAATTTGTGGATTGCAGTATTTTTTGTAAGTAATCATTTCCTCAATACATAGTTTAGTTTCTTTGTTTCCAAT
Source organism: Homo sapiens (assembly GCF_000001405.40). NCBI lineage: Eukaryota > Metazoa > Chordata > Mammalia > Primates > Hominidae > Homo > Homo sapiens. The sequence goes on from NC_000011.10 coordinate 1,357,297, forward strand.
TTTTAATATCCATTGTTTCTTTTTAAAATTTATTTTATTTATTTATTAATTTATTTATTTTGAGATGGAGTCTCTCTCTGTCACCCAGGCTGGAGTGCAGTGGCGCGATCTCGGCTCACTGCAAGCTCTGCCTCCCGGGCTCATGCCCTTCTCCTGCCTCAGCCTCCCGAGTAGCTGGGACTACAGGCGCCCGCCACCACGCCCGGCTAATTTTTTTGTATTTTTAGTAGAGACGGGGTTTCACCATGTTAGCCAGGATGGTCTTGATCTCCTGATCTCATGATCCACCCGCCTCGGCCTCCCAAAGTGCTGGGATTACAGGCATGAGTCACCGCGCCCGGCCCGTTGTTGCTTTTTCTTGTCTGGTGGTGAGTGGGTCCTCAAGTTCTTTGTGGGTTAGAGGCAGTGAGGGTGAGTTGTCTCATTCCTGATTTTATTTAAAAATGTGTAATTGTGATGGTTGCTGTGCTTTGTTTTTTTTTGTTTTTTTTTGGTTTTTTTTGCGTATTCCTTTTATAAAGTTAAAAAAATTATTTTATTCCTAGTTTGGTAAGAGTTTTATCTTAAAATACTGTTGAATTTTATCAAGTATTTATCTTGCCTCTATTGAAATTGACATGTGGTTTTTCTTTTTGCACTGTTTTTGTGGCAAATCACAAGGCTGGGCCATGGAGTGACTATCTCCTGGGAGACTCGGGCGGGTGAGCTGGTCATGCCTGAGCTCCACCCAACCTTCTGCACTCCTCAGTCTTCCGATTCCTTCTCCACTTCCCCGAGGAACTCAACTGTTGGATTGTAGGGAGCACAGAGGTTGAGAGGCTTTCGGGAGACCTGGGAAGGTGGGCTCTGGACAGGAGAGGCAGGGGAGTTGCTGCCTGGCCCCTGCTTTGTGCAGCACCAGGCACAGGCTCAGAAGATGCTGCCGCCACACTCAGGGCTCCTGGATGATGCCACGGGCAGAGGCTGACCCAGAACCATTCAGGAAAGACATCCCAAGTGGTGTAGTCCAAGCTTCTCCTGCGCTGTGGGAGGAAAGCACATGAGGGTGGGGGTGTGCAGGGCTGTGACCAGCAAACAGGCCAGCACGGCCTGCTTCTGGTCACTGGCCAGGCCTGCCCTGCTGCAGAGTGAAGACTTCCTGTAAGGCCACCCGGCTGCTCCCTCCCGGCGACGGCTCTGCAGTGAGGCCCACGCCACCCGGCTGCTCCCTCCTGGCTATGGCTCTCCAGTGAGGCCCACGCCACCCGGCTGCTGCCCCCCAGCGACGGCTCTCCAGTGAGGCCCACCTGCCATCCCCCCGCACGGGTAAACAGAGGCCTGTGAGTCGGTGTGGCAACCTCCAGTCCAGGCGAGCTGCTTTTCTAGGTCAACACTGGTCCTCTCTTGCCATCCTGTAAATCAGATACCAAGTTTAAAAGCTGACCACAGAAAACCAAACATTGTGTGTTCTCACTGATATGTGGGAGCTAAGCTGTGAGGACGCGAAGGCATAAGAATGATACAGTGGACTTTGGGGACTTGGAGGGGAAGAATGGGAGGGGGCGAGGGATAAAAGACAACAAATAGGGTGCAGTGTATACTGCTCAGGTAATGAGTGCACGAGGATCTCGCAGATCAGAGCTCAAGAACTCACTCCTGGAACCAAATACCACGTGTACCCCAATAACTTATGGAAAAATAAAATAAATAAATAAGTAAATAAATAAATGCTGACCACACCCCATGTAAAACAGCAGGGAAGGGCTCAAGGAGGGGAAGTGGTGGGAGGAGAAAACGTGCGTGGCTGCCCCAGCCCCGCCGCCGCCTCTGCACGGCACGGTGTCCTGTCCGTGGCTCCATAGCCATTGTGTTCTCAAAGGGACTGAGCCGTTATTCGTCCTTTTCTTTGGGGTTGTTCCAAAATGCCATCCATGGTCGGGCGCAGTGGCTCATGCCTGTAATCCCAGCATTTTGGGAGGCCGAGGCGGACGGATCACCTGAGGTCAGGAGTTTGAGACCATCCTGGCCAACATGGTGAAACCCCGTCTCTACTAAAAATACAAAAATTAGCCAGGCGTGGTGGCGGGCGCCTGTAATCCCAGCTACTCAGGAGGCTGAGGCAGGAGAATCACCTGAATCCAGGAGGCAGAGGTTGCAGTGAGCTGAGATCACACCACTGCACTCCAGCCTGGACGACAGAGCGAGACTCTGTCTCAAAAAAAAAAAAATAGCAAAACATAAAAACAACAAAATGTCATTCATGAACTTTGGCTTCCAGGTGGTCTTGGGGAGACTCCAGGCTCAGCCTCCTCCCGCTGCTCCCTTGAAGGAGCCGTCCTGACTGTCCTTGGCCGCCTGAGCCCGCTGCCCCAGCAGGAGGTCTACTGCTCTGGTGGCAAGAGGACTCCTGGGCCTGTGGCTGTCCAGGCGTCCCCTTCAGGGGAAGCGTGTGTGTGACGTGAATACTCCGCACCACCTCAGCACCTGCAAAACCCAGACGTGCTGACGCGGGGAGCATGGGCTTAGCCGGTGCGTCACTAGGGCCATGGTGCAGGGAACCACCCTGGGCCTACGTGTCCCGGCTCTGGGAGAACATCACACATGGACCTGGCCCACCTTGTGGGACCACACCCTCCAGAGGCCTCGTCCTGTAGACAGCTGTCACACATTGTCACACAAGTGAGCCTTCAACAGCCCATGATGGGGGTGACGTGGCCCAGGTACAGCAAGGGAACGCATGGGCCTGAGCCCTTTCTCTCCCTTTCCTCTGTGGAATGGGGCCCTGGGTCGCAGCTAATGCTTTGTGGAGGACCATGACAGCTGCTCAGACTCTGCATGTGGTGTCGGCAGAAGTGCCATGACCAGGGACAGAAACTCATGTCCAGAGGAAGCGTCTATTCCAACCGGGACACATCGTTGCACCCTCCCTGATGGAGGGGTCCAGTGAAACCAACCTCCCCCCGTGACCGGCTCATCCCGTGGGGAACAGTGCAGTTTCAGGCCCACAGCTCTGGCTCTCTGCTGTTGGTTGTTGGGCTTTTGGCCGTGGTGGGGGGCCCATGTCTGAGGCTGGGCGCAGCTTCCATGCTCACTGCTGTGGGCACTGCCCAGGAGCCATCAAGCATGCCTGGGGTGGCTGGTGACATCCCCAAAACAAGCCGTGTGTTCAGCTGGCTGTGATGAGCCTCCTCCGTGGACACGCAAATATCCCCACGTCCTGTGCCCCTCTGGAAAGGTTCGTCCACAAGTCTCTCCCCAGCCTCCTTGTCATCAACCTTTCAAACAGATGGCTTCCAAGTCCCGGACCATCCGGCAAACCGTTAGCCACATCCCCTGAAGAGGTCTGGTCCTGTCCTCTTGTCCAGGCACAGGACACAGCCAGTGAGGCCGCCCCAAGCGCTGCTCGCTAGGACGACGCCCCTGTCCTGCCTCCCTACAGGGCCATCCCCAGATGAGGCTGCAGCATTGCCCCGTGTGCTCTCAGCTGGTGCCAGTGTTGTCTGGAACTGTCTGGACCTACCTGGAAACTGAGTGTGAGTGTTTGATTCCTCACTCCCCTGGTGGCTGGGAATTGCCCTGGAAGGCACTGGTGCTTGTGGAGGGAGAAATGGCAATGTCTGGGTGTGGGTGCTGTGGGCCTGGGTGCTGTGGACGTGGGTGCTGTGCACGTGGGTGCTGTGGGCCTGGGTGCCGTGGGCCTGGGTGCCGTGGACGTGGGTGCATGGCACAGATGGGCGGCCACCTGAACGAGTGGGAGGAGTGCAGTCCCAGGCCCTCCCAGAGACTGTGCCATAGTCTCCACCCCAAGTGACGGTGGAGGGATGCTGGGAACGGTAAGCTTTAATGCTTGGTGAATCTTGCATTGCCTCATTCATGACCGGTAGGTCACGTGGTCATCTGACACTTCCATCTCTTCCGAGGCCCAGTGGAAAGCCAGGAGCTGGGTCTCCAAAGGAAAATGGTTACTTTCAGAAGAGGGCATGATTTTTCTCCAAAACGCTGGGTGGCTGAGCTGGGATTCTTCTGAAGGGTTTGTCGGAAGCTCCACACGGCATCCCTGTCTGACACGGACCTGTTGTCACCGTCTGATTTGCTGAGACACGCGTGCAGAGGTGCCTGATGGCAGCCTGGACCTGCTACAGAGCCTTCTGCTGCTGTAGGCCCCTTCAAAACTGACAGCCTCGGAGGCTTCCATATGGTCGAAGCAGCCTGCTTCAATATGGTGCATGAGCTCTCTGGGGTCTAAAAAGGCCTACCAAGCAGCATTGTGCCACCTTCTTAGTGCAAAGAACAGGAAGTTGGGTCAAGTATCTTATTATTATTATTATTAATCATTATTGTTGAGACAAGGTCTCACTCTGTTGCCCAGGCTGGAGTGTGGTGGTGCCATCACAGCTCACTGCAGCCTTGAACTCCTGGGCTCAAGCGATCCTCCTGCCATGGCCTCCCAGAGTGCTGGGATGACAGGTGTGAGCCCATGCCTGGCTGGGGGCACATATCTTCATATATCCCAGACCACAGGATGTCTAGAAATTTCACTGAAATGACAGAATCCTTCATTTTGTGAGGTGCGTCTCCTACTATGGAGGCACGAAAGGGCCTTACTAAGACAGTTAGAGTATTTACTACTTCCTGCCACCAGGTCTGATCTCCATTACACCATCGGCATAGTGAACTGGCACTTTGTCCCATGGGATGGCCAGGACTGAGATGGTCAAGGGCCCTGAGGTCTATATTTTGACAAAGGGATGGACGATGGGCACAGTTCTGAGAAGCACGAGCCGGGGTGTATTGCTGTCCCTGCCAGGTGAAAGTAGCCTTCCCCTGTGGCTCAGCTGTTGTGTGTGGAAGGAAACGTTGGTCAGATGAGTTTCCTCATGGAAGCCATGGCTGGGTGTTCCATCACACGAGGTACATCTGGAGGGGCAGATGCAATTGGAGTCCCCACCCGATTGTGTTTGCAGCCATCCACAGTCACTCTCCAAAATCCACCTCTGTCCTTCACAGGCCAAAGAGGTGAAGCAAAACGATGTGATAGGAAGCTGAGATATCGGCTGGGCACAGTGGCTCACACCTGTAATCCCAGCACTTTGGGAGGCTGAGGCGGGTGGATCACCTGAGGTTGGGAGTTTGAGACCAGCCTGGTCAACATGGTGAAACCCTGTCTCTACTAAAAATACAAAATTAGCCGGGCATGGTGGCGCACGCCTGCAGTCACAGCTACTCGGGAGGCTGAGACAGGAGAATTGTTTGAACCTGGGGGACAGAGGCTGCGATGAGCCAAGATCACACCACTGCACTCCAGCCTGGGCGACAGAGCAAGACTCTGTCTCAAACAAACAAACAAAAAAAGAGGAATCCAGGATACCGTTGCCAGTATGCACTGTAAATCTTTCTCCTAGATTTCTCTGAAGAAGTCTGCAGCCCTTTGGCAGCGTGGCTGCAGATGGAAGGAAGGAAACAGTTCGCCCTGGAGAATGGCTAGGCAGCACCTCTGAGCCGAGCATCCCACCCGCTCTGACTGGCCCACAATCGTGGGGCCAGTGGTATCTCAGAGCCCTTCTGTAAGGAGGTCTGGTCCCCCGGCATTCAGGGGTTCTGAGCTGCTCAGTTCTGGGATATGGGGAAAAGCCAGGATTCTCCACCATGCTGGCTGACGCCATTTCTCTGTTCACCAGACCTACAGGGTTTTGTCACTTACAGTGATTGCCATGGTCTGAATGCTTGTGTCCTCCTCGAAAGGTAGGTATTGAAACCTAATCACCAAGGTGATGGTGTTGGGAGGTGGGACCTTCAAGAGGTGGCAAGGTCATGGGGGCAGAGCCCTCATAAATGGATTGGTGCCCTTATGAAAGGGGCCCATGGGAGCCTTGTTTGCCCCATGTACGGGTGCAGCCGGAAGTTGCTGTCTGAGAGGAAACTGGCCTCCACCAAACACAGCTGGCACCTTGGTCTTGCACTTCCAGCCTCCAGAACTGTGAGACATGTTTCTGTCATTTATAAGCCACCCAGATCTTTAATGATATTTTTGTTATGGTAGCCCAAACAGACTAAGACAGAGACCAGAGAACACTTTGGCAGGCTACTTACGTGTTTTAGTCCTGGGGACACTTCAATCAGTTAGACATTCCCCAAAGTCCTACAGGGTGAAGGACACAGTTGCTGCCCTGGCCCTGTCACCCATTGAGACCAGGACACCCCATTGTGCTGGAGCTGCTACCTGGTTGCCAACACTCAGGCAGCCTGTTCAATGAGAGCAACTTGCACCACTATCTTGGTCCACAGAGCCTTCCAAGATGCGGTGCCCTCCATCAGCATATTGCCACGCCTTTCTCTCCCAGGATGCATTGCTGGGATGGATGAACAGGGCCATGCGATAAATCCTCTAACGTTGCCACGTCTGTGCTTTTGCCTCCTTTCCTCTCCGTTGTATGGAGGAAGTTCTGACAGCTCACTTCATTTCACGTGGTGTGCAAGCTTCTGTCAAACAACGGAACAAACTATGAGAACCACTTCCAGCCACTGCTTCTGCACACTTCTCTGCTAAGTGAGTCTCTGCTGTGTGAGTCTCATTGGTAAAACTACCCTGATCTAACATTCTGTTACCTCCTTTGTGGTCCAACACTCCAAGAGTCCACGGCCTCAGACGCCCCTGGGTTTCTGCTGATGTAAATTGGCAAAAACTTGCATTCAGTGTGTATGTGGCTCCTCTTGGGTCTCACTGTGTGTTTATCCCTCTGCACCCAACTCTAGTCATGGCTCTGGGAATAATGAGGGTCGGTGGAGGTGGATCTCAAGGGAGATCTGTCATCTTGCAAGGCTGTTTCCTCAAGTGAAGCCATCACAGATCTTTGGGCACAGTTTTACTCACCTCAGACTCTAAGGAAGAGTCACTTCTGCTTACAGGGAGACTCAGGAAGGTCTAATGTTCAGGGGACTCAGAGTCAGAGAAATCCACCCTCTCCAGTTCTCGAGGTCTCATTCTTTCCAAATAAATGCCTTAACTTTGACTTAAGAGATTTAGTAAGACATTTAATTATTCTTTAGTTGTAATTCATTAGCCTGCAAGATCAAATTTGTACTCTGCATTTAAAAAAAAAAGTTGACTCTACAGCTACAAGAACTAAAATGGTTTTTTTAGGACAGCTATAGAAGGGCTCTGGTTCTCTGTCTATACCTTCAGCTGAGCACTTAAGGCCACAGCTTGTCATTTTCTTTGTCAGTTCCCCAGTGCAATAAGCAGCAGCCACCCCATGCCACATCCTTGTATGCATGGTTTCCATCCACATCCTAATGTCCTATTGCAAGAGCCCCCTGGTGTCTGAAACCCAGGCTTGTGATGGGCACTGCATCGCAGAGACCTCAAGGTAATGATTTTACCAGTGACAATGTTTATAGATTATCTGCATCCTGCTTCCCACTCCTCACGTGGTCCTCACTGACATCAGACAAAACCTGGTCTGTCCAATTACTAACTCCAGATTCCCATCTTCAAGGTTCTGCCTTCCTGGAAACACTGCTGGTACCAGGAATGGTTGGTCGGGAACACTAAAGTCACTCTAGGTATTTTGGGTAGAAGGAGATTCATTGCAGGGAACTCTAGGCTTACAGAAATGTTGAGAACTTTGGGGACTGAAGGTTATTTCAGGAGATCTGGAAGTGCAGGGATAGAAGGGTAGCATCCATTGCCCCCTGATAACTGTACCACTGACATGGCTAGAAACCACCCCAGTGATCCCAGCTGCTTGTAGCACCTCAGGGTGATTCTCAAACTGACTCCAGAAGCCAAGGTACACTGCTGCCAATGACTGCAGGGGCCTCTGCAAAACGGACGTTGATGAATGAAACAAAGTGTGATCTACCCATAGCAGGGAATGTTATTCATCCTTAAAAAGGAAGGAAATCCTGCAGCTCACGCCTGTCATCCCAGCTCTTTGGGAAGCTGAGGCAGGAGAATGGCTTGAGGCCAGGAGTTTGAGACCAGCCTGGGCAACATAATGAGACCCCCGTCTCTACAAAAAACAATTTAAAAAATTTGCTGTAGTCCCCGCTACCCAGGAGACTGAAGCAGGAGGATAGCTTGAGCCCAGGAAGTTGAGGCTGCAGTGAGCTATGATCTCTCCTGTCTCTAAAAAAGAAAAAAAATAAAAGGAAAGAAATTAATTCTCACACAGGCTACAAAATGGATGAACCTTGAGGACATTATGCTGAATCAAAGAAGCCATTCAGCAAAGGATAAATCCTATAAGCTTCCCCGTATATGAGGAACCCAGAGCAGTGAAATCCCCAGTGACAGGAAGTGGATGGTGGGCACCAGGGGCTGGCAGAGAGGATGGGAGTCAGTCTTCCATGGGGACAGGGACAGCTTCAGTTTGGGAAGCTGAAGAAGTTCTGGAGATGATGATGGTGGTGACAAGTGCACACCAACGTGAATGTATCAGGGACAGCTTCAGTTTGGGAACTTGAAGAAGTTCTGGAGATGACGATGGTGGTGACAGGTGCATACCAACGTGAATGTATCAGGGACAGCTTCGGTTTGGGAAGCTGAAGAAGTTCTGGAGATGATGATGGTGGTGACAGGTGCACACCAATGTGAATGTATCAGGGACAGCTTCGGTTTGGGAAGCTGAAGAAGTTCTGGAGATGATGATGGTGGTGACAGGTGCACACCAACGTGACTGTATCAGGGACAGCTTCAGTTTGGGAAGTTGAAGAAGTTCTGGAGATAATGATGGTGGTGACAGGTGCACACCAACATGAATGTATCAGGGACAGCTTTGGTTTGGGAAGCTGAAGAAGTTCTGGAGATGATGATGGTGGTGACAGGTGCACACCAACGTGAATGTATCAGGGACAGCTTCGGTTTGGGAAGCTGAAGAAGTTCTGGAGATGATGATGGTGGTGACAGGTGCACAGCAATGTGAATGTATCTAATGGCACTAAACTGTGCACTTTAAAACTGCATGCATTTACAATGGTAAATTTTATGTTATGCGCATTCCACTGTAGTGAAAAAGAGTTAACTTCACCTGAAATGAATTCGTGTGGTAACCATTGGTTCTGTGTTAATAGCATGGACTTCCATTGTATCTGCATAATGCCGAGACCAGCTCAGTCTGGGAGGCCCTAACCCAGTGGCGCTAGAGGAATTAAAGACACACACACAGAAATATAGAGGTGTGAAGTGGGAAATCAGGGGTCTCACAGCCTTCAGAGCTGAGAGCCCCGAACAGAGATTTACCCACGTATTTATTAACAGCAAACCAGTCATTAGCATTGTTTCTATAGATACTAAATTAACTAAAAGTATCCCTTATGGGAAACGAAGGGATGGGCCAAATTAAAAGAATAGGTTGGGCTAGTTAACTGCAGCAGGAACACGCCCTTAAGGCACAGATCGCTCATGCTATTGTTTGTGGCTTAAGAATGCCTTTAAGCGGTTTTCCGCCCTGGGTGGGCCAGGTGTTCCTTGCCCCCATTCCCATAAACCCACAACCTTCCAGCCTGGGCGTTAGGGCCATTATGAACATGTCATAGTGCTGCAGAGATTTTGTTTATGGCCAGTTTTGGGGCCAGTTTATGGCCAGATTTTGGGAGGCTTGCTCCCAACAACATAAAGCTGCAAAATAGATTTAATCCACATTTTAAAGGCGTTACCACCTGTGAAAGAAGCCAGACACAAAAGACAACACACAGTTTGATTTCACTTTTGTGGAATCCAAGAGTCGGCAAAATGGGCCCGGGGTAATAGAAGTTGGGGTTGCGTTTGCCCACGGAGGGGAGGCTGGAGCGGGTGAGGGGGCATTGGGGCTAGTGGTGACGACATTCCTGGTTCCCTCAAGGGACATGTTGGGCACATGGGAGTGTGGCTCCGCCACAACCCACGCAATCGTATGCACTGAAAACCTTTGCATCTCACTGTCTGTGATGTTTTCCCTCTTGATTTTAAGACAAACCTGTGAGCTAAATGAAGTTGATAAAGCCACATTTGTCACTGGAAATCTTTTTTTTTCTTTTTGAGGCAGAGTCTCACTCTGTCGCCCAAGCTGGAGTGCAGTGGCGCCATCTCGGCTCACTACAAGCTCCGCCTCCTGGGTTCATGCCATTCTCCTGCCTCAGCCTCCTGAGTAGCTGGGACTACAGGCACCTGCCACCATGCCTGGCTAATTTTTTTGTATTTTCAGTAGAGATGGGGTTTCACTGTGTTAGCCAGGATGGTCTCAATCTCCTGAACTCGGCATCTACCCGCCTTGGCCTCCTAAAGTGCTGGGATTACAGGCGTGAGCCACCGTGCCTGGCCTTGTCATTGGAAATCTTAACTCACTTCCTCCGGTAGACAACAAACAAGAAGGAAAAAGATCAATAACTTGACAGGCGTTCTGGAGCCCATGATAGACAGACTTGCTCCCGGAAACACCACCTGTGGAACCCTGCCCCCTCTTTCTGGGTGTAAATGGAACATGGGAGCACACGTCGTGTCATGGCCACAGCACAGATGTCCACATGGTTGAAAGGTTGGCATTGGACAGTGTTCTCTGGGCATGGTGGACCTCTGCCAGGACCCAGGGGTGGGGGTACCAGGAGGCCCCCCCACACTGGGAGATGGAGACCCCGCTCCCAGCCAGGCTGTGTGTGATGGTCGTGTCCCAGCCCTTCTGATGCAGGGCAGGTGAGCCCCAGCGTGGAGCTTGGCCCTTGGGGATTCTTGGCTTTGCCCAGGAAAGAATCCAAGGGCGAGCAGGCAGAGAGCAGCTGCTCAGGGCCGTTTGCATCACGTTTATACCCACTTGTAATTGCATGCACTTTAAAGAGTGGCTCATGCAGAAATTTCTAGGGAAGTGGTAGTAACTTCTGGGCCATCAGGTCGTTGCTGTGGAAAGGGCGGCAAGGCCTGGGTGTTGCCACGTCAACGGTAAATTGACCTGGCACGGCGGAGGGCAGGTCTGATTGGAAAGCTGCTTTCACCCTGCCCTGTTTTACCTAGTCCTCAATCTGGTCCGGTGTCAGAGCCTGGCCTCTGTCACCAAGTCCTGCCCCTACCTCAGCTCCACGTGGCACTCAGGGCTGTACTGGGTCCCTGCTCGCCCACCCGCAACACCCATTTCACCCTGCCCCAAACGCCCCTGTGTTCTGTTGACCCAAAGCCACCTGGAGCCTCCTCCACCCTGTTGGAAAGTGGCCTTGGGCCCTGGCGGGACTGGACGTGACCTCTTACTGCAGGGTCACCCTGCCCTGCGTCTGCCTCCCCAGCCAGGCTGGCCTCTGTGGCTGCCCTCTGGGTAAGCAGTGCCCGCCTCTCCATCTCTCCTCCTGCAGCCATGGCCTAGATGCTGAGTGACCCTGAGCCTCATGCCTCTCACCTGTGACCTTGGGGACACTAAGCCCCTTGTGCAAGGCTGATTTGGTGAGTAGAATAATTTGGGTGAACGGGTTTTAGGAAACTCAGAGCTTGGTTCAGACACAAATCATCATAATTAACTTTGTGAATGGTTTTAGGAAACTCAGAGTTTGGTTCAGATACAAATCATCATTATTAACTTTGCGAATGGCAGAGGAGGTGCCAGGTCCCTGGTGTCACGGGGTTTACAGTCGAGTTGGGGGAGCAGCAAGGACCCACATGAAATCAACTCGACAGATGATGTAATTGCAAAACAAATCATGCACGTGCGTCGGGGACGGGAGCTGGGTGAGCAGTCACCTTCTTGCACCCACGGCCTCCAAGCCCACCTGCTGGGAGCTGACGTGGGCTCCAGCTGAACCCAGGGGCGACCCTCCCGGTGGGAGGCGGGGGTCACTGAGGAGCTCCTGGCCAAGCTCATCGACTCAGCCCTGAGTGGAGCCGACACTCACTGGGCACGTGCAGCCCTTGGAGTCCGGGGTGGACATGTGGCCCTGCAGGAGTCCCAGGGGCTTCCCAGAGGAGGGGATCCCATGCCCCCTGGCCAGACCTCAGAGGCGTGTGTGGGCACCTGTGTGTGCCAGGGAGAACGGGACGGAGGTGTGCGAGGGCACCTGTGTGCGTGCCAGGGAGGGCGGAGATGTGTGTGAGGGCATGTGTGTGTGTGCTGCGGAGGACAGGGAAGGGAAGGGAGAGGAGGTGGCATCCAGGGAAGGGCTGAATGGGGACCTACTGGCCAGTGGAGTGCGGACGCCGGGGTGGAGAGGTCAGGGGAGCCACAGCAGAAGGTCCCAGCCTTCACCCAGGGAACTCAGCAATAGATCAGGGAGGGGTGAACTGGCTGGAACTTCCCACACCTGCTGCTCTGGTCATTTCATGGAGGACCAGAAGGAGGCAGGAGGCGTCTCAGAGCCGCTGTAGCACGAGGTTTTGCGGCTCAGGCCCCAGCTGCGTACCAGGGTCTGGGCACTGTACCCTCCAGGGCTGCAGGAAGGGAGGCAATGGTGGAATGGGGTTGGGGTTGAGGACCCAGCAGTCCAGCGTGGGGTGGCTGGGTGGGAGAGGCGGCGCCAGGCTCCAGGAGCTTCCTGCCTGGGGTCCCCAAAGCTATTGGGATGGGAGAAAGCTGGCCGTGCTCTGGACGGGTGTGGGAGGCCTGTGGCAAGAAAGGGACTCAAGACAGCCCTGGAAGCAGGAGCGAGGGGAACCCAGGTCAGCAGGGGATGGCGCTGGTGTGGCCCGTCATGGGTTCCCAGAGTGGCCTCAGCGACACTTCTGGTCCCACCCGTTCCTTCCAGCCCTGCCACTCAGCAAGAGGTGGGGCCCCCCTGCCCCCATGAGCCCCATGGAGGAGCTGTATGTCACCTGCGGCCCAGCCCAGCTAAGTTCTCCAGGGACAAGCAACGAGGGGGAGGAAGGGAAGGAGGAGGAGGAGGAGGGGCGGTGAGGCTCATCCTGTCTGGGGGTCCTCCTTGGCCGCCCTGAGTGTGTGGGGGACTCTGCCAGGCAGGCACTGGGGCTTGGTGGGGGGCCCTGACCTCCCATGACCTCTCGCCGACCCTCCCCCCGCCCGCTGCCCTCCACGCTGGACGACGGGTGCTGCAGCACCTTCAGGCCCACAGACACCCGGCAGGGTCCCCTCTGTGCCCTCAGTCCATCCTCCCGTTCGTTTGGGCAGCACAGACACTCACAGCAGAGATGGACTTGAATCTGTCCCCAGACCCACACCCAGGGTCCCAGGGCAGCCCATGGGGCAGCAGGGCCGTGCAGGCAGTCGGGAGCTCGGCCTGGGGCCTTGGGGCCTCCTGGCTCCCCCGAGGCACAGGAGTCCCAGGCATGGGTCCCACTGCCCGGCCCTGGGGGGCTGGTCGAAGCCAACGTGGGCTGGGGTCATTGTGCATTTTGGGTTCGGCCAGGCAGTGGCAATGAGGCCAGCAGTCCCTGCATGTGTCGGGGACCAAGGCATACAAACCTTGGACCAAGGCGTTCGGCAGCTGGACCCTGTGTGCTGTCATGGGTGGTGCCGAGGGGAGAGAGCACTGCTGGAGCCTCGGTCACCCGGTGCCATACAGGGCAATGGAGCAGGCTCAAGGACGGCCGTGGCCAGGGCTGGGGATTGTTCTGCTCCGAGTCCCATCTGGGGAAGCCCCCGAGACCTGCCGTCCCCAGGTGACTGTGGAGCACACAGCACCTCGCGGGTCCAGCTGGGAACCAGTGCCTCACCGCTCTGCCCGTCCCACTGGCCTACACCAGGCCCGTGGCCACCTCTGACGTGTGCACCTGTGTCCGTGGAAGGCACCACCAGGGACTGGAGGGAAGCTGGCGGGGACTGGTGGGGCTGGAGGGAGCGGGGGACAGCGACTCACCCCACATCCCCGGCCCTGCGCCCTGGCCTTGCTTGACAGCTGGATGCAGCCTGCCCTGGAGGCTTGTAAGCCTCTGAGGGTGGCACTGGGCGTTCTTGCCATCACTAGACAGCAGCACACCCAGGGCTGGGCAGCGGCGGGAAGGTGCTGAGGGTACTCTCACCTGCTCGGACAGTTGGGAAAGTGGAGACCACAGCACCACAGGGCTCTCCCGGGGCCTCTGTCGTAGGCCTGCAGACACCACCTCTCCCCGCCTCCTCACGGGGCTGTCCATCTGTGCACAGGCTCCCCGGGGGGCGGGCGGGGGGGAAGTGTCCAAGTCTCCTCTTCTTACGGGGAGAAGACCAGAACAGGGCCTGCCCCAAAGACCTCATTTTAACAAAATTCCCCTTTGAAAGGCCCTACCTCCAAATGCAACCACATGGACGTCCTGGGGGTCAGGACTTTGACGCATGAATCTGGGGGACACGATGCAGCCGATGCAGGACGGCATCGGTGACACCCGCCCTCCATGTGCTTTCGCCTGCATAGTTGGGGCCAGCCTGGCTCTGGCCGTCCTCCCGGGGGGCCCCTGCTCCCCAGCCTGAGAATTTGTATCCTCTCCCCTCTAACCCCAGCTGTGGTTTCCGTATTAGAGGGTCAAGAGCAGGGAGACATAAAAGACCAATGCTGATGCCAAGGAGCCAGTGACAGGGGCTGTTCCCCTCAGCAGGGGCCGGGACGGAGGATCCAGGTGGGGCTGGGATCTTCACCAAGAGTGCATGGGACCTCGTGCGGGAGACAGGAGAGGGGAGAGGGGCTGCAGACCAGAGACCCCAGAACACCCACAGGAGGGGGCCGGGTGGGAGGAGTCATGGAGGAGCCCGGGAGGGAGCAAGGGGAAGGGATGGTGGGGGGAGCTGGGGGCCCCGAGCCTGAGGGGAGGCCACGGGACACAGAGCAGGGAGCTCTGTGCACAGGGGCCAAGGGGGCCTTGGGGACCACGGGAGTCCCGGGAGCAGAGGTGCGGCAGGTGCGGGAGAGACCAAGGGAGCGGCCGACCTTGGCGGCCTGCAGTGCCCTTGGCCTCCCCTCGGGTTGGGCTGGCCCATCAGGCTCTGTACCCGCCCTGCTGCGGCTCCACGTCGGGCTGGCGCCGGCTGAGGAACAGAGAAGGAGGACAGGCTCCAGGCCAGGGAGCGTCAGGGAAGGACGAAGGACTCAACCCTTTGAGGGCCAACAGGCCCATGGAGGGAGTCTTCCCTAGCGCCACTGCACCTGCAGCTGCTGTACCAGGGTGGGCCTTCCTCCCTCCCCTGTGGGAACCGGGCCCTCTGGGATCAGCCCCTCAGTGACTGCCGCCGCCCTGTCCCAGCCACTGCACTGAGGCCCAACCATGGCCTCCCTCAGCAAAGGGGCCTCCAGGATTTCACACGGGGTCCCAGCGACTGCACCCAACCATTGGGAGGCTTCACCTTCAGGTGGCCAGAAAAGATGACTAATCCTACCCTGAGCTCACCCTAATCCTAGGCTCCCCCATACCTGAGCTCACCCTAATCCCAGGCTACCCCATGGGGGTCTGGCTACAGGGAGTCTCTGTCCAAAAGTGCCCAGCTTCAGGGATGCTGCAGAGCTGCCTTCGGGGTGGGGGTGACCCACAGACCCCATTCCCCTACAGGGAGGCAGGAACCTTTTGTGGGGCTCATTCACAGAAGGGGCTGGAGACCCAAGAGCCACGGCTCTTTGGGATGGTGGATAGGACAAAGGTTTCTCCAGGGAACCAGCGCAACGTATGCCAGATGGCCACACCCCCAGCCACAGATGGCCTCACACCAGAGACAGGTCAAGGTCAAGTGATGGAGCCGGGCGCGGTGACTCACGCCTGCAGTCCCAGCACTTTCAGAGGCCAAGGAGAGAGGCTCACTTGAGCCCAGGAGGTCGAGACCAGCCTGGGCAACATAGGGAGACCTCATCTCTACAAAAATAAAAATAAAAATAAAAATAAAAAAATATAAAATAATAATAGTAATAATTAGCAGGGCGTGGTGGCATGCACCTGTGGTCCCAGCTGCTTGGGAGGCTGAGGTGGGAGGATGGCTTGAGCCCAGGAAGTCGAGGCTGCAGTGAGCTAAGATCGCACCAGGCACTGCAGCCTGGGTGACAGAGAGACCCTGTCTCAGTAAAAGAAGATCAGGCGACCAGTCCTGGTATTGAGGGGGATCTGGAGAACCAAGAGAAAATCTCTTATTAAACGCAGATTTCACAGAAAACAATAACTTTACAAAACTGGAAATCTACCAGCCTTTTAGGCATGAGGAATTGTCACGCAGGGTTGCCTAGCGATGGACAGGCACATTTCAAGAAATACGGGCTCAACCCATCGAGCCGTATTAACTTTAATTATTAACGTTCAGTGTAATTATGAGCTATCTTTCTCCTTGCATCCGAGGAAAGCTCTGTTCCTGTGCAGTGGGGCTGTGTGGCCCTGTTCTGGGGGTGAGAGAATGTCTGATGTACTTCTCCTAAATCTGAAAAACAAATAATAGTAATGATAAAAAACAAATTGAAATCGTAAATAAACGGTCTCACTACAGGCGAGGTGCAGGTGGATGGGAAGGCAGGGCTGGGGCACCCCTGCGGCCGTGGTGGCTGTTCCCCAGCGGGGACCTCGCCATGGTCTCGAGAGCCATATTTCATTAAACAAATAAATACAAAGACAGTCATGCTAAAAATTCATGGAATGTTAAGCCACAATTCACCAGACTATAAACACCATTCCGTCTTCATATTCCTGTTATCGGTCAGAGGTGGAGGCTCCTCATGGTGCATTTTCGGCTCAATTGCTTTGGACACAGTTTCTTTCTACATCACTTCTTCGTGGCTATCTCAGGAAGGGACAGGAGGGAGGAGAGTGGCCTCCTGGGCTCCTGTGGCCTCGGCATGCCGTGCTTTGTTAGTAAGCCTGATGTCAGGCGTGGCCTCCCCTCTTTCCTCCTTTGCGGGTGGGGCCCATTGTCCCTCCTCACTCCGCTCCGGTTAACCACCACGATGCTGGTTGTGTGGACTCGGCCTGTTCCTCTTGAGGAATGGGATTCATGCTCCAAAAGTATCCAGCCTGCACCTGGGAGCCCCTCGGAGATGACGCCTTCCTTCCTGCCCCTCCCACCCTGCACCCAGCACCAGCTAGAGACAGCCTGGTGCAGCCCCCAGAAGTCCATGGAGGGGAAAGTGGGAAAAACCCCACTTTTAAGAATGTGACCCCCATGTTTTTCCCAGCTTGTTTAAGCATTTAAAAAATTGTTCTGAAATATACATAAAAGGCACCACCTGACACATTCTAAGTGTATACAGTTTGGGAGCATTCAGTACGTTTGCACTGATACGGTTTGGCTCTGTGTCCCCGCCCAAATCTCAGGTGGAATTGTAATCCCCAGAGTTGGGGGTGAGGCCTGGTGGGGGGCGATTTTAGTGCCGTCCCTGGGTGCTGTCCTCCCCACCCGGCCTGAGTTCTCTCTAGCTCTGGGTGTTTAAGGATGCAGCAGCTCCCGCTCACTCTTTTGCTGCTCCTGTCAGGTTAGACCAGCCTGCTTCCCCTCGCCTTCCGCCACGATTGAGAGTCTCCTGAGGCCTCCCCAGAAGCCAAGCAGACACCAGCATCAGGCTTCCCCTGCAGCCTGAAGAACCGTGAGCCAATTCAGCCTCTTTTCTGTATCAAGTACACAGTCTCAGGTGATTCTTTATAGTGGCGCGAGAATGGGCGAATACATGCTGCACTGCGCAGCCCTCCCCCCGCCCCCCGCAGCCTGCTCTCGGGCTTTCTATACCCCCACCTCCTCCTTGCTCACGGCTGATGGATACCTAGCGAGGAGGGGAACTGCAGGGGCTCTCACGGGCAGCAGGCAGAGCTGTGGGCTTTCATCTGAGGCCGGGTCTGAAGGTTCCTACGCTCCCAGACATCTGACCCCTCCACTCCCTCCCACCCATGTACGGAAGCCCCACCCAGGCTGGGCTGAGCCTCCTGGGGCCCCAGGGCGGTTGCCCACCTCTGAGTCCCTGGAAGGTCTTTCTGCAGCCTGTGGCTGGGTCCTGCCCCCTGGGACTTGGGCCCTTTGGCCTCGGAGCCACCCAGGAACAAGGCCCCCATCTTTCTCCAGCACAGCCTGTGCTAATGAGAGGCAGACACAGACTCCGAGCCCCCTTGCACCCCTGTTTCCCTCCTCAGCTGCCCAAAGAGTGGGCAGGAACCGTCACCCTTGGGCTACAGAGGCTGGGCCCTCCAACCCCAGCAGACAGAGGTTCTGGGAGCCGCCTCAGCACGACCCAGCAAGGGTGGGCAGTGGGGACTGGCCACGGGGTGCTCCCAGCGCCTCCCACCCCCTCAGCTCTCCTTCCCGCACCCTGAGTCCAGGGGATGGGGTAGCGGCCAGCCCAGCTGGGAAGAGAGTGGAGCTTTCACTTGGGGTGCCCCAGGGTGAGCTGGGGGTATTGAGGGGGTGACGCAGGTGGGCAGCACTTGGCCCTCACAAAGGTTATCATTTTCACAGCAGAGAGTAAGGCTGCCAGACACAGCTCTGGGATCTGCTCTGGTCCCCTCGACGGTGGGTGGCCAGTGACCCACCTGGTGAGCCCGGCGGACAGGATCGTGTCCTTGGGGATACGGGACTGGCGCCTGTGAGGCAGGGCCCGGCCCGAGGAGCCTCCGGGTCCTGCTGGGTTCTTGGCCTCCGTCCACCATGCACCTCCCATCCCCTCAAGCCTCTTCTCCCACACCCCTCCCTCCTCGCCTCTCAGGGCCCCTGTGGCACCTTCGTAGCATCCCAGCTTATGTGACCTCAGGTTACACAAGCAGCAGCCTGGGGCACCTCTGGGCTTCTCTGTTAAATCATCAGGAGGACCTGGCGGGCTGCACATAGGCAGACGGTCCACGGAGCCACAGCCGGGACCCGCACAGAACCACTCGGGGCCCAGCCCTAGATGAGAGCTCAACAGCGAGGAGAGCCCTGACCTGGAGCGACAGCCCGAGGCCCCTGCTGCACTTGAGCTGCAGAGAGGGAGGCCATGAGCTCCGACATCACAGATGGAAGGCCGAGCGCAGTGGCTCACGCCTGGAATCCCAGCACTGTGGGAGGCCGTAGCAGGCGGATCGCCTGAGGTCGGTGGGTCACGTGAGGTCAGGAGTTCGAGACCATCCTGGCCAACATGACGAAACCCCATCTCTACTGAAAACACAAAAATTAGCCAGGCATGGTGGCAGATCTCTGTAATCCCAGCTACTTGGAAGGCGGAAGCGGGAGAATCACTTGAACCCAGGCGGCAGAAGTTGCAGAGAGCTGAGATCTTGCCACTGTATTCCAGCCTGGGTGACAGAGTGAGACTCTATCTCAAAAAAATAAAAAATAAAATAAAATAAACACAGATGGGAAAATGTCCCCAGCCCCCAAAATACCACAATGAATCCGAAAGCCAAACGATCTGGGAAAGAAACATTTCTACATGTACGCCACAGAGAATGCTAATATCTTCCGTTTACAAAGGGCTTTATAAATCAGTATTAAAAACCGGAAAGGACATGAACAACTCACAAAAGAAAAAGGCAAATGGCTACTAAATACATGGAAAAAATGCGGAGCCTCAGCAGTGAATGAAAACGTGCAGGGTAACAAGCGTCAGAGCTCGGCCCATGAGGGCACACCAGGGTGGCTGGTTCACATCCACAGTTGATGGAGGAAGGAACGGGCGTGAGCCCATGGCCGTAAAATCAGTGCAACTCGGCCCGGCGCGGTGGCTCATGCCTGTAATCCCAGCACTTTGAGAAGCCAAGGAGGGAGGATTTCTTGAGTTCAGGAGTTCAAGACCAGCCTGGGCAAGATGGTGAAACCCTATCTCTACAAGAAATACAAAAATTAGCCAGGAGTAGTGGTACATGCTTATAGCCTCAGCTACTCAGGAGGCTGGGGTAGGAGGGTTGCTTGAGCCCAGAAGGCTGCAGTGACCTGAGATTGCACCACTGCACTCCAGCCTGGGCGACAGTCGCCATGCTGACCGTTATGGGGTCAACTGCATCCCCCCAAAATTCAGAGGTTAAAGTCCTAGCCCCCAGGGCCTCAGAATGTGTCTGTATCTGAGGAGAGGGTCTTTAAAAAGGTAATTGATTTTAAATGAGGTCCCTGGGATGGGCCCTAATCCAATAGGACTGGTGTGTTATAAGAGGAGCAGATGAGGACACAGACACACACAGAAGGATGACCACGTGAGGATGCAGGGAGAAGGCGGTGTCTGCAAGCCGAGGAGAGAGACCTTGGGAGGAACCAGCCCTGACACCTTGATCTCCGGCTCCAGCCTCGAGGACTGTGGGACAATCAGTGTCTGTTGTCCAAGCCGCCTGGTCCTGGGTGCTTTGTCTTGGCAGCCATAGCAGATGAATGCACTGGCGTTTGGTGAAAAACTGGCAGGCTTTGAGGGAGTGAGTCAAGTGCATGGGAAGGGAAGGCCCTCTGGGCCAAGTCCAGGGTGGTGGCCTGAGGCAAGCGTGTGCCCACCACACAGCACCGTGAGGAGAAGCCGGCCAGCTGGAGCAGTGCACGGCACGTGAGTGAGTGGGAGATGAGGTCAGAGAGATGGGGGGCACCTTGGCTTTGACCCTGAGTGAGAAGGGCTCACGGAAGAGTTGCAAGCAGATGGGGGATGGACTCTGCCTTATGTTCTTAGAGGGTCCCTCGGAGCCTGTGTTTACCTCATAAGGGGCCAAGGGTAAAAGTCAAAGGCCACAGAGAACTCATCAATATGAATATACATGTTATACCAACAAATTAAATTATTTAGTTGAACAAATTAGATCATTTAACTGGATAAATTAGGTAAGTTAGTTGAAATGGACAAATTCCTAGAAAAACACAATCTACCAAAATGGACTTAAGAAGAAACAGAAACACTGAATAAACAAGATTAAAGGAATAATTTAAAAATTTCCTGAAGGAACAAACTCTGGACCAGATAGCTTCACTGGTGAATTCTACCAAACACCTAAGGAAGAATTAATACCAATCCTTCACAAACTCTTCCAGGAAATCAAAGAGGAGGGGACATGTCCTAATTCATTCCATGGGGGCAGAACCATCCTGACACCCAAATCAGACAACGACATCACAAGAAAAGAGTTATAGGCCGGGTGCGGCGGCTTACGCCTGTAATCCCAGCACTTCAGGAGGCCGAGGCAGGCAGATCACTTGAGGTCCGGAGTTCGAGACCAGCCTGGCCAACAGGGTGAAACCCCATCTCTACTAAAAATACAAAAATTAGCCGGACGTGGTAGCGCATGCCTGTAATCCCAGCTACTAGGGAGGCTGAGGCAGGAGAACTGCTTGAACCCAGGGGGCGGAGGTTGCAGTGAGCTGAGATCACGCCACTGCCCTCCAACCCTCCAGCCTGGGCAAAGAGTGAGACTGTCTCAAAAAAAAAAAAAAAAAAAAAAAAAGGCAGCTATGCAGCTATAGATCAATATCCTTTCTGAATATACACACAAAAATCCTTCTACAAAATATTAGCAAACTGAATACAGTGACACAGAAAAGGATTATATATCATGACCAATTTCTGGAGCCTATCCCAGGAGTGCAAGGCTGGTTTAAATTCAAAAATCAGTTAATGAAATACACCGTATCAATAGGATAAAAAACAAAGCCACACGATCATCTTAACTGATGCAGTAAACACATTTGACAACATCCAACATGCTTTCATAATTAAAAAAAAATCAACAAAGTAGGAATAGAAGTGAATATCTCCCACCTGATAAAGAGCAATTTTTTTGTTTGTTTTTTGGTTTTTGATTTTTTTCCTGAGACGGAGTCTTACTCTGTCGCCCAGGCTGGAGTGCAGTGGCACGATCCCAGCTCACTGCAACCTCTGCCCTCCGAGTTCAAGTGATTCTCCTGCCTCAGCCTCCCGAGTAGCTGGGATTACAGCACGTGCCACTGCGCCTGGCTAATTTTTTGTATTTTTAGTAGAGATGGGGTTTCATCATCTCGGCCAGGCTGGTCTTGAACTCCTGACCTTGTGATCCACCCACCTCAACCTCCCAAAGTGCTGAGATTATAGGCGTGAGCCACCACGCCCAGCTGATAAACAGCATTTTTTTTTTAAAAGCCACAGCTAACATCATTCTTTTTTTTGTTTTTTTGAGATGGAGTCTCACTCTGCCGCTCAGGCTGGAGTGCAGTGGTGCAATCTCGGCTCACTGCAAGCTCCACCTCCTAGGTTCACGCCATTCTCCTGCCTCAGCCTCCTGAGTAGCTGGGACTACAGGCGCCCGCCACCACGCCTGGCTAATTTTTTTGTATTTTTAGTAGAGACGGGGTTTCACCATGTTAGCCAGGATGATCTCGAACTCCTGACCTCGTGATCTGTCTGCCTCGGCCTCCCAAAGTGCTGGGATTACAGGTGTGAGCCACCGCGCCCGGCCAGCTAACATTATTCTTAATGATGAAGGACTGCTGCTTCTCCCCTAAGATCAGGAAAAGACCAGGATGTTTGCTTTCACCACTTCTATTTGACATTGTACTGGAGATTCTAGACAGGGTAATCAGTCAAGGAAAAGAAACGAAACACATCCAGATTGGAAAGGAAGAAGTAAAACTATCTCTATTTGTAGGTGACATAAACTGGTATATAGAAAATCCTAATGAATCCACTGAAAAGCCATTAGAACAAGTTCTAACAAACAAGTTCAGCAACATTGCAGGGTGCAGATCAATATGCAAAAATCAATTCTATTTCTGTGTGCTAGCCATGAACAATCTGAAAAGGAAATTAAGAAAACAATTCCGGCTGGGCATGGTGGCTCACGCCAGTAATCCTAGCACTTTGGGAGGCTGAGGCGGGTAGATCACGAGGTCAGGAGATGGAGACCATCCTGGCTAACACGGTGAAACCCCGTCTCTACTTAAAATACAAAAAATTAGCCGGGCGTGGTGGTGGGCACCTGTAGTCCCAGCTACTCGGGAGGCTGAGGCAGGAGAATGGCGTGAACCTGGGAGGCAGAGCTTGCCGTGAGCCGAGATCGTACCACTGCACTCCAGCCTGGGCGACAGAGCGTTACTCCATCTCAAAAGAAAAAAAAAGAAAAGAAAAGAAAACAATTCCATTTAAAATAGCATCAAAAGGAATAAAATACTTAAAAATAAGTTTAATAAAAAATGTGCAAAGCTTGTTCTCTAAAAACCACAAAACACTATTGAAAGAAATTAAAGAAGACCTAAATAAATGGTAAGATATCCCATGTTCATGGATTAGAATTCTTACCATTGTTAAGATGACAATACTCCCCAAATTAATCTACACCTTCAATGCGATTGCTGTTAAAATCTCAGCTGCCTTTTTTACAGAAATTGACAAGCTGAGTCTAAAATTCATATGGGCTGGGCATGGTCTACAGTTACATGGATAAGTAAGGCATGGTCTACAGTGTCCGTGTGACGGAACATTATTCAGCCACAGAAGGAAGGAAATGCCGACACATTCCGCAACATGGATGGGCCTCAGAGACGCTGTGCCTAGGGAAAGAAGCCAGACACAAAAGGCTACATATTGTGTGATCCTGTCCGTGTAAAATGTCCAGAACAGGCAAATCCACTGAGTGAGGAGATAGATCTGTGGTTGCCTGCAATCGCAGGGGCAGGGAGTGGGGAGTGTGTTTAATGGATGTGGGGTTTCTGGGGGGATGATGAAAATGTTCCAAAATTGATTGCAGTGATGGCTGCGTGGTTCTTTGAATACACTAAAAAATACAAATCACTGAATTGAGCCATTTAAATTGGTGAATGGTCTGGGCGCGGTGGCTCATGCCTGTAATCCCAGCACTTTGGGAGGCTGAGATGGGTGGATCACCTGAGATCAGGCGTTCAAGACCAGCCTGGCCAACATTGCAACACGCTGTCTCTACTAAAAAGGCAAAAATTAGCGCACGCCTGCAATCCCAGCTACTCGGGAGGCTGAGGCAGGATAGTCGCATGAACCCAGGAGGCAGAGGTTGCAGTGAGCCCAGATCGCACCACTGCACTCCAGCCTGGGTGACAGAGGGAGACTCCGTCTCAAAAAAAAAAAAAAAAAAAAAAAAAAAAAAGAAAGATGTACATCTGTCGTTGCCTGAAATTGCAGGGGCAGGGAGTGGGGAGTGTGTTTAATGGATGTGGGTTTTTGGGGGGGATAATGAACATGTTACAAAATTGATTGTGGTGATGGCTGCACAGTTCTGTAAATACACTAAAAAATACACATCACTGAATTGTGCAGTGTGAATTGGTGAATTGTATGATACGTGAATTATATTTTAATAAAGCCGTTAAACATTTTTAACGGAAAGGAGGATGTTACAAACATCACATTTAGCAGAAGACAGCTGGCAGACACAGAGCTAGAGGTGAACTAGTGGTTTGCTCTAGGTGGTGGGACCAGAGGTGATTTTTATTGTCTTTTCATTTGGCTACATTTTTCAAAATTTCTTCAATACCCATACATGTATTTGTCAATTTAGAGCCACATAGCATCACTTTCTCAACTGTCTTTTCAGACACATTGGTCCCACCCTCCTGTCTAAATCTTGGCTATCAGCTCATCCTGCTGCCTCTCCCTCCCCATTCCTGGCTTCTCTCAACAGGAAGAGGAGCAGGGGCCTCTGCGTCAAAGGCCGGCTTTGGGTAAGTCAGGTCACCACTCTGACCCTCAGAATCCTCTTCCCCACTGCGGGAGCTGTACCTTGCTTCCATGACACTCTGTCCCCTGCTTTCCTCCCGCTGCTCTGCTCCTTCTCTCCCGGGGCCTTCCCTTACTGCACCATCCCTCCGTGTCGCCCTCCCCACCCTCTGGCCTGTCTTCTCACTCTGCAAGCCCTCCTTGGGTGTCTGGCTCCTGGGTGGGCAACGCTTACCTCTGTGTGCTGGTGACCTGCAGAGCTTCCAGGACAATGTGTGCAGTGTGGAGCTGACCCCCCTGCCACCCCCAGCAAGGGCCACCTGGGCACTGCCCTTCCCAGGCTTCCCTCCTTGTCCCTCAGTGGGGGCCATCGTGGGGGTCTGAGCACACATGCTCGGCAGATGCTGGATCTGTGCTGGGCTTCTGAGCATCAGAGGCCTCAGTGTGCCCCTCCAGGCTTCCTGGTCACCTCCATTGGGTGCAGCAGGAAGCCCCCGGGCTGGGGCAGGGACAGGAGCTCAGATGGAGACAGGAGGTTCAACAGCTAATGTCCCCACTGTGACAGGCTCTGCTTTCCACCAGTGTGGCTGGGAGCACCTGGTGGTGGGGACACCCAGAGGGGCCTGGGTGGGAGACCCCCGCACCTGCTCCCACCTGCACACTGACCTCCCGCCTGTCTCTATGGGGGACTCTGGCCACCTATGTACAACAGAGGGGGAATTAGACTGTGGCCACCCTCTCCAGAACTGCACCCCGTTCCTTTCTGCAGCAGGACGGGCTGGCCAAGAGCAACCGATTGTCGAGATAAGAGGCCGATAGCTGTCGGGCACGGAGCTGGTGGGCGCCAGGCTGGCGGGGCGTGGGGCAAGCCTCCGGGAAGCGACTGATGAGAGAGCAGCGGGAGGACCAGAGGTGATGACGAAGGCAGGGCGGGAGTGGGACGGGGGCCGCACAACAGAGACCCTAACCTGAGCCCGCTGACCCAGCCGTCTGACCCCTGTCCAGGGACAGGTGGGTGCGGGGTGTGAGCAGAGAGGACGGAGGCAGGTGTGGCTGTGGGCAGGGTGGCTTCTCTAAGGTCCCCCGTGGTAGTGGGGGATCTTTTTGTAGGACGGAGTCATGGGCAGCCTGGGCCAGCCAGGGAGGCCCTGCCAGTGGGGAAGGAGGTGGCTGCTCCTACGGCTGGGCCAGAGGTGTCCCTGATGTCCGTGGATGGTCCTGGCAACCAAGAAAGCGGCTGCTCTTCCTCCTCCACACAGCCACCTTGGTGAGGGAGACGGGGCGGGTCAGGGACGGGGCGGGCGCAGGAAGCCCAGCTCTCAGGCGGTGAAGGGGGCGGGTCCAGGAGGGGGTGTGAGGCTGGCTGGGAGGCCCCGGGAATGCGCGCGACGGCAGGCCGTCTGCCCACCCGTGCCACCTGCCCTCCCCCCACGGGCCCTCGGCCCAGCTCCTGGTGGCCGTGAGCTTGTCCCGCAGCTCGGAGATGCTGCTTAGCGGGGCGCCTCGTCATTGGTCGTGCGCCTGCTCAGTCTGGGGCAGGGGCTGGGACAGCGTCTTTAATCCCCGGTGCCGGTGCGGGGATCAGGGCAACGTGGAGTGAGACAGCGAAGGGATGGCGCCGTGAGCCCTCAGCGCGGGGAGACACACGCCGGGCCGGGGCGCCAGGAGCGGGGGTGGCGGGGAGGGGAGGGAGGGAAGGCTGGTGACGTCAGTGGTTCCAGTTCCGCAGCAGCGGAGGCCGCGGCCGGGGACGTGAGACACCAGCTGACGCCCGGAGCCTCACAACCTCTGCACACACATTCTCCTGAGGGCCGGTGCCTGGAAACAAAGGCCACCCCCGCCGGCCGGAAACTTCTAGGCTGGCAATGGAGATGGGACATCTGGTGACCCCCTCTGTATCCTCCTCTCCCTTGGGGTCCTCCAGGAAGGGCTGCGTGATCAATGACCCACTTTTTTGTTTTGTTTTTGAGATGGCCTCTTGTTCTGTCTCCCAGGCTGGGGTGCAGTGGTGTGACCTAGGTTCACTGCAACCTCCACCTCCCGGGTTCAAGCGATTCTCCTGCCCCAGCCTCCCTCGTAGCTGGGACTGCAGGTGCGTGCCACCGCGCCCGGCTAATTTTTTTTTTTTTTTTTGAGACGGGGCCTCCCTCTGTCGCCCAGGCTGGAGTGCAGTGGCGCTATCTCAGCTCACTGTAAACTCCACCTCCTGGGTTCATGCCATTCTCCTCCCGAGTAGCTGGGACTACAGGTGCCCTCCACCACGCCTGGCTAATTTTTTTTTTTTTTTTTGTATTTTGT
Source organism: Homo sapiens (assembly GCF_000001405.40). Taxonomy (NCBI): domain Eukaryota; kingdom Metazoa; phylum Chordata; class Mammalia; order Primates; family Hominidae; genus Homo; species Homo sapiens. Next base: position 1,384,006 of record NC_000011.10, read on the forward strand.
TTTTTTAGTAGAGACGGGGTTTCACCGTGTTAGCCAGGTGAAACCCGGCCAGGTCTTGATCTCCTGACCTCGTGATTCGCCCACCTCAGCCTCCCAAAGTGCTGGGATTACAGGCATGAGCCGCCGTGCCAGGCCAATTTTTGTATTTTTAATAAAGTCGGGGTTTCACCATGTTGGCCAGGCTGGTCTTGAACTCCTGACCTCAGGTGATCTGCCTGCCTTGGCCTCCCACAGTGCTGGGATTACAGGCATGAGCCACTGCCCCCAGCCTCAATGACCCACTTGTCCACTGGCCTGCACTTACATCCTCAGGCAGCTGGAGCCGCCTCCTGCAGGAAGCCCTCCCCCTGCCACCCACCCACCCACCCACCCAAAGGCGGGGCTTCCCCTTGGGTTGCCATGGACCTTGTGGCCGGCAGGGCACCCGGTGCACCCAGGTGTGTCTCCCCGCGTGGCCCACAGGCTCTTCTGGGTGGAGCTCAGAAGAGCCTCTGCGCAGCTTTACTGAAGTAAGATTGTACGTATATGATTCGATGAGTTTAGCAAACAAGCCAGCCGTCAGGATGTGCAAGAATTCCTATCGCCCTGGACCCACAGCCACCCCTCTGCCTTCTGTAGCTACAGTTTTGCCTTTTCCATAATATCATAGAAATAGAATCATACAGCACATGGCTTTCTGAGGCCAGATTCTTTCACTTGGCCTAATGTGTTTGAGATTTGCCCACATCTCAGCCACGCTTCCTGGCCCGCTGTGGTCACGGCTGAGTCGCGTTCCCCGTGTGGGTGCACCACAGCCTGTCTGTCCAGTCATCACCCAAGGACAACGGGGTTCTTTCCACTTCTTGGCTGTTACTAATAAAGTGGCTATGAACATTTGCATGCAAGTTGTGTGTGGCCGTAAGTTTTCTTTTTCTTGGGAAAATAGCTGTAAGAGGGATTGTTGGATCGTATGGTAACGGTGTGTCTAATTTTATAAGAAACTGACAGACTGGTTCCCAAAGCATCATTTTGCACTCCCATCTGCAACGTCTGAGAGTTCGAGGTGCTTTGTGTCGTCTAAATTTCCGTCATCATTTTTTTGAGGCAGGGTCTCACTCTGTTGCCCAGGCTGGAGCGTAGTGGCTCTATGGTGGCTCACTGAAGCCTCCATCTCTCCAGTTCAAGCAATTCTCCCACCTCAGCCTCCCAGGGAGCTGGGACTACAAGTGTGGAGTCCTGGTGTGTAGCCATGCCTGGCTATTTTATTTTTATTTTTCATAGAGATAATGTGTTAGGCTGTTCTTGTGTTGCTATAAATACCTGAGACTGGTAGTTTATTTTAAAAAGAGGTTTAATTGGCTTATGGTTCTGCAGGCTGTAAAGGAAGCATGGCATCCGGAAGCTTCCAATAACGGTGGAAGGCAAAGGGGGAGCAGGGGTCTCACACGGCAGAAGTGGGAGCAAGAGAGAGTGGGAGGGGAGGCTCCCACTTAACCAGATCTCACGAATACTCACCATTGCAAGGACAGCACCAAGCCCCGAGGAATCCACCCCATGACCAAAACATCTCCCAGCAGGCCCCATCTCCAACACTGAAGATTCCATTTCAACATATGTCTGGGCGGGGACAAATACCCAAACTATATCAGATGGAGTCTTGCTATGCTGCCCAGGCTGGTCTCAAATTCCTGGGCTCAAGCTATCCTCCCACCTTGGCCTTCCAAAGTGCTGGCAGTACAAGCATGAGCCACTGCACCTGGCAGCTTGTCAATTTCTAAAAAAAAAAAAAAAAAAAAAGAGAAAATTTAAAAAATCAAATTAAAATTAAATCGATTACTTGGGCCTTGTTAAGTCTCACTTAATATACTGAGAGATGTATAATCGTTTTTTGTGTACAGATCTCATGCAAATTCTGATAAATTTACCCCTAGTATTTCGTGGTTTTTAAATTCTCTTTGTAAGTGGTACTGTTTTCATAATTTCAACTTCTAATTGATGGTTAGCACACAAATAGAATTGACCTTTTTTTGGCTTTGTACCCTGTGGCTTTGGTAAACTTACTTATTCGTTTTAGTACCAGTTTGTAGCTTAGAATTTTCTGCAGACAATAATGTTATCTTCTTGTTTTACTTTCTGACATGGAGTTTTGCTCTTGTTGCCCAGGCTGGAGTGCAATGGCATGATCTCGGCTCACTGCAAACTCTGCCTCGTGGGTTCAAGCGATTCTCCTGCCTGAGCCTCCTGAGTAGCTGGGATTACAGGTGCCCATCACCAAACCCAGCTAATTTTTGTATTTTTAGTAGAGACAGGGTTTCACCAGGTTGGCCAGGCTGGTCTCGAACTCCTGACCTCAGGTGATCTGCCCGCCTCAGCCTCCCAAAGTGCTGGGATTACAGACGTGAGCCACCGTGCCCGGCCATTAATGTTATCTTCTAATAAAGATCACCTAAAATTTCCTTTTTGGCTGGGCACGGTGGCTCACGCCTGTAATCCCAGCACTTTGGGAGGCCGAGGCGGGTGGATCATGAGGTCAGGAGATCGAGACCATCCTGGCTAACACGGTGAAACCCCGCCTCTACTAAAAATAAAAAAAAATTAGCCGGGCGTGGTGGCGGGCACCTGTAGTCCCAGCTACTTGGGAGGCTGAGGCAGGAGAATGACGTGAACCCGGGAGGCGGAGCTTGCAGTCAGCCGAGATCGGGCCATTGCACTCCAGCCTGGGCGACAGAGCAAGACTCCATCTCAAAAAAAAAAAAAAAATAATAATAATAATAAAAAATTTCCTTTTCAACTGGTACAAATTTTGTCTTCCTTGCCTCATTACTTCGGCATGTACTCTGGCACGACACTGAAATAAATGATGATGATGGACAACCTTGCCCCATCCCTGACCCAAGGAAAAGCTTTCAGTTTCTCACCACTAAGCCTGACATTAGCTGTGGGTTTTTGTAGTTTCCCTTTGTTGGGTTGGGAGTGCAGGAGCAGAATAGATTCGAATCTTCTCCTCCTGGTTTACTGAGAGCCTTTGTCGTGAATGAGTGCTGAATTTTGTTGAATGCTTTCCTTGCATCTGTGGAAATGACCGTGTGGTTTTTCTGTGTTGGTCTGCTAATAGTGAATGACAATTGATTTTGAAATGTTAAACTAACTTTGCATTCCCGGGTACGCTCCACAAGGTCATATGTGTTCTCTTTATATATTGCTGGAATTGATTTGATGTTTTGTTAAGGGATTTTTGTGTCTAGGCTCCTGAGTGGACTTTAATTTTCTTGTCATGTCCTTGCATGGTTTTGGCACCAGGGTGATGACAGTTTCACAGAGGAGCTGGGACATGGCCCGTCTTCCTCTGTGTCCTGGAAGTGTCTGTGTAGCGGGGTGCTTTTCCTCCATTAGTGTTTGGTGGGCTCCACTGGTGAGTCTTGGCCTGGACGTCTTTGTGAGACTGGGCCCTTTCCTAACTCCGGCAACAGACCTTCGTGCTCGAGAGCCCTGGCTCCTTTGGGGCTCCTGCTCCCACCTTACACGCGACAGAGGGGGACCGAGGGCTGTGGCATCACAGTCGTGGGCATCTACTGGCTGGCCACACCCTGGTACACCCTCTCCTGGGGCACCCCAGTACCAGGCCCGCTGGAAGGAAGGGCAGTCATCCTGTTGATCCCCACAAAGATGGCAGCAGGGAGGGCGCGGCGTGCTATGGAGAAGGCGTTGAGTCTGGGGTTTTGTGCAGCACCTTCAAGAGGGGACAGCAGGGCCAAGGGAGGCTGGGAGGGCGATTTGAGGATAGGCACTCAAGAGGCTGAAGGCTGACTAGCCTCTTGCGCCCGGAGGACAGGCAGGGAGCCAGAAGAGAGGCCCCAGACTGAGCCCCAGAGGCCACCAATGGCATAGGCTGCTCAGACACAGACAGGGAAGAAAAGGCCTCAGGGCTGCAGTGAGGGTTGGGAGAGGGATGCAGGCTGGCAAGGAGGTGGGAAGGAAGAAAGCAAGAATTTTGGCCACTGGAGTAGCCGGATGCAAACGGTCAATAGGGCAAAATGCTGCTGAGGATGTCACAAAGGTGCGTCTGACTCTGCTGCAGCCTGGGAGGCCAGGTGACCATGGCAGCAGAGAGAGGGCATCTCAGGTCAAGTGCCCCTGCCCTCTGGCTGTGGCCTGACGCCCTCTCCTGGTCTCCTGCACACCCTCGGCCTCTGTTGGCACCTGGACCAGACCACTCCCAGTCAGCCTCCAGCCAGACCTCACTGCTTGACAGTTTCTCCAGCTGGAGGTCCCAGTCTACATTCAGCTAAAAATGTCTGCTGTCCCCACTCACAGCAGCAGCAGCGGGGGAAAGGGGAGTGCCCTCTGCCTCTGTCCCATGCTCTCAGCCCCCCTCCCCTGCCCCCACTGGTGGGGCCCTGATTGCTCATGCTCAGAGGCCCCAGAATTGGGTAGGGAGGACCCTTAGTCCACAGCATTTGAAGGGAAGCAGGGCGGGCGGGTGCAGGCCGAGAGTGGACAGGTGCTTTGGGGCCCACTCCCCTCCCCAGCTGGAAATACAGACAGCCCAAAGAGCAGGAGGGCGCACTGGGAAGACCCCGCAGTTTCCTGAGCTCATACGGGCTTACCAGCGTGGGGAGCGGACCACGGTCAGCAGCAGTGTGTGGCAGAGCCCGCAGGGGAAACGTTGCCCGCAGACCATACACGGGCAAGATCTGGGACCCCCACTTCTGCAGCGTTCCGGGTCTCCCTCACCTCTCCCCTCCCACCACCTTCTGCAGCACGGGCTTAAGGAAATACCAGTGTTTTTCTGCAAAGAAACAGAGGGTCCGTCCAGGTCTGGCTGCCTCTTCGGCTGCCTGTGTTTAGACCTCCAAAGGCTGCTCCCGGCAACCCCTGCCCAGCTGCTCAACCTGAAAGAGGGGTCGGTAGCAAGGGCCGGGAGGCGCCAGGGCGCTGCGGCCGGATCCCAGGTGAGTTCCTTGACTCCGCGCCGCGCAGGTCACTGTGGCATAACTGGGAAAACCGCCGCTTCTCCCTCGGGAGCGGAGGCGGAGGGCCACGTCCTCCCTGGGGGTGCACAATCTCTGCTTGGACAACGCCCGCGTGCAGTAGCCCCACAGACTCCCATGCAGCCCCCCCGCCACGTGTGCCGCATCCGCGCCCTGCATGCAACACCCGCCCCCTCCAGCGCAGCATGCCCCTCGCTGGCGTGCAGCACCCCCCATGTGTGCAGCACCCCTGCCCCGAATACAGCACCTCTCCCCAGTACAGCACTCCCGCCCCGCATGCAACACTCGCCCCCCTCCAGGGCAGCATCCCCATCCCCCGCGCGTGCAGCACCCCCTCGAGGGGCGGGAAACTCTTTGGGACACCCGGGGTCACGCCCTGCAGGGTAAAACCCCCGTCCAGGGCAGCCATCTGCACCCCCTCGCCATGGGCCCACTGCCTGCTCCGTCCCGGGATGCGCCTTAATGGCGGGTCGGGCGGCAGCGGGAGCTCTGCTGCCTGGTGGGACCGGACGTGGCAGCCGGCGGGCTGGAGGCTCCCAGGTCCCGGCCTCGCCCTGGCCTCGCCTCGCCCCCTAGAGTCTCCCCGAGCGCTCGTAGCGGCGGGGCGGGGTGGGGAGGCGCTGATTGGCCGGCGCGGGCACCGCTTGCCGCCGCCACGGCATCCCGCTGCGTTCGTACAGGCTCGTGTCGACTCGGCTCCGTTGCGCGGCCCGGCTCGGCTCCCCTCAGCTGCGCTCGACTCCGCTGTTCGGCTCGGCTGTTCGGCTTGGCTACAGGGCTCGGCTGTTCGGCTTGGCTACATGGCTCGGCTGCGCGGCTCGGCTCTGTTCGGCTCGGCTCGGCTGCTGGGCTCGGCTGTTCGGCTCAGCTGCGCGGCTCGGCTCGTCTCGGCTCTGTTCGGCTCGGCTCGGCTGCTGGGCTCGGCTGTTCGGCTCAGCTGCACGGCTCGGCTCGGCTCGGCTCGGCTCGGCTGCGCGGCCGCTGACGGGCGTGCGCTGGGGGCGCGGGGCGCGGGGCGCGGGCCTCGGCGGCGGCGGCGGCGGCGGCGGCGGAAGCCAGGTGCCCCCGCCCGCCCTGTCCTCTCGACGAGGCGGAGGCGTCGCCGCGGGCCAGGCCTCGGACTGCCGCGTCGGAGTGGACGCGGGGGGCGGCGGCGCGGGCGGACGCGGGCGGCGCGAAGCAGCGGGGCCCGCGGGGGCGCCCCGGCCGGGTCGGCGCGGACGGCACTCGGCGGACGCGGGCGGACGCTGGGCGGCCCCTCCCTGCCCGCGCGCCCGGGCGCCCCTGGCCGGCGCCGGGCCCCAGAGCGATGACATCGACGGGGAAGGACGGCGGCGCGCAGCACGCGCAGTATGTTGGGCCCTACCGGCTGGAGAAGACGCTGGGCAAGGGGCAGACAGGTGCGTGCGGCCGGGGCGGGGACCGGGGCCGGGGAGGCCGCGCTGGCAGCGCGCTGGGTGGGGGGCGCCCGAGGGAGGCCCCGGCCGCGAAGCCGCAGGCCCGGCCCGGGCCCCGGCCGCGAACAATGGGCGGCCCGTGCGCCCCCGTCCGCTCGTGCGCCCCGGTTCCGCCGCGGATCCCGCAGGCCGCTTGGCTGCGGTCGGCCGGGCGCGGCCCAAGGACACGCGGCGCGGCGCGGGGCGCGCAGGCGGACAGGGGCGCACGGGACGGCGCCCCTCGGGCCCCGCTGCAGGTGCGCGGCCCGGGCCGCATTGTGCGCCCCAGCGACCGGGCCCATTGTGCCGCGGGAGGAGGGGGCCGCGCGGGCGCCCATCTGCCGTCTGCCGCGGCCGCGCTAATAGGCGTGCTGCCCGAGCAGCTGCGCCCCCGGCGGGACTCCCACCTCCGCGCGCCGGCCACCGGGGCCTCCGGGCAGGCCCGATCTCCCTCCGCGGTGGGGGCGGGAGAGTGCGGGGACCTGCAGAGGGCTGGACAGCGCCTTGCGCTGCTCCGGCTCGGGCTCGGGCGGGCGGAGCGTCTGTGACCTGCATTCCCACGGGGCAGGGAGAGGCCATTGGTGCTGGGACCAGAAGTGCGTGGGACCTGACCCGTGGAGCAGCCCCGCGGCCTGCCGGTGGAGGGGGCTTCCCGGTGGGGCCTGGCTGTCATTCTAGGGAACAGGCCGGGTCCCTGCGGGGCCGAACCCAGGCCAGAGGCAACCCAGCTACCCTCGCATGTGGCCAACTCTCCCCGGCCCGCTGGGTTTGGCTAGCCCTTCATCTGGTCAGGCACATTCACAGAGTCGCCTTTGTGGAGGCTGGGGCTCAGCCATTTTCTTTCTTCTCTCAGGACCGGCCTGTCTCTTGGTGTCCCCGAGGTCCCACGGCACTGCCTCTCCCTTCCAATCCGAGAAGTTCCTTAGACCCGGGCGGGCAGGGGTGGAGGGAAGGAGGAGGAGAGCGCTGGTGCAGGGTGGAGGCTCAGCCCCTCACGGCTGCACAGAGGAGGAGCTGGGAGGTGGCGTTGGGGAAAGAAAGTGGGCCAGGCCCAGGCTCTTGGGGGAGGGCCGTGGCTGTGATGTAACTACGGCAGAGCTGCAGGAAGGGGTTTAGACTGAGGGGTTCAGGGGAGCTGCCTCACCTTGGGTGCACAGCCTTCCGCCACCCGCCACGGCACGGAAGGGCCCCTGGCCACAGGGCAGGACCTGGGCAGGTGGGGTGGTGCAGCCTGGGTTGGAGAAGGAGGTGGCATTCAGCCCATGTCACCTGAGTTCAAAATTCTCGTCTTTCCCGGAAAGAAAAACTAGTGTGTGAAATCCGTGGTGAAGGAGGGGCCCAGGGCAGCAGGATGCAGGAGTCAGTGAGATAATCCAATTACGGTCCCAATAAAATGTTATTATAAGGAAACATCTGCGTGTAAATGAAGACACGATGAGTTATGTGCTGTGCGCGGCCTCGGTGGGTAGGGGCTGGTCTCCACTCTTCATGGCATTCTGCTGGCGGCAGTTAATTACGGGAGGTTTCCACTGTAATTAACAGTAATGAATACAAAAGGATGGGCTGTGTGTGTCTACAACGTGCTGAGAGAGATATTTAGAAAACAGCTCGAGGGGGGGCACAAAGCGGCCCCTCTCTCCCGAGTTATGACGGGCAGAGCGCAAGCGTGTCACCGGGAGGGCCCTGGAGAAGGCCACCATTTCTGTGCGTCTTCTGTTGCTGCTGCTGAAGGGTCACCAGGAGTTGGGTGGACATGGGGCCTGGAGTGTGTGTGCTGGGCCACTTGGCACCAGATGCCAGGAGAGCTGCCAGGTCCCAAGCTCAAGAGGGAGATAGGCTTCCTGCCAGGAGACCTCCGTGGGAGAACGGGAGGCTGGGCTTCTGGCCGCCACCACCCGAGGACGATCTGATCCTGCCGTTGAGAACGCTTCTCCTTCCAGGGACCTGGCCACAGGGGAGCTGTGGAGGCCTTGCTTGGGGGGCCATTGGTGTGGACGCGACTCCAGCCCCTTCCCCGTGTCTGTGGCTGGCAGCTTTGTTTGGCCCTCTCTGTTCATCTCTCTCAGCCTGAGACCTTGGAAGGAGGAGCTGCTCGACTTGAGGTGGCCACTGAGAGGGAGGTGGTCAGTGGCAGTGGCAGTGAGCCTTGTGGTGCCACGAGAGCCCTTCCACCCGGCTGACCCAAGCTGGGGCCTGCTGGACGGTGGGCCAAAGATGTGGTCCGAAACCTGCCCTTGGGGAGTCTGGCCGTGTGGGGAGGGGAGACCACGCAGCACCCCCACCGGGGCCTGGAGGACGCCCTTCTAGACGCCGCAGGGTCCGGTCGGCTGTCTTCTTCTGCCTTTCAGCGTGAGCGCTGCATGGTCTCACCTGTACGGCACCTCCCTGTCTTGTTGGGTCTGTGCGTCCTGCAGGGCCAGTGTGGCTGTAGGGTCGTCCTTCTGCATGGGGCGTCCTCTGCACAGCTCCCCTCGGTGGCTGTGGGGGTTGCCTTCAGTGGTCTCACTGCCGGTGCCAGGCACCAGGTGAAGCCGTCAGAGCACTGAGCATCTGTGGAAGCCTCCTCGCCGGCTGCTTGGTGGTTTCTGGCCAAGACTTAGGGGGATGTAGGCTGGGGTTGGGGTGGGAACCCACCTGCAAAGGTGCTGCCTTAGCTTTTCTTGGGGCTGAGAAAGGCTTGTGTAGCCTCATCTGAGCTTGACCCCTGCAGAGATGCCGAGACACAGTCCCTGCCAGCAAGGGCAACCATGGAGGTTGGAGGGCGCAGACACTCCGAGTTGGAGCATGCAGGTCCAGGAGGGTGTGTGGCACGGGCTGGGTGGCTTTTGTCCCTGCGCGCCTTTGTCCCTGTGCCCCATCAGTACGTGGAGCAGGGCACCTTCTTGCCCAAACCTCGGCTTAGCTCCTGAAATCTGGGAGGCCTGGGAGGGCCCTGTGGGAGGAGCTGGAGAACCTCGGGCCCTTGGAGCTGTTCTTGGGGGCAGGCGGGTGGGCTGCATGGGACGATGAGGGGCCTGCCTTCGGGAATCCTCTGTCTGGGGGGCGGGAGAAAGGAATAATGGCCGCGATAGGGCTCCCTGCGAGGGAACGAAGGAGCTAGGATGAGGGGCTGCCCTGCAGCTCACCTGGCAGTGTTCACCTGCTGTGGCGTGGGGGAGGGACCTAGGCTGCCAGGGACCTGGGGCCGCCCCTCCATGTTCTCAATGGCCTTTAGGAAGGTTGAGCCCTGGTGGCTGCCAGGGTGGAGAGGGGTCCTGGGATGGGAGGAGTCATTGAAGATGGAACAGGTGAGGGGAGGGAGAGCCTGTGCCTGGGAGACCCTGGGGGTGACCCCAGGCCCAGAAGCTGGAGGCAGATGTGGAGGGGAAGGAAGCTGGTCTGAGATGGGGTCTGTTTAGAAAGTTGAGCAGGACGGGCAGCGATGGGCTGTGGTGTGCAGGTCCCTGGAGATGGGCCATGGAGATGGGTCCTGGAGATGGGTCCTGGAGATGGGCCCCTGGAGATGGGCCATGGAGATGGGTCCTGGAGATGGGTCCTGGAGATGGGTCCTGGAGATGGGTCCTGGAGATGGGCCATGGAGATGGGTCCCTGGAGATGGGCCCCTGGAGATGGGCCATGGAGATGGGTCCTGGAGATGGGTCCTGGAGATGGGTCCTGGAGATGGGCCATGGAGATGGGTCCCTGGAGATGGGCCATGGAGATGGGTCCTGGAGATGGGTCCTGGAGATGGGCCATGGAGATGGGCCATGGAGATGGGTCCTGGAGATGGGCCCCTGGAGATGGGCCATGGAGATGGGTCCTGGAGATGGGCCCCTGGAGATGGGCCATGGAGATGGGTCCTGGAGATGGGTCCTGGAGATGGGTCCTGGAGATGGGCCATGGAGATGGGCCCCTGGAGATGGGCCCCTGGAGATGGGCCATGGAGATGGGTCCTGGAGATGGGTCCTGGAGATGGGCCATGGAGATGGGCCATGGAGATGGGTCCTGGAGATGGGCCCCTGGAGATGGGCCATGGAGATGGGTCCTGGAGATGGGTCCTGGAGATGGGCCATGGAGATGGGTCCTGGAGATGGGCCATGGAGATGGGTCCTGGAGATGGGTCCTGGAGATGGGCCCCTGGAGATGGGCCATGGAGATGGGTCCTGGAGATGGGTCCTGGAGATGGGCCATGGAGATGGGTCCTGGAGATGGGCCATGGAGATGGGTCCTGGAGATGGGTCCTGGAGATGGGCCATGGAGATGGGTCCTGGAGATGGGCCCCTGGAGATGGGTCCTGGAGATGGGTCCTGGAGATGGGTCCCTGGAGATGGGCCATGGAGATGGGTCCTGGAGATGGGTCCTGGAGATGGGCCCCTGGAGATGGGCCATGGAGATGGGTCCTGGAGATGGGTCCTGGAGATGGGCCATGGAGATGGGTCCTGGAGATGGGTCCTGGAGATGGGCCCCTGGAGATGGGCCATGGAGATGGGTCCTGGAGATGGGTCCTGGAGATGGGCCATGGAGATGGGTCCTGGAGATGGGTCCTGGAGATGGGTCCTGGAGATGGGCCCCTGGAGATGGGCCATGGAGATGGGTCCTGGAGATGGGCCCCTGGAGATGGGCTGTGCAGGGCTGAGCCCGGAGAGCGCATGGGTAGACAGGACCCGGCAGCCTCCCCAGCCATGAAGGTGAAGGTGGACTCAGCGTGGGGTGTCTGCTGCGAGACCCCAGGAATTCTGTGGCCTTCCCCACATCAGGCCCTGGCCATCTGACCCCAGCTGTTTTGTCAGGGCAGCAGCAGCCTGGGGCTGGACTGAACCCCTCATCTGCCCTGCACGGGGTTTCTACAAGCTGAGGTCTCAGGACGCTGTTCTCAGGGGCGCCGTGCACAGAGCCCGGGGAGCCAGCATGGTGGGTAGCCCTCCCATCTGAAGTCTCCCTGGCCCCCTGAAGTCCCTGGAAAGGCCCATTTGGTGTCGCTGGGCGCCATGTCAGTGACTGCGCCAGGGTGGAGGCCTCAAGATGCTGCCCCTGGCGTCTTCCTGCCCTGCATGCCCTCCACAGGGAGCCCCCTTTCCAGCTGAGAGCTGGCCTTGAGTGTCCCTGTCAGGGCCCTTGGCACAGAGGTTCCGGGTGGTGAGGACGGCAGTTCCCCTAGGCGGGGGCGGGAGGGTCGTTGGAGGCGGGAGCCCTAGGCCCTTGTCCTGTCCCCACCCACTGTGGCCCTGGGCACCTCAGGTGTGTGTGTCCCTGTTGACGTGGGTCTCCCTGCCTTGTCACTGGCAATGGCTGGAAAAGACACGCTGGGCAGAGGGCACCGCCCGGCCCTGATCGTGCTGGCCGTGCTGGCCCTGCTCTGCTGAGGTGCGTGCACGCCGTGGATTTCCTGGATGTGGAAGCCTCAAGGCCAGGCTGTGCCCCCTCCCCCAGCTGTGCCAGGGAGGGCTTTCCAGAGTCACCGTGGCTGGCTGCTGCCCCGCCTGCTCCACCATCTGCCCGAGCAGGGAGTTGTGTCCAGAACCACTGGGGAATGCAGGGCCTGGGCTGTGATGTGAGGTTGGCCTCTAGGCTTCAAGGGGATCTGTTTCTGGCAAATCTCACGCAGGCCCAGCTGGAGCTACTATCAAGGGCCGTGGCTCCTGCCCACGACCCAAGCTCCAGGGCCTCTGGGTCCCCACCATCGTTGGCTGCCGAGGTGGCCAGGTCCCTTCCTTGCTCTGAGGGTGGCTGGGAGTGTCTTAAGGTTGTCGCTGTGCCAGGTGTGTGTGGACCCCTGCGTCCCCCGCTCCTCGTCTCTCTTCCCTTCCACCCACGTCCCCCACTCCTGGTCCCTCTTCCCTTCCACCCACGTCCCCCACTCCTGGTCCCTCTTCCCTTCCACCCACGTCCCCCACTCCTGGTCCCTCTTCCCTTACAGCCGCCTCGAGGACTGCATGGGGCCAGCAAGGCCTGTACCCCAGGACACCAGAGTTGCTCGGACCGGCTCCCGGACCTGGGCCTAAGCGAGCTCTCCTGGTTCTCACTCCCGAGTCTGCGGAGTGACCCCGGGCCCTCTCATCATGGCCTCACCCTGCTCCGGCGCTCTGGGTGCTTTGAAGCAGACAGGAGACCCCCTCCAGGCTGGCCCGAGGGCAGGTCAGACCCCAGTCCCTGGGAACAGCCTGAGTGGGCTGTGCCTCCCCGTCGGCCACTGGCGCTCAGGAGGAGCCGTCGGGAAGGCCCCTTTGCCATCACCTGGTGGCGCTTGCTTGAGGGCTTCTGTGCCTTCCAGTCCTCACTGGGCACAGACTAGCTTCTTTGGGCACCTGGGGAGGGTCAGGCTGTCTCTGAAGTCAGCAGCCCTGCTGGGCAGCCGGCACCAGGAGAGGAGGCGGGCTGGTCCCCGTGACTGCCGGCCGCCGGCATCCACCTATGTGGGGCTGTGCCTAGATGGTGGCACTGTGGGGCATCACTGTGCAGTTCTGGGCCCTGCCCTCAGCTCTGGACAGCCCACCTGGACCCTGGCCCCTCGGAAGTGGAAGGACTGGGACCTCAGGGCCCCTGAGTGTAGAATGGGGTTTCCCTGAAGCTTGTGCGAGGTTCCAATGGCTGGAAACACCGTACCGCGCAGGAGGACGGCAGACCAGCATCTGTCAGGCCCCTTGGGGCTCACATGGCTGGTCCTCTGTGCTGCCCTGTGCTCTGCAGGAAGTTAACGGCACCCTGCCACCTCCTCTGTGCAGGGCAGCCCCGCTTTCACCTGTAGGGCTGGTGCCTGTGTCAGGCCCAAGCCCCAGGTCCTAGCCTAGGCTGACCAAGCGGCCTGCAGATCTCCCTGAGGCCTCACCCCAGGGATGTCCGCCGGGCCAGGCTGCCCTGAGCCAGCTGCCTGGGGCTCTGGACAAGATGGAGGCTGGGCTGGGGCAGAGGCTGCAGGGACAAAGCACGGATTGTGCCAAGCCGGCTGCCTTTCAGGGCCCGGCCTGCCAGGTCCAGGCCTTGTTCTACCGCCTCTGAGGGGCCAGTGTTCTGGGCCCAGCAGCTGGGAGCCAGGCCCCACCCACAGAGCAGTGCTCCCGAAAGTCCTGCTGTTAAAGAGAAACTCCTCGTTTTCCTGGACGCCTCCAGCTTCCCAGGCTCGTTCTGCCTTCAGTCCCGGGGCCCACGGAGGCCGTGGCTGCCCTACGCTGCTTTGCCCCAGGGGCCTGGGCTGCAGGCTGGGCCTGGCTTCCTCCCCGAACCCTGGAGAGTGACAGCACCACCCCCAGTGGATGGCAAGGTCCCATCGGTTGGCATGTGTCTCTCTGGGCACCATGCTCCTCGTTGGGTGCCACGTCCTTGGGCTGAGCTTGGGTCCTGTCTGCCCTGGGGGTACCATCCTATGAGGACAGAGCTGCCTTTCCTGGGTGGCCATGGCAGCCTCATGGCACTGGCTGAGGGGAATGGACACTTCTGGGATGGAGCTGGGCTGGGGTGGGGCTGGGTAGGGCCAGTGGGAGTTCTGGGCACCTTGGCCTGAGGGGGATGGGGGTGCCCAGGGCATTCACGCCATCACTGCCCACTTGGCTTAAGCTGGAGCCCAGGGCCCTGGAGGGCAGGCTGGCCTTCCCGGCCCCGGGCAGAGGTGGGAGGGCGCCTGGACGGCTGCCTGCATGATCCCCGTGATACAGCGGGGATGGCTGCAAGTCGGGCTGAGTCCAGCTGTGGGTGGTTTGCGGGGGCACAGGGAGCCTGCCTGGCCAGGAATGTCGCCTCTGCGGGTGTCTTGGCCTGGGAGCCCCCGGGGAACCCTTTGTATGGGAGAAGGGGTCAGGATAGGGGCTGGGGGGCAGTGCCTAGTGGCCCTCCATGCTGAGGGAAAGCCCCTCTTCACAGCTAGCATCGGGCCTCGTGTCCTCGGCACCCTGAATCAGCTGCAGGGCTAGCTGCTGCCTGAGCTGCCTGGTTGGGGCTGGCCTGGGCCCCTGATTGGCTGCTTCCCTGGGCGGGGGTGACGTTGCTGCCCTGGGTCCGAGAGTTATCTTGTGCGGACAGAGGTAATAGGTGTGGTACCCGCCCCGGGAAGGGTGGTGGCCAGGGTGGCCATGTCAGGCGCCTTGGCCCTGCCCCCTGGGGATACAGGGGGTGGAGAGGCAGCCCCAAAGCTGGGTTCTCAGAGACCTGGGGTGGCCAGATGGGGGCTCATTCAGCTGCCCCCTGTGCAGCCCCTTGGTGCCATTAACTTTCTGCAGAGCGCAGGGCAGCACAGAGGGCCAGCCAGGCCAGGGGGCCAGAGGTTCCCCTCCCACACAAGCTCCGAGGTGTCCAGACAGGAGGCGGTGGCCCCAGTCCGCATAGGCCTTTCCCCAGGGCAGCCCTTTCCCCAGGGTTAGGCTGCAGGCCCTGCCGGTGTGGCTTCAGGAGTCCTGGTCCCCGCACTCAAGCTTCCCTCCTGCTCATCTGTGATGGGGCCTGGGTGTACCCAGGTCCTTGGTAGGCGCCAGGAGATGTGTGGGGCCCCCTGGAGCCTGGAGCCCCCCCAGCCCCTCCGCTTATCTTTGGTGTCTGGGGCGGAGACTGGCCCTTGGCACCCGCGGCCGTCCCTGGCTTTCGTCCTGCGCCGTCCTGGGTCTTTGGGTCCCTCTGCCAGCCCCGTGGTGACTTCTTGCACACAGGGTTTGCAGGGGGGCTGCGGAATGACTCCGTCCCTTCCACAGCACACGGGCACCTCCAGCCAGGAAGGAGCTGGGCAGGCAGCCCCGCCCCAGGCCAGAGCCACAGAGCCGTTGTGACTGGGGGTCTCTGGCCAGGACGTTCCTGTGCTGTCTGTTGTGGGCAGGCCCCCCAGGGCAGGGCCACCTCCAGGGTACTTGGTTCCAGACGCTGGCTGAGTGGTCACTTGTGTCCACACCGCAGTTTCCCTATCTGTGAAGTGGCTTGGATAGGATGGTGGGGTGGTGCCAGGGGGTTGCTCTTGCTGGGACTGAGCCCAGGGCCTGGCCCTGCCACTGGGGCCAGCGTCAGCCTCAGGACAGCCGAGGAGGGGAGATGGCTTGTGGGCCAGGATGCCCGAGGGTGGGGAGAAGCAGCTCAGATGGCGTCACTGTGTTGCCTTCCCCCAGCCGATGGGATTTTTGTGGAGCTCTCTCTGCTGGGGACAATGAGAGGGGAGCCGTGAGCCGTGATAGGGATTGTGGCAAGGCCGGGCTGGTCAGCTGGGGATGCCAGGGCCGCACAGTCCCTCGGGGCTCAAACTGGCAGCTGTCCCCCCAGGGCTCTGGGCTGGTGAGGAGCTTGTCCTGCCCGTCCCTCTGCTGCCACAGTAACCCCGGACACATCCCATGTCATCTGCTGTGGCCCTGCCTTCTGCCGGGTGGACATGGGGGATTTGGGGTACAGGGAAGCAGTGAGTTCTGGGCCGACCAAATTCCCCGGTGCCGTCGGGCCCAGCCTCCTTCTTCCTTGGCACCCTGGGGTGTGTCGTGGCTGAACCCCAGCTCTGTGGTTCCCGAGGCTTTTCTGGGATGGAGGCCTCGCTCCGGGTCCTGGTGTTTTCACATAGCAGAGGAGAGTGCCCCAAGCCTGGCGAGCACCGCCTGTAGCCGCCAGCAACACCCCCCACCTCCGTTACGCAGGAATAGTCCCAGCCACCATTTATTGTAAACATTTGGTCTGCACATATAACAGAGAAACTCTTGAAAACCAAAGGGCCGTTATCACCCTGAGAAATTAGCACTGATTTCTAGAAACTGGCAGGAAGCCAGTCGGATGCTGGGATTTTAACTTTAAAAGAACATTTCCCAGGCCTGGGCCTCCGCCGCCAGCCCAGTCTCCCTGCAGGAGGGAGTGGGCAGGCGCTGGGCTCTGCGTGGGGCCGTGGACTCAGTCTCCCGCCCCCTCCATGGCTGGGAGCTGTTCCCAGGGGCCCTAAGCCTCAGCTTTCCCCGGAGGCCCGGGCATGGGGTGGGCCTGGGCTCTGCATCTCTCAGAAGTTTCCAGGTGATGCTGACGCTGGTTGGGGGACCCCACTTGGAGAGCTGGGGTGGCGGTGGCCTCCTCTTCCATAACCCCTGACCCTGGGCGGTGGCCTCCTCTTCCATAACCCCTGACCCTGGGCAGTGACCACCTCTTCCATAATCCCTGACCCTGTATAGCGGCCGTGGGTACTGTCTTCCACCCGTCCACATCCTTCCTGGGCACCGAACACTGCCAGCACCAAGCCAGGCACGGGGCCAGCAAAATGCCCTGCCCGCCTGGGGACACACATGCTGGAACGTTCACTGTGTGTCACACACGTGCAGGTGGTCTCGGGGGGCAGATGCCACATGGGAGGAATGGGCCCCTGTCAGCTGTGTTCTCCATTGTGGTCGGGGGTGGGGGCAGGTAGTGGAGGACCTGCCGGCTCTGCCTGGGCCCTGCGGCCACCCACCCCGGACACTGTGGCACTGGGAGGGGTGCAGATGAGGAGCCGGTCCAGGGCTAGGGCCCTTCCTGTCTAGCCATGGCCCTCCCCAGGCTCCTCGTGGTGCTGGGACCCTGTGGCGTCTGCTCCTCTGGCCCAGTGGCTGCCGGCGGCGGGGCCGTGTGACCCTCCTTCCTTCCATCCCTGCTGGTGCATGCCCAGCTCCCAGCCTGGCCTCAATGCGGGGCATGAGGGCTCATTTCATTCAGGCCACATGAGTGTCAGGACAGCCACCGTTGGGCATCAGGGAGGACCAGCAGACAGAATAGTGGTGGAGCCGGTCACAGAGCTGCACGGGGCAGGGTGGAGCCGGTCACAGAGCTGCATGGGGCAGGGGACGCCCTGCCCACTCCGCAGGCCTCTAGGCTCCCGTCTTCACAGAGTTCTCCTGCTGAGGCACCTGGCCTGTGTCCTCAGCACATGCCCCCGGCATCACACCTCACCCGTGAGCAACTGATGCACGGCTACCCTCGCGGGTCTGTATTTTGGGATTTCCTGCCAGTGTCTGTGAGTCGGGGCTCACGCCCGGGGTGCGGGTGCCCTCCTGGAAGTGTCTGTGTCTCATAGTGAGTCTGTCTGCCTGGGATTGTCACAACCTGGAAGAATAGGTCGCTCTTCCAGTCCCCCACCTTCCTGCACGGTCCAGGGTCGCTCAGGAGCCCCTGGGACCAGGGCCAGCATACCCCGGAGTATGTTCCTGGAGCCAGGGAACATCACTCCTGGGCCAGCAGCCCCACCTCCTGCAGGCTGCACTGAGCCCCTTCGGGCCCATGCCAACCGCCGGTGCAGCCTCTGCCCGTCCTCTCTGGTCTCCAGGGAAGGCGGCAGCAGCCGTGGGTGGTATGGAAGCCCCTGCTCTGCTGCGTCGTGCCAGAGCGGACTGTGGGGACACAGCAGGGAGTTTGCCGACTTTGAGGAGGAGGAAAGGACCTTATGCCCTGTTCGGGAGGCGGAGAGGCCCTCAGGGAGCTGTCCAGCACCAGCCGTGCTGAAGTCTGCAGCTTCCTCCTCCCGCGAGGGCGCCTGCCTTGGCGCTGGGTCCTCACAGCCCAGCTGCAGCTGGAAAGAAGCTATGTGAGGGCCGGTGATTTTTGGCAAGATCCCAAACCTGTCGTCAGCTGTGGGTCTCTGGTTCCGTGCTGAGGAGGGGCAGGAGGAAACCAGATGTGTTCGGTGCCTCCTGCTGGCCAGTCCCCCAGCCCTGGGCCCTGAGCAGACCCACAGGACCCACCCCTCGTGCCCCGCCAGGGCCTCTCTGTCTTTAACTTACAGGGGAGAGGGAGGGCCAGGGCCCCGCAGAGCTGAGGGTGCCCCTGCGTGTGGGTGCCGGAGAGCAGGCATGGAGCAGCCTGGGGAAGGCTGGGGGGCCTGACCTTGCGCTCTCCAGAGGCGGTGGGTGTCGGGGCTCCCCGGGGCGGGGCAGGCACAGCAGGCTGTGGTGGGGTCTGATCCATGTCCCCTGGAGCGCACTCCTGGGAGCCCTTTGTGACAGACTCCTCCAAGTCACCTTGTTTCAGGGCTCATGTGGCCTAAGGGTAGGTTAGTTGCAGGAGTTTGAGAAGGTGGCCTTGGGGGTGGATGGTCATGGGCAGAGGAGCTACTGCCGCAAACTCAGCTCCAAGCTGCCTCCACCTGAACCTTGTCCGTGCCTGAGCCCCGCCTCCGGGGAGGAGCATTGCAAAGGGTGGGTGGTGCTGCGTGTAACCCTCTGGCTGCCCCACCCTTCTCCAGGGACTTGCCCCTCAGGCCAGCCCAGCCAGCCCTCCTGACTCCTCCTGGGGGGTGAGGGGCAGCGTCTCCCTGGAGCTCCCCACACACAGGAGAGGGTTCTCTAGGGCCTCATCTGATCCTGCCTGGGCACTGGCAGAGGGCCAGGACTCAGGAGGCCAGGACAGAAAAGGCCACTGAGGCCCACAGCCCCTCACTCAGGGACACAGGGTCTCCTGCCAAAGGCAGAGGGAGTGGAGTGGGGGCAGCTGACACACGGGGAGGGAACAGGCCCCCAGCAGAGGAGGCGGGAGCGGCGCTGAGCTCGGCAGAGTGAGGGGCTGTGACTGCCTCTGAGGAGATGGAGGGCTCGGATCTGCTTGGAGGTTTGTTGACCCTAAACCCCAAATCCCCGGGGATTTGTGACTCATCGTAAAGTGCACAGATGAGCGCCCTCTCCAGCAAAAGCCAGAGCCGCCGAGGGCGTTTGCAGATGGCGTGGGTGGGAGGACGGGCGGGACCCCCCGGGGCCACCACGGGGTAGGTGCCTGGCTGCAGGCCTCTGCCCGGCCTCTCACCCATGGGGTGTTGAGTTCCCCATTCCACAGCTCAACTGTGGGGTCAGCTGGCTTGGGGCCTTATCCTCGGGGGGTCTGTGTCACGCTACCCTTCCCCTGGGGCAGTGCCCTTGTCACTGCCTGCTGTGACCGGACTGGCCAGCCTTGTCTGCTGGAGGGAACGTGGCAGTTGTCCCCCAGCCCAGGATGGAGGCTGCTGTGCGTGGCAGAGCACGTGAGGCAGCCACCCCTCACCGCAGGCCACAGCGTCACTGGCTCACCGGTCACTGTGGGGTCCTCCCCACCAGGGCTACCCTGCTGGTGCCCCTGCTGGTGCTGGGGTTGGAGCTGAAGGCTGCTCTTGGGCCTGGGGGCCCTGCGCTCCTGGTCTCAGCCCCCTCTCTGCTCCTTCCACTCAGGAGGCCACGAAACCCGCAGGCTCATGGGATGGGCAGGGGCTGCGGAGGAGGGGCCCAGGCGGTTGGAGCTGGCTGTTTGGTGTGAAAGGGGGATAACTGATACCCCACCTCTGACGGTGTGTCCTGAGCTCCCATCACCCCAGTTCAGTGGTGTCTGACAGCCCCCTTAGGTCCCTCACCTGCTGGTGACAGTCCTGTTGTGGCACCTGGTGCACTGATGGTCGCCTGTGGACCCCCATGCTGGTGAGACAGAAGTGGGCTCTGTTCTGGGCTCTGTGGCTCCTGGTGGCGTTGGATAAACCAAGCCCCCACAGGGCCTGTGCAGAGAGTGACCTGGAAGTGTCCTGGCTTCTCTGGGGGAAACACGTTGAGCGCTTCCCCACGTGGGGAGGCGGCCGGGCTCCAGGCCCCACTGCCCAACTTGGGACGGTGGCATCACGGGAGTTGGGATGGGAGGCGGGCGGTGGGCCTGGTCAGATGGGGCGAATGGGGTGAGCCTGGCCTGGAGTTGTACCCAAGCCCCTGCCCCTCTCCTGGGCTTCGCTCTTTGACCAGTGAAGTGTGAGCAGAGTTCACATCTGTCTGGGTGAAAGCTTCCAGAGCCAGCACCCTCTCCACTGTCCCACAGAAGCTGGTGTGGGCACACAGCACCTCCAGCCTGGCCCTGGGAGGTTGGAGACTCAGCCCTGCGGCCACCCTTTGATTGCTGCCTGCCCCAGCTGCCCGCAATCTGGGTGCGCGGAGCTGTGTCCCTGCCCAGGGCCTCACTCCTCTGTGTTCCCCTCCTGTCTCTGGGCCCCGTGTCCTTGATGCTGCCCCTTTTCCTGACCCTGCTCTCCTATCACGTCCCCTCTTCAGGGGAGTGGCCACGGGAGGAGGCCATCGTCCCAGCCAGCCCTCCGCCTGCCTCAGCCTCCCAGGACAGACGTCCCTTTGGCCGAGAGTTGCACCTGCCTCTGATCCTTGCCCTTGCTCTGTCTTCCCCTCCGTCCCTGTCCCAGCACCCAGAGGAGGTTGGGGTGGGGAAAGGTCCTCGGGGGAGACCATCTGCACGGCCCCTCCCTGGATGCCACAGAGCACCAGCCTTGGGAGGGCAGAGGGGGCGCCCCGGAGGTGGATGCCCTGCCCTGGTTCCTGATGTGGCCCCTGCCTCTAAGACCACAAGGCACTCAGGGACAGATGCTAACGTTTGGGAGGGTAGGAGCAACGGGCGTGGGCTTGCAGCCCCTGCCTCTCCCCTCTCTGCCCTTCCCGCAAGCCGCCCGCTACCCACTGCCCACTAAGCAGCTCTATTCTTACCGCGCCCTGGAGATTACTGCTGCGACGGCTCCTCTGGGACAGGCAGGCTCGCCGGGCTGGGGGCAGGGCTCAGCACTCCCGCTCTGTGGGAGGGTGGCCGCAGGGCCCTGCGTGGAGTCCCTCCCCAGCCCTCGCTGCCCCTGTGTCCTGACACAAGGCCCCCAAGGTGTGGCAGGCAGGCGGGCGTGCAGGCCTCTGTCTCTGGTGGTCTAGGGGGTGGGGGTGGCTCTCTGAGGGGTGTGGGCCTCCATCTCTGGTGGTCTAGGGGGTTGTAGGGGGGCTCTCTGAGGGGCCTGAGCAGCCTCCAGCCCCTCCCCAGGGAGGTCAGTCACCCTGGGAGGGGGTTGGGAGCGGCCCGGGCCAGGCTGCCTCATCCACAGCCCTGGGCCAGTCAGTGGGGCAGGGAATGTGGACACTGCCCTCCTAGCCCTCTGCCTGGGATCCTCTACGTCTCCCCACTTGGGACAGGAGCTGACGTTGCTCCTGGAGCCCTGCGTGCCAGCTGGGGTGGGAGGTGTGTGCGTCTGTGTATGTGTGTGTGGTGTGTCTGCATATGCAGGTGTGTGTGTGCGTGCCCACCTGTGTGTGCAGGTGCCAGCCTTGCCCAGCCTTCCCCCTGTGGCTCGTGAAGCTCAGGATGGCTGGGGGAGCTGGTGGCAGCCCCACTGCATGATAGTTGAGAAGTTGGGATCCTAGGGCTTGCCTGCAGCCAGCACCCCACAGTTACAGGCAGCGAGCTGCCAGCCCCAGCCCCTTCCTCTAGGAAAACATGCCCTGTCCTGCCCAGGGGTCTGGGATGGGGGACCGACCAGCGGCGCCAGCTACCCCCAAGGGCACAGGCTTGGCCGTTGACCTTTGCTCCCCAGCTTTGAGGACCCAGGGTTGAGCCAGGAAGATGGGGTGCGGAGCTCTTGGGCTCAGGGCAGCCTAAAGATTGTGCTCTGTGCCGAGGTGGGGAGGTCCGTCCTTTCCTGAGTGTGGCCCCAGCCAGCAGCCCGCATCTCCAGCGCTCGGTCCTTCCTGCCTACCTGCGTGGCAGTGACCCCATCCAGCCCCTGCTCCTTGGCCCCGCAGGCCCCACACCCCTTGCCGAGTGATTGGCCCAGCCCCAGGCGCCCCTTCTGTCCACGTCAGACGCTGGTCTGCACCTGTGCCATTCCATCCCCAGCCTTCCCAGACCCCCACAAGCCCCCACAGGCTCCTAAACCCACCCAAGATACGGAGACAGGAACCTCCCAACTCTGTCCCAGCTCCTCACACTGTTTGTTGCCCGCTCCCCTGCCGAGGTCAGGGTGTCCCTCGGCCAGCGGCTCCTCCTGCCCAGCCTTCCCCTCCTCCTGCCTGGCCTTCCTCTCCCTGCCCAGCCGCCAGAGGTCCCTTCTTAGGAGATAAACTGGGCCGGGCGCAGTGGCTCACGCCTGTAATCCCAGCACTTTGGGAGGCCAAGGCTGCCAAGGTCAGGAGATGGAGACCATCCTGGCTAACACGGTGAAACCCCATCTCTACTAAAAATACAAAACAAAACAAAAATTAGCCGGGCATGGTGGTGGGTGCCTGTAGTTCCAGCTACTGGGGAGGCTGAGGCGGGAGAATGGCATGAACCCGGGAGGCGGAGCTTGCAGTGAGCTGAGATCACGCCACTGCACTCCAGCCTGGGTGATAGAGCAAGACTCTGTCTCAATAAAAAGATAAACTGAGCCACACCTGGGCTGTCCCTGCCACTCAGGACCCCAGAGAGCTCAGCAAATTGCATGGGGGGCGAGCGGAGCTGGTATTTGGCAACACAGGAGGGCGGGGGCCCAAACCCCTGCAGAGGATGCCAGCAAGCCCCAGGCTCTCAGGATGGGCCACACGGAGCTGGCATGAGGAGGCCTGCAGAGGCCAGGACAGCTGTGTGTCCAGCACTCGGCCGCCTGCTGGCTGTGCTGCTGGAGGGTGCGGGGGTGGGCCTGTCGCTGGGCCACATCCCAGGGCCTGTGGTGGGGCTGGCAGGGTGTCAGCCTGCAGCTTGGAAAAGAGGAGCCCAGGCATCTGCTCCCTCCACGAGGTACACGCATGTGTGTGCATGTCCATGTGCAGGTTTGTGTGCGCCTGCATATCTGTGTGTCTGTGTGCGTGTGTGTGTGTGGTGCGTCTGCATGTGCAGGTGTGTGCGTGCGTGCCTGCCTGTGCGTGCAAACGTGTGTGCGCATGTGTGTGGTCTGTGCATCCTTGTCTGCCTGCACCTAGGATGACAGGCGGAGGCTCCTAGGGTTTCCCAGGGAAGGGGGTCCCAACGTCACCACAGCGACTTGGTAGCCATTCCCTGGGCTGCCGAGGGTGGGGCCTGGCAGGTGCAGAGCGGAGGGAGCTGCAGGCCCTGGAGGAGGCTGCTGTGGTGGCTGTGGTGTCTGCGTGGGTCCCCCACATCTGATGTCTCCTTCCCACCCCTGCCCTCTCTGAGCTTGGTGTGGGTCACCGGCTCTGACTGGCTCCCGCTGGCCACCTCTGCTGTGTCCACGACAGCCCCACTGCCTGCAGAGGGCCCTGCTGCCCCCTATGCCCTCTGGCAACACCGTGGTGTCCCCACAGGAAGTAGGTTCCTGGCCCCACAGAGTCCACTTGGGGGGCTTCTCACATCGGACCCTTGGCCACAGTGCCACCCGTCTTCCTGCACGGGCCTCCCCTCCGAGGCCCTTGTTCCTGCCGCCTGCCCTGCATGACCTTCAAGGAAATTGCTGACCCCCAGGAGACCCCTTCCTTCATGGGGTGCCTCAGACCCCACCTCTGCAGGGGTTCTAGCAGCCTGGTTCTAGCAGCTCTGCAGGGGTTCTAGACCCTCTAGGGGCCTCGACGCAGCCCCTAAACTAGGACACTAGCTTCAGAGACTGAATCACCAAATAGTTACAGGATTCAATCAAAATGTTTCATCGGGCTAATCTTTCAATATTGAATTGTGAAAACCAGTTAATAGAAGTCTAACGTGATCAACTGGCTCCGCTGGGATTGGGTCCCGCCGCCTCCAGGCAGGTGCCACCTCCAGGAGGGCTTTCCCAGAGTGTGGGGCGGGCCCGGCAGGGAGGGGCTGTTTGCTGCTCCATTTGCCCAGTGTGCCCTCAGATCCACAGCCTCAGGGCACCTGTGCCCTCCAGGGAAGGCCGCCTGGGTCTCCTGCCCACCCTGGAGCTGAGCCCACCTGCCCTGCAGCTAGAGGGGGCAGGGGCTGCCTGGGCACCTCCTCCATCACCTCCTGGTGGAGGGGTTCCTGGTCCCAGGTCCTTCCACTCCAGAATCCACCTTTGAGCCCCATACTCTCTGCAGCCCATCCTCTGGCCTCCCTGGGGCAAACTGTGAGGCTTATGGCGTGGGGAGCACAGGCGGGCCTGGCCTCGGGCCCCAGCCTCCCTCCGCCTGTTCCTAGAGCCCACAGTTCCACTGCTGGAGCTTTCTCTTGGCCACCTGACCAGTTCCCCTCCCTGTGTCCAGCAGTCCTCTGCAGTCCCACACTCATGCCCCAGGAATCCATCCAGCTCCTGCTGATCCTCTCATAGCCCCTGGCTTTGGGGAGGGTGGAGTCCAGGGTCCCAGGTCACCATCCACCTTAGAAGTCCAGCGTCCAGCCCCAGGGCAGCAGCCACGGGAGAACTGGGGAGAAGGCTGTATGGGGTGGGGGTCTTCACACAGCGGCCACCAGGCTGGGGGTATCCTGAGGTCAAAGCCTGTGCCACGTCCCCCCATCTTCCCAGGAGACACCTGAGTGCTATGGCCACTCCTTGTCAGGTCCAGGGCCTGGACCCTCAAGGACACCCCTGTGGCTGCCATCCTGACAGGCGGAATTCATCGCAGACCCTCAACCTGATGGCACAGGTCAGGGTTCACGTCGGAACCCTCCCCGCTGGTCCTTACTAGATCTGAGAGTGAGTCAGGTGGGGTGTGTGTGTGTGCACATCTGCCTGTGCAGGGGTATGTGTGTGCACGTCTGCCTGTGCAGGGGTGTGTGTGTGTGTTTGGCTGTGCAAGGGTGTGTGTTTGCCTGTGCTGGTGTGTGTGTGTGTGTGTGTGTGGCTGTGCTGGGGTGTGTGTGCATATCTGCCTGTACAGGGGTGTGTATGTCTGCCTTATGGAGGTTTATGTGTGTCTGCCTGTGCAAGGGTGTGTGTGTGTATGTATCTGTATACAGGTGTTTGCCTGTGCAGGTGTGTGTGTGTGTGTGTGTATGTCTGTGCAGGGGTGTGCATATGTGTCTGCCTATGCAGGGATGTATGTGTGTCTGCCTGTACAGGGATGTGTGTGTATGTGTGTGCCTGTGTAAGGGTGTGTGTACACACATCTGTGTGTGCCGTCTGACCCTGGAGGCATGGGCCTGGCTTTCCTCAGGGCCTGCATTTCCCTCTCTGTTTCTCTGCCCCGCCCCAGCCATCCCCTTCACCCCTTGCAGCCTGGAGCTGGGGGAGTCAGGGAGAGGCTGGGGCTGCAGACGGGGCAGCTGGCATCCTCATGCTCCCGTGCCCGCCTCTTCTCCCTGTGCTCAGTCGTGCTGCTTGGGCCGTGGGAGTGGAGCTCCTTCGCACAGGTGTTAGTCATCTGTGTTTCCTTAGCGATTTACCTGTCCTTGGCTCATTTAAAACAGTTGGAGTGTTGGTGGTTTTGTAACGAACTGGTCAGAGCACCTTCCGTGAGAAGGGCCTTTTCCCCCAGTTCACCGGGGCTCCCCTGCTCAGGGTGTGCCGGGGGCTTTGAGTCACTTCTGTGTCTCCTTGGAGGCTGTGTGGCGTCCGCGGAAGTTGGTGTCTGTGCGGTGTGGTTCTGTTTATGGGTGTTGTAGAGAAGGCGCCGTCCAGAGACAGAGCCACTGCTGAGGTGGGTGGGGGGTGTATGAAGGGCACAAGGACGCTTTGGGGGTGTCAGGTATGATGGCCCTCAGGTCATGGTTTCACACGCGTGTGCTTTAAATGCGTGCTGGCTGTCACGTGTCAGTCGTGCCTCCACAGAGCTTCAGGAACCACCGAGATGGGGAGCCTGCCGGAGACACAGGTTTTCTGAGCGCACCAGCGGCTCCAAAAGCAGAGGGAAGAGCCCTGCGTGCAGGTGGGGCGCTCATGGCGTCGGCCTCGCAGAGCGGTGACGGACACAGAGTCCGTGTTTGGGGGGGTTTGGGACGTCGGCCTCGCAGAGCGGTGACGGTCGCAGAGTCTGTGTTTTGGGGGGTTTGTGACGAGTCCGTGTTTGGGGGGGTTTGTGACGTCGGCCTCGCAGAGCGGTGACGGTCGCAGAGTCTGTGTTTTGGGGGGTTTGTGACGAGTCTGTGTTTGGGGGGGTTTGTGACGTCGGCCTCGCAGAGCGGTGACGGTCGCAGAGTCTGTGTTTTGGGGGGTTTGTGACGAGTTCGTGTTTGGGGGGGTTTGTGACGTCGGCCTCGCAGAGTGGTGACGGACACAGAGTCCGTGTTTGGGGGGGTTTGTGACGTCGGCCTCGCAGAGCGGTGACAGTTGCAGAGTCCGTGTTTGGGGGGGTTTGTGACGTCGGCCTCGCAGAGCGGTGACAGTTGCAGAGTCCGTGTTTGGGGGGGTTTGTGACGTCGGCCTCGCAGAGCGGTGACGGTCGCAGAGTCCGTGTTTGGGGGGGTTTGTGACGTCGGCCTCGCAGAGCGGTGACAGTTGCAGAGTCCGTGTTTGGGGGCGCCGTGAAAGCACCCAGCGTAGTCATGCTGCTGTGTGCGATGGGTGCTGGGCCCGCAGACTTCGGTGCTTCAAAGGCCTCACTGCTGAGCACGAGACGCCGCTTTTGATGTCGTCAGGCTCTCTGGTCCCCGGGAGTGGACTCGGGGGCTCCGAGTGCAGGGCTCACACTGTGTCTTTGAGGGCTGGTCACCCACCCAGGCACACCTGTGGCCCTGAGTCAGCACTGCCTGACGCCCACCCTCAGGAGCCCCCGCCTGCCTAGGGTGGGACCATGGGGGAGGCTGGTCCTCCATTCTCAGGGGCTGGGGGACACCCCTTCTGGTTGAGAAGGCCACAGGTGGCCCCCCCGCCACCCGGCAGGCACAGCAGGGCACCACCGAGACCACTGTGGCCTGAGGAGGAGCTTCAGCAGCCACTTGGTAGGAGGGCCTTCGACGGCCCTTTTGTGCAGAAGGTGGGTGTTCCCCAGTCTCAGAGGCCAGGGCCCTTGCTGGCTGGGGTGGGGGCTCCAGCCCAGGGCCCCGCTGAGGGGGGCAGGAGCAGGGGCGGAGAGAACAGCCGTGCGTCTGCCTTTTCTGCTCCCATCACCATGGCAACAGATGGAGATTTGGCAGGAAGGAGGAGGGGGCGGGCTTTGGAGGAGGCAGCCCAGGTTTGGAGACCAGCTGGGGATCCTCAGGGGCCTAGGGTGGGGGCTCCAGTCTCAGGCTGGCTAGTTCCTCCTTCCTGGTCACTGAGCCAGCCTTGCTGAGGGGAGAGCGGGTTCTGGACGTGCTCTGAGCTTCCTTCCTCACAGCCTTGCTCCTGGGCCAGATCAGCAGGAAAGCAGCCAGTGCCCCGCCATGGCCTGCCCGGGTGGGGTCCTGAAGCTGGGGCCGGAGCAGGGGGCACAGTTCTGCCCCATCTGGCCCTAGTTTGGGGAGGGAGCCTGGTAGGGCACCAGCCTCACCCCATGAGCCCTGAGGGCCACCCCAGCCGATGGGCACGTCCCCGCCGGCCCTGCATCTGTCCTTCCTCCCTCTGCTCCCCAAGAGAGCCCAGGTCTGGCCCAGCGGTGGGCAGGGGAGGGGCCGCACATCACAGAGTGCCAGCTGGCCACACTCCCGGCCCACAGCTGCTCCAGCCGCACCTCCACCTTCCTCAAGGCCAGACCTGGCTCTGCCTGCAGCCCAGCCCAGCAGGTGCGTGCCACGCTCCCTGGCTGGCCAGGGCCCCTCGAGGGAGGAGTGTGTTCATGTGTGAGGGATGCAGCCCCCACGGCAGGGACGGGGGACCTCGCCAGCACTGGTGGGCTGCACCTGCTGGGAGGGCCAGCTGTGCGGGTTCCTACGCTGGCGCTGCCTGCCCCTATGTGGAGAGGCGCCTGCCCCTATGTGGAGAGGCTCCTGCCCACTGGCCCGGCCTGGCATCCGGGCCCTCATCTTGCCCTCCCAAAAAGAGCTCTGCCCCCTGTGCTGCCCCATCCTGTGGGGAACGTGGCCTTGGTCACCAGCCTTAACAGCAGTCCTGCGGTGGGTGGAGTCTCAGCTGCGCCGCCCCGTCCTGCGGTGGGTGGAGTCTCAGCTGCGCCGCCCCGTCCTGCGGTGGGTGGAGTCTCAGCTGCGCCGCCCCGTCCTGCGGTGGGTGGAGTCTCAGCTGCGCCGCCCCGTCCTGCGGTGGGTGGAGTCTCAGCTGCGCCGCCCCGTCCTGCGGTGGGTGGAGTCTCAGCTGCGCCGCCCCGTCCTGCGGTGGGTGGAGTCTGAGCTGCGCCGCCCCGTCCTGCGGTGGGTGGAGTCTCAGCTGCGCCGCCCCGTCCTGCGGTGGGTGGAGTCTCAGCTGCGCCGCCCCGTCCTGCGGTGGGTGGAGTCTCAGCTGCGCCGCCCCGTCCTGCGGTGGGTGGAGTCTCAGCTGCGCCGCCCCGTCCTGCGGTGGGTGGAGTCTCAGCTGCGCCGCCCCGTCCTGCGGTGGGTGGAGTCTGAGCTGCGCTGCCCCGTCCTGCGGTGGGTGGAGTCTCAGCTGCGCCGCCCCGTCCTGTGGTGGGTGGAGTCTCAGCTGTGCTGCCCCGTCCTGTGATTGGTGAACTCTGAGCTGTGCTGCTCTGTCCTCTCTGGTCTGTGAAGTCTGAGCTGTTTGGTAGGCGGGGCCGAGGGAGCAGGCGCCCTCAGAAAATGCGAGACAGGGTCGGGTTGCGGGGAGGGCGTCCAGTGGTGGGAGGGGCCCAGCAGAGCTGAGGTGTCTGTGGGAAAACCTTTACTGAGCCAGGGACAGTGGCTGGGGGGTCAGATAAGGCAGCCCCAGCCCAGAGGGGATCCTCCTGCCTGCTGGGAGTGGGCAACGGTGCCCTGGCTGCACAGATCAACCCAGGCCCGTTGGATCACTAGCCCTGGCCGCACACAGCAACCCCGCGTCCCAGGCAACCCTGCGTCCCAGGCCCGTCGGGTCTCTGGCCCAGGGCACAGTAGTGGCAGTCACTCGCATGGGACGGGACCGCCCATGGCCTCCCACCGTGCACGCCCTTTCTGACTGCTGTAGGCCTGAGGGGTGGATGGGCGGGGCTCACTGCAGGCGCTGCCCCCGGCACCCCAGGCCCTGGCCTCCTTCTTCCCATGTTAGGAGCCTGCGTTCAGAACCCGCATTCCTGGGGAGGATGGGGCTGGGCAGGGACTGGGGTGGGTCTCTCCCCATCTCATGGCACCAGCTCAGACCTAAGCCAGGATCTCTGACTGGAGCCAGCCAGATGTCCAGCTGCCATGAGCTCCCCTGGGGGCTTCTGCCTCCCAGACGGCCCCTGGGGACGGCCCCTCGGGACACCCCCTCAGGTGTGGTGTGCCCTGACCCCACTGTCCACTGGGGTCAGCCCAGGAGACCCTCCCTCTGGCCCACCCCTCCCACCCCTGCAGCCCCTTGCAGGGGCCACGGGGAGACTCACAGAGGCAGTGCCCCAGGACCATGGTAGGAGACTCATCCTTCTTGGAGGCCAGAGGCTTCTGCAGGGCCTGAGCTGTCTCTGTCCAGCCCTGAGGGCCCTGGCAGTGGTATCTCTGCAGGTGGAGGGGCCCTGTGCCCAGGCTGTGCCCTGACCTTCTGCCCTGGGAGCCCTACAGCCCACATGGGCCCTGGCATCCAGCTCCCCAGTAGAACTTCCCCAAGCCAGGAAGGAAGTGGTCATGGGCGTCTGGGGTCTGTGTGCCTGGAGCTGGGCCATGTGGCCTGGGCTCCCTGCACTGCCCACCACCCACTGACCCTGACAACACAGGTCCATGGCGGGGCCTGGGCAGAACGGGGGAACCAAAAGGAGGGGCCTGAGCTGAGCCTGGGGTGGTGGGGCCTGGCACCCCCACTCCATCAGCCCCTCCTGCCATCTCTGGGGGCATCAGTGGCCCCAGAGCCAAGGAGCAGCCCCAGGGGCTGGAGCTCAGGTGAGGTCGGGTGGGTAAGGGGCTGCTGCTGCACAGTGGTGGGCAGCCACAGCGCCCAGCTCTGCCTTCTGCCCCGAGGAAAATGGGCTGCCTCCCACACTGGACACACAGCGCCAGCCACTTCCTCACACGGTTTACTGTAGCCAGACTTGGAAATAGTCATGTGATCCCCAGGGATATATAACTGCGTTTTCTCCATCTGTGCTTAGTTTAAAAACAATTGTTCATTAATTTAAAAGGAAGAGTTTGCCTTCAAACATAAAGATATTCAAATTAAAGATACTCAAATTTTTCTGTACGAACTAGGATTTGTGCTGGTCAAAAATACCACACCCCAAAGTTGCCATTGTCCCGTTGTTTAAAATTCTATGTGCAAATAGAATCTCCAGAGGCCGGGCAGGAGGAGGACGGCCTGGGAGTGTCCAGGCTGCTTCTCCGCCTGGAAAGGTGTCTCCATGCCCCTGTGGCAGTTTGAGGCTGGGGATGCCACTGCCCCACAGTGTGCTCCGGGGATCTCAGGGCGCTAGGAACTTCCCTCTGTAGAGAGTTGGCATCACTGGGATCCCAGGATGAACTTATGTGTGGAATGCGGTGTTCATTAGAAGCTAAGGAGCCTCAGAGTATGCTAAGGTGCAGCTTCAAAGGCAGCAATTGTTTGGAACTTAGGCCAAGGAAGATTTGTGTTTTGGAAATGGCATGTATTTTATCACTGACATTGTTTAGTGTAGGGTGATAAAAAGTAGACTGAATTTTTTTAATTAAAATGAAATTCACATAATATAAAATTAACCATACAATTCAGGGACGGTTAGCGCATTCACGGTGCTACGCGGCCACCACTGTCTAGTTCCAGAATGTTCCACCCCAAGGGACCCTGCGCCACACGTTCTCTTGCCCCTCCTCCATCCGTGGGAGCGTGGCCTGCCTTCCGTTTCTGGACGTGTCACAGACACTGGTCCCATGCTGTGCGTCCGTCTGCGTCTGGCTTCCTTCACACAGCAGAATGTACTCAGGGCCATCCCTGTTGTCATCCCTGTTGGGGTTTCCTTCCTTTTGAGGCTGAACGCACTTACCTGTGTGGACAGACCACGTTGTTCGCCTATCATCTGCCGTGGACATGTGGCTGCTTCCACCTTGTGGCTCTCAGGAGTGGCGCGCTGTGGACGTGTGTGTGAGTACCCACGTGGGTCCCTGAGCTCAGTTCCTGGGAGCATAGACCTCAGAGTGGTAATTCTGTCTTTACCTTTTTTTTTTTTTTTTTTGAGATGGAGTCTCGCTCTGTTGCCCAGGATGGAGTGCAGTGGCGTGATCTCGGCTCACTGCAAGCTCCGCCTCCAGGGTTGACACCATTCTCTTGCCTCAGCCTCCTGAGTAGCTGGGACTACAGGCGCTCACCACCACGCCTGGCTAATTTTTTGTATTTTTAGTAGAGAGGGGGTTTCACCATGTTAGCCAGGATGGTCTTGATCTCCTGACCTCATGATCCGCCCGTCTGGGCCTCCCAAAGTGCTGGGATTACAGGCATGAGCCACTGCGCCTGGCCCTGTCTTTACCTTTTTAAAAAAATTAGTTCATTTATTTTTCTGAGACAGGGTCTCACTCTGTTGTCCAGCTGGAGTGCAGCGATTTGATTGTGGCTCACTGCAGCCTTGGCCTCCCAACATGCTAAGATTACAGGCTTGAGCCACTGCACCTGGCTTGTGTTTAACTTTGAGGAGCTGCCAGACTTTCTCATTGGACCCAGTTTTAGTCAGCCTCATTTGGGTTTTTTAAGGCCCCACAGAAAAGGCAGCCCTGGTCCCTGCTGGATAGCTGGCACCCCTGCCTGCCCGGGGCCTGCTCTGCCCCCTTGGGTCCCTCACTTTCCTTCATAGAATTCACTGGCTTGGAGGAACCCATTACCTGCTCACTGCCCACACGGTGGTCCCAGCAGAGGACTTGGTCCCAGCAGAGGACTTGGAGCGGCTGCCCCTTCTGTTGCACGGGCTCCACCACGGCCTCCTCGGCCACTGTCCCCTGGGAGGGCAGCTGTGGTAAAGGCCGGAGCTCCCAGCTTTGGGCAGGTGAGTGCCCCTGGCAGTTCTTTTCTGTGATGTAGGTTTTTCAGACTGGGAAAAGTTGAGAGTTTCAAAGTCCATTGCCAGTGGGAACTGGAACCAGGCAAGCTGAACCAAGTTCATTAGTGCTCTTGGCAACCTCAGGGCTCACCTGGTGCACGGGGACCTTTGCAATGGCCAGGGCCTGGGGCCACCCGAGCTAGGGCAAGGGGAGGGGGAGGGATGTGTTTATAAAATTTCTGTTTTAATTTCAAGTACAGTAATGTTGGTGGATAGAAACACACAAACCACAGCACTTTGATTTTGTCAGTAACTCTTAAGAGTACGGAGGGTCCTGAGGCTGGGGGGTCTCGTGGGCACAGAGTATGATGCCTGTGAGGACGTCCTTCCAGCCACACAGCCCGTGGACTGCAGCATTGAGTGTTCTATTTCCTGGGTGTCACGTCCGCAAAATCCGCTGTTTTGCAGGGTCAGTCTTCGAGAAATGCTCTTGTAAGAACAGGTTTTTAGGCTCATGTGCCCCCTTCCCAGTGCCCGTCACCTCTCCCTGAGGCTGTGGCCTGGGCTCACCTCCCTCGGACCGAAGGGCTTCCCACACGTCTGTGTCCAACACGTTCCCCCGGCTTTCATTTAACTACCGGCGGTTGTATTTAGCCTCAGTTTTGGAGGATACTTTTGCTGAATGTAGAATTCTGGGTTTCCTTTGAGTGCTTAGCAGGTGCTACACCATGGTCCTCTGCTGGTGAGAGGCAGCCACCACTGAGGCCCTGGGTATGATGTGTGTCTCTGGCTGCTTTTGAGGTTTTCTTTTTATCCTTCGGTTTTGTGTGTTTCGCAGTGACCCACCTTGGTGTGTTCCTCCAGGTGTCTGTCCTGCTTGAGGTTCAGTGAGCCCCGTGGATCCACGGGCTGATGTATTTAGTACATTTGGGGAAATTCTTCATTGTTCTCTCTTAAAATGTGGCTTCTTCAGCCAGGCGCGGTGGCTCATGCCTGTAATCCCAACACTTTGGGAGGTCAAGGAGGGCGGATCACGAGGTCAGGCGTTCGAGACCAGCCTGGCCAACATGGTGAAACCCCATCTCTACTAAAAATACAAAAATTAGCCAGGTGTAGTGGCAGGCACCTGTAATCCCAGCCACTCGGGAGGCTGAGGCAGGAGAATTGCTTGAGCCTGGGAGGTGGAGTTTGCGGTGAGCTGAGATTGCACCACTGCACTCCACACTGGGGGATAAAGCGAGACTCCATCTCAGAAAAAAATAAAAATAAAATGCGCCCTTTTCCCTATTTGCTCTTTCCTGTATTGAGGGACTCTGGGAACAAGTGCCTTAGACTATGAGGGGGCTCCATAGGCACCTGACATGCTGTGAGGTCTCCACCTCCCTTTTTTGCTTTGGTGCTTGTCAGGATAGTTTCTGCTGGCTGGTCATTGAGGTCACTGTTCTTCTATTGTACCCACGCTGCTGTTCAGCCAATCCACTGAATTAATTTCGTTCATCTTTTTCTCCAATGAAATATATATATGTGTGATATTATCTTATCCTTTTCTGAAAATTCTAGCATTTAGATCACCTGTGTCCTGCTTCTGTTGGCTGTTTCTTCTCTTGAGAGTGGGTCACACTGTGTCATGCTTCTGTGGGCTGTTTCTTCTCTTGAGAGTGGGTCACACTGTGTCCTGCTTCTGTTGGCTGTTTCTTCTCTTGAGAGTGGGTCACCTGTGTCCTGCTTCTGTTGGCTGTTTCTTCTCTTGAGAGTGGGTCACACTGTGTCCTGCTTCTGTTGGCTGTTTCTTCTCTTGAGAGTGGGTCACACTGTGTCCTGCTTCTGTTGGCTGTTTCTTCTCTTGAGAGTGGGTCACACTGTGTCCTGCTTCTGTTGGCTGTTTCTTCTCTTGAGAGTGGGTCACCTGTGTCCTGCTTCTGTGGGCTGTTTCTTCTCTTGAGAGTGGGTCACCTGTGTCCTGCTTCTGTGGGCTGTTTCTTCTCTTGAGAGTGGGTCACACTGTGTCCTGCTTCTGTTGGCAGTTTCTTCTCTTGAGAGTGGTTCTCCTGTGTCCTGCTTCTGTTGGCTGTTTCTTCTCTTGAGAGTGGGTCACCTGTGTCCTGCTTCTGTTGGCAGTTTCTTCTCTTGAGAGTGGTTCTCCTGTGTCCTGCTTCTGTTGGCTGTTTCTTCTCTTGAGAGTGGGTCACACTGTGTCCTGCTTCTGTTGGCTGTTTCTTCTCTTGAGAGTGGGTCACACTGTGTCCTGCTTCTGTTGGCTGTTTCTTCTCTTGTGAGTGGGTCACCTGTGTCCTGCTTCTGTGGGCTGTTTCTTCTCTTGAGAGTGGGTCACACTGTGTCCTGCTTCTGTGGGCTGTTTCTTCTCTTGAGAGTGGGTCACCTGTGTCCTGCTTCTCTGTTGGCTGTTTCTTCTCTTGAGAGTGGGTCACCTGTGTCCTGCTTCTGTTGTCTGTTTCTTCTCTTGAGAGTGGGTCACCTGTATCCTGCTTCTGTTGGCTGTTTCTTCTCTTGAGAGTGGGTCACACTGTGTCCTGCTTCTGTTGGCTGTTTCTTCTCTTGAGAGTGGGTCACACTGTGTCCTGCTTCTGTGGGCTGTTTCTTCTCTTGAGAGTGGGTCACCTGTGTCCTGCTTCTGTTGGCTGTTTCTTCTCTTGAGAGTGGGTCACCTGTGTCCTGCTTCTGTTGGCTGTTTCTTCTCTTGAGAGTGGGTCACACTGTGTCCTGCTTCTGTTGGCTGTTTCTTCTCTTTGGAGGGGGTCCCATTTCCCCACCTCTTTGCATACGCTGTAATGTTTTGTTGGATACTGCATGTTGTTTATTTAGAGCAGCAGTTCAGACTGAAGTAGGAGCTGTCATCCTGGAGGGGCTCCCTGCCTGTGTTGGGCATGTGGGGGGCTGCTCAGCCAGATCCAAACAGGACTTCAGCTGGACTGGGACTGGGGGTCCCTCCAGCAAATTTCTGTTCAGCTCTAACACATATCCAAGGGACTGAACCCCTGGGTGGGGAAGTTTTTTCTTTTTTTTCTGTAGTGCCATAAGTGCCTGTCACTAATAGAAGCTCAGTGAATACCTGATTGATTAATTGATTGATCGGTTGATTGATTGAATGCAGCAAGTGTCTGGGAGCTCCCAGTTACAGGTGCGTGTCAGGCGTGAGTCTGGGCACCAGGGTGGGCCTTTGCTCAGCTGTGTTTGTGGGCTCTGCAGGTGCGTGTCAGGTGTGAGTCTGGGCACTGGTGGCGGGGGGGGCCTTTGCTCAGCTGTGTTTGTGGGCTCTGCAGGTGCGTGTCAGGTGTGAGTCTGGGCACTGGCGGGGTGGGGGTCCTTTGCTCAGCTGTGTTTGTGGGCTCTGCAGGTGCATGTCAGGTGTGAGTCTGGGCACCGGGGGGCCTTCGCTGAGCTGTGTTTGTGGGCCCTGGGACGTGATTCCCTCTTGGGTGGTGTTTCCAGCCGCTGGCTGCCCGGGCAGCTCCAAATACTGAGCTGTCAGGTCGGTGGTCTCTCTATGTCTTTCTGTTATCTTGTTCTGCTTTGCTGGGAATTTTCTCATTTTTTCAGTCCTTATTTAAATAGTTTCTTATTCTAGCAGTTATTATTTTTCATGTCTTAGAGCTTTTTTTTGTTTCTTAGTCGTTTTTGTAGACCTTGTTTATAGATGCAGCCACTCACTAAATCCTAGCACACTGGTGCAATCAACAGAATTTTTGAAATTCTCATTTCTGGCCAGACACAGTGGCTCACGCCTGTAATCCCAGCACTTTGGGGGGCCATGGCGGGGCCTCACTTGAGGTCTGTGGTTTGAGACCAGCCTGGCCAACATAGTGAAACCCCGTCTCTACTAAAAATACAAAAATTAGCTGTGTGTGGTGGTGGCATGCGCCTGTAATCCCAGCTGCTCAGGAGGCTGAGGTGGGAGAATCACTTGAACCTGGGAGGCAGAGATTGCAGTAAGCCGAGATGGCGCCCCTGCACTCCAGCCTGGGCGACAGAGTCAGATTCCATCTCGAAAAAAACAGAAACAAGAATGTTTGAAATCCTGATTTCCTGAGGACTGGTGCTCCCGATTCTGCTCCAGGCTCCGCGCCTCCTCCCACACCCGGGCACGTGGTCGTTCGTCTCCAAGGAAGCCTGGTTGAGTGCAGAGCCTCCTCTTTCTTGGATAAGAGGGAATGTTGTCTTGTGTGAGTCTCTGGAAGGCAGGGCCTCTGCCCGGAGGCTCGGTGTCCGTGCATGCATGCAAGTGTGCGTGCGTGCATGTGTGCGTGTGTGCATGTGTGATGGCCTAATGGGCAGGAAGTGGGGTGGCCTTGTTAGGATGAGACAGATTTTGCCACAGGGCCGGCCCCTGCTCTGCTGGGTGTGACCCCAACTACCCTTCTTGTTGGCCCAGAGAGGGGAGAGGCTGGCCAGGGCTGTCCCAACCTGTGCACGCCCTTGGCAGATGCTCCAGGGTGTCTGCAGCCCCACCTGAGGCCTGCCCTGCACTCTGGCTAACAGACATTTTCAGTTTTCCAGGTCCCCTGGAGACAGGCAGGCCCAGGCCCACCCCCTGCCTTCTCTGCCTGCCTGCCTCTAGAAGGTTCTTGAATGTTTAGAGGTTCCCCCGTCACGGCCAGGCTCCCTTTTGTTTAATTCAGGAAGGTTTGACAGGTGAGTGTGAGGTCTGCCAGCCTGGGCCTGGGCCCCTCCATGCAGGCCCTGCCTGGACCCCCTGTGACTCCCCCAAGTCCTATCTCCACCCCCTTGGTCCCCAGCTCCAGCCTCTTCCTCCACTGCCTAGACTGTCCCCTCGGGATACACCTCCTCCCTGCAGCCTCCTCCCTGGCTGTCACCCTCTTTGTGGCCTGCCTGGGGGACTCCTCTGGTTACTCCTGTCCTCAGCTCTAGGTGGGGCTGGCAGTCCTGGGGGCTCAGCCTCCATGTGGCATCCAGCAGGTGCCCGGCAACTCCCTGTTTTTCCACCTGACCTTAAGAGCCTGGCTTGAGCCTCTCATGGGGAGGGGCCTGTGCCCCCCAGGGCCCCCTCGGCCCTCTGGCTGGGTGCTGGCAAGTAGGTCTCAACCCTGGAGCCTGACTGGGGCCTCCCACCGACATCTTTCATCTGGGTGCAGAGCAGAGAGGGGCTTTGGGATGCTCAGAGTGATACCCTCAGATCTTTAGGATTCAGATCTTTGGGCTGCCTGTGGGCTCCTGGCTTGGCTGACCCTGGGCCTCCTCCTGGTACAGTCCCAGGCTGTGCTTTGGGTCCCAGGCTGCGCTTCGGAGGGGAGGGACAGTGTGGGGGCTCTCATTTAATCTTCACCCCCCAGGACGGGGTGTCAGGAGACCCCTGAGGCCAGGCACGTCTGGGGTCACACCCAGGAGGGAGGCAGGCGTCTGCAGTCTGGCCCTGGCTCAGGCCCACCCTTGCCCATCTCTGGCTGCAGAGATGCCTGCCTCTGCTTGGAAGGGACCTGGATCCTGGAACAGCCTAGGGCTGGGAAGCTGCTTCCTCCTCCACAATCTGGTCCCCAGTGGGAGCTGCATCCCACCTTTGTTTGGGTGCTGGGTTAGGAGGCGGGAGCCAGGCAGAGGCAGCGGAGCGGCTGCAGTGCGTGTGAAATGCTTCAGGGTGGCACGAATTTAACTAGAGAGGTTCTTTTCCAACGTGAGCAGTTGTCTCCCAAGAGATGCGCCGCCCCTTCCCTCTGCACCTGGCACTGGTGGGCGGTGGAGGCTGTGGGATCTATTGATGTTCTGAGCGTGTGCTGAGGGCCTCGCTCCTTCCTGCCCCCTGCCCCAGCTCCTGTGTCGGGGCTGTTACCGTGGGTGTGCAGGGTGGGGGTGCATAGAGCCTGGGTGCCCCCAGACTGAGGAGGCCGAAGGGTCGGGGAGCAAGGGCCTGGGTGCTAATGAAGGAACAAGGCTTCAATGTCTGTGGCAACTTCAGAGGCCCCTCTCGGGGCAGGTGGGAGAACCCCCAGCCTGGGGAGCAAACCTGCCGGCCCAGCACCGGGGTCTCTGCTGGAGATGTGAGCACGGCGGCCTGACCAGGGCCCGGGAGAGAGGGGGCAGGTGGGGGTGGGGTCGGGGCAGGCTGGGGGTGTCACTGGGCCTGCAGGGGGTCTAGCCTGAGGTTGGGGTGCCCCACGGGGGGAGGGTGGCGCCCGTGCCTGGGCTGCATCATCGGGTGTATTCGAGGCGGGGTCAGAGCCAACTGTGTGTCGGGTGAGAGCCCAGCCCAGCCCAGCCCCAGCTGTGGGCCCCCCATGAGCCCCTCACGGGAGCATGCAGGTGGATGATCAGGGGTGAGCCAAGTAGATTGGGGGCGGGGGCTGGCCAGGCCTCATCGCAGCTCACAGCCCCCAGCCCCCTCCTGAGCTGTTTGGTACCCTGTGTGTGCAGAG
The DNA here is from genome assembly GCF_000001405.40 of Homo sapiens. Taxonomy (NCBI): domain Eukaryota; kingdom Metazoa; phylum Chordata; class Mammalia; order Primates; family Hominidae; genus Homo; species Homo sapiens. The sequence goes on from NC_000011.10 coordinate 1,422,294, forward strand.
TCCCAGGTGGGGCCTGCCCTCCTCCAGCCGCTCCTCCACCCTGTCTGCCGTGTGCCACCCATGGGGTGCTCTGGGGAGGGGTGGGGGTCCCTGTATTGCTGGGGAAGGTGTGCTGACCACAAGGGGAGCAGCTTATGGGGCCGAGGCTGGCTCAGGATGCCGGAGGCTCTGCGGTGGGCCCTGGCGAGTGAGGAGCTGTGGGGACGGTGCAGAGGGGCCTGTGCACCTCCTGAGTTTGCAGTTGCTACAGTGCCCCCACCCCGAGGATGCATGGCTGACAGTCCCCACTGGGTGGCCTTGACAAAGGTGTGGCCAGGGCAGGGCCTCTGAGGAGCTGAAGACCTGCTTCCAAGGACACTCCTCCCTGACAGTCCTGTCCATGGTGCTGGAAGAGCTCTGGCGACCCCACAGGCAGGCAGGCCTGACCGTCCAAGGCTCGGCTGCCTGTGGGGAACTGGACACACTTCCTCCAGAGTCTCAGTTTTGCCAGCTGTTTGCCCAGCGCCATGTCCACTCCCCAAGCCAGGACCGAGGGGGTGACGGAGATGAAGCTTGTGCTGGCCCCAGCTGGGGGCCGCTGCCCACCCAGCAAGCCCCACAGCCAGTCCCAACCTGGTGATGTGGTGTCCGGAGGATGGACCTCGAGGTCTCTCAGACCTGGGTTTCTGAGCTCCTCAGGTGTCTGTGTCCCCTCCTGGGAAAGGGAACAGAGCTTTGCGAAGATCAAGGGGAGGGCAATGCAGCTTGGGAGCCTTAGCTCAGCCAGACAGCAGCCCGGAGGGTTAATGTCCAGGTACCTCCAGGCCCCATGCACCCAGGACCTCCCCAAGAGCTGTGCCTCCATGTACCTCAGGGCCTCCCCCAGAGCGGTGCCTCGTGGGGGATGCGGTGCCTCGTGGGGGACATGGTGCCTTGTGGGGTACGTGGTGGAGACGGTGGGGTCGTGGCCGTCCAGGCTTCAGAAACGGCAGAACCAGGGACCCTCCCCACTGTCCTGTCCTTAGCGTCTTGAGGCTAGGGGTGAGTTCGAGACCTCGTAAATACTTCAGTGCAGAGCCTTCAGTTAGGAGCCGAGGCCTCTGGCCAGGTTCAGGCACGTGGAGAGTGTGTGTGGGGAGAAGTTCTGAGACTGTGGGAGGGGTAGGGGTGTGCTGTGGCCACAGTGGTTCTGGAATTTGAGGTGCCTTAGGAGGTTCATGATGAAGGATGCGGCCCACAGTCGTGTGAGCAGAGGACGGCACTCGCGAGCTCCCTGGGGCTCCTCAGACCCGGTCACCGAACAGCAGAGACGTGCTCTTTCACATTCTGGAGGCGGGAAGTCCAAGGTCCAGGGTGGGCTGGCTCTTCCAAGGCCTCAAGGAAGCCCTGCCCCAAGCCTCCCCCGCTGGGCGTTCCGGGTGCCCCAGGCCTCCCCCGCTGGGCGTTCCGGGTGCCCCAGGCCTCCCCCGCTGGGCGTTCCGGGTGCCCCAGGCCTCCCCCGCTGGGCGTTCCGGGTGCCCCAGGCCTCCCCCGCTGGGCGTTCCGGGTGCCCCAGGCCTCCCCCGCTGAGTGTTCCCGGTGCCCCTGGGCCTGCAGAAGTGCTCCCCCACCCCCATCTTGCTTTCACCCTCACGTGGCGCCCCCATCCCACCCCGTGTGTCCCCAGCCACACTTTCCTCGGCCTTTCTCTGATAGGAAGGCTGGTAGTTGGGTTTAGTGTCCACCCCAAATCTGGGGCTATGTTATATTGAGATCCATAACTTAGAAACCTCTGCAGAGGCTGTTTTTCCAAGTCGGGTCACATTCATGCGCCCCAGGCACTGGGACACACATCTTTTGGGGGTCACCATTCCACCCCCACATCCTCCAGCTGTGATGTGGGGCCATGGTGGACCCCTCGGCACCCCTGTGGCCTCCGGAACTGCTCCGTGAGCCCCGGGGAGCCCCACCATTCCCCTGGAGTGACAGTGGGTCCTGCCGGCCAGGCGGAGGGAGGTCTCTGCTGGGTGTCCACCTGCGAGGCCCTCACCCCCTACTGCCTCATGTGGGGGGTGCCCCAGCACTGGGTGGGTCTGAGTGTGGGGGCAAAAGGAAGAAGGACAGGGAGAGCCAGGTGGGGACAAGGTGTCCTGCCGGGGTGGCCCCCACCTGCCCTCAGAATCCCTCCAGGCAGACAGTGGAGGCTGTGTGACCAGTGTGGGAGTTGGGGATAGGTGAGGGACCCCCTTCACTGGGGTGGGGCCAAGTGGCAGGAACTCCCCCAACATCTAAAGGAGAAGGGTCCAGGACCCTTCGCCAGGACCTGGGCTGCTTTGTGCCCCGGCAGGACGGGACAGCCACACACCTGCTGCCCTGCCCTCCATCTGCATCCAGCCAACAGGCCATTCCTCCCGTGCTTCACCCTCCATCCTGGCCTGGGAGGCCCAGGCTCAGGACCCGTTGGGACTGTTTGGACAGAGGGAGTCGGGGGGGCCAGGCAGGGCCCTGTGGAGCCTGCTGGGGGCTCTGGACCTGGGCCTCTGCCAGGTGGGCTCCCTGGGACCTACTGGCGGGGGGGCAGGTTGCGGGGGTGGAGCAGGACCCCCTGGCCTGCATGCTTCCCCTTCCTGGGGCTCACACACAGCACCTCGTGGGCCCAGAGTGCTGGCGGGAGGGGTGTTCTCCCCGCCTCCATGGGCAAAGAATCTGGGGCCCTTGTCAGAGACCGCGGGGTCAGTGGGATTGGCGCCCAGGCCCTGCTGTGACGCCACGTGTTTCCCACTCAGCGAGGCTGTTCCTGCCAGGCGTGGGGACTCGGACCCTGGTCCTGAGTGCTGCCCCGAGGCCCGTGATGGGAAGCCTGACGTCTGCATCGTCCTGCGCTGCGTGGCCGGTCGGTCCCGGCGCTCTCAGCACTTGGAGTCTCAGCTCCCCGGGTCATCAGTCCAAGCCACTCAGCAGGTGGCTTCGGCTTAAGGCCTCTCAGGTGGCTCTGGTGAAGGCGTCACCCAGGGCTGCCTGATCTGCAGGCTGGGCTGGAGGGGCTGCTTCCTGGGGGGTCCCGCAGGCTGTGTGGGGGCCTCGGGTCCTCAGCACGTGGACGCCCTGCAGGGCACTGCTGCCAGACATGCCCACTGAGCTCCCCAGAGTCCAGGAGGAAGCTGTGGTGTCCTTGTGGTCTGTGGATGAGGCCCGCTTGGTCCCAGAGGTGCGGGTTGGTGACAGCGACGGGGCAGGTTGTCACCTGTCCTGGTCTCTGGGAGCCGCCTCAGTGGGGTGGAGGCAGGGCAGGCCTGTCCAATGACCCCACCCCCTCAGGACGTTTCCTCCGTGCAGCCTGGGCCAGGGGCCACGGGAGGCTCTTCACCTACAGGGGACGCATTCAGCACCGAGGTCAGCAGCCCATCCCGAGCCCCCCACACCCCCGCTCGTCTCCCACTCTGTGTCCTCTCCACTGGCCTTGGGGTAGATGAGCTGCCCCCGTCCTTTCTTTGGGAACCCACCCCCTTCTGGGCGAGGGTGGGTAGCAGGCACCCGACAGGGTCCCCAGGTGGCACTCCAGGCCGTGGCACTAGATGTGCACTGTGGAGATGGGAAGAGGTGTGGGGCAGGGGAGGGCGTGGGGGGAACGCTGAGTTTCCTGGGTACACCTGCCCCGGGGCCAGTGCCTCAGGCCTCTGGAGAGCGGATTTGCGGCCTCATGGCTGGGGAGGGCTGAGGTTCTGCTGTCCGGTGTGGTGCCACGGTGAGCACACCTCACCTGTCCAGCCTTCCCCCTAAACCCAGTGCTCTGGACGGTGGGCTGGCCCCTGGCTCCTAGCCTGTGCGCGCCCATTCAGGAAAGCAAACACCAGCACACACCGGTCCCTGTGGGGCCTTGGGTGCTCTGGGCACCCAGCTGCATGGGACGGGCAGGGCCACGTGGCCATCAGGGCCTGGATGGGGGCCTGGCACACAGCGGGCACTGGGGATGTGTGTGGGGCGTGCTCCGGGGATGTGTGTGGGGCGTGCTCCGGGGATGTGTGTGGGGCGTGCTCTGGGGATGTGTGTGGGGCGTGCTCTGGGGATGTGTGTGGGGCGTGCTCTGCTGGCGACTGGGCTTGGATCTGTGGGGTGTAAATACCTGAGACGGCCCCTCCAGGGGAAAGAAGAGGCTTGAACTGTCACTTTAATCCTTTCAGACTCCGCAGGAGACAGAGCACGCCGGGGAGGACACATGTAGCCCTTGGGGGTGCCCAGTCCTGGCAAATCTCGGTCTCGAGCCTGGGTCTGTCCCCGCAAATGTAGAGTGTGCAGGGAAGGCCCTGGGTTGCTGGGAACTTGCAGAGGCCCTGGGTGAAGGTGCCGCGTGTCTTCTCTGTGTGACTCCTGCCTGGCCCTGGGTGAAGGTGCCCCGTGTCTTTTCTGTGTGACTCTCACCTGTGAGGTGTCCTCCCTCCAGGAGGTGGTTGCTGGCAACGGGGGTGGGGGCAACAGATGGGCCAGCAGCCACGTGGTGGGGAGCAGAGAGGACCTGGGGGTGCAGACACAGGATGTGGCGGGGCTGCTGGGGAGGAGCTCAGGATCCCTCAGCCAAGTGCATGTGGGGAGGGCCCTGTAGTGGCCAGCAGCAGGCAAGTCTATGAAACGGGACCACTCCGCCTGGTGGGAAGCCCCCTGGGTCTGCATGCGGGAGATGGGGGGGCGGCACCCCAGGCTGTCCCCATACCTGCTGCGCAACTTTAGTCTGGTGCGTGCCGGGGCGGTGAGGGGGCTGCGCGGGGTCCTTCCCCAGTGCCAACACTGCCACCTGCCCCAGGGCCCCCTACCCAAACTAAAGAGCAGCCCGTCCAGCCCTAGGCTGGCTTGGCTCCTGGACCTGCAGCCCCCCATCCCCTCTCTCCCCACAGCCCCACTGGCTTCCTGGGGGCAGGGCGCTGCCGGCAGAGCTGCAGAACTGAGCCCTCACTGCCCCTCCAGAAAGTGCCAGCCCTCCTGGCACAACCCTGCCTGCCAGTCCTCCTGGGTAGCTGAGTGCAGGGGCAGGGGCTGTCCTGCTGCCTCGCCCGGCCCAGGCAGGAGAAGGCCCCTCACTTCTTGGCCAGCCTGGGACTTGAGTCAGGGCCTGCTCTCAGATACCACGTGCAGGGTAGTCCTGGGGCTCCCTTTGACTCTCCTGGCCGGCTCAGGAGCACCTGGGGGCACCCGTGTTAACGTGCTAGTCTGCTCCCTGAGGCCCAGCATCCTCGTGGCATACCCGTGGCTTCCCTGGGATGCCCTGGGGCTCCACATGCCCAGGCCCTTCCCTGTGGGGGGCGCAGGGAGACCCAGCACTCTTGGGCACCCGCCGGCACACGCTCCCACAGAAATGGGGCCTGGCGTGAGCTGCTGTGCACCGCCTGCCCCCTCAGGGCCCTGGGCAGTGATCTGTGGCACTGCGTGCCTTCCCTCTCGACAGCCAAGCCTGTGTTTGTGTAAAGACAGCAATTAGAGATGGACTCTCAATTGGAAAATAAGCCACAGTGAGTTGCAGGGGGAGATGATGAAGGGTGGCCCTGGGCTTCCCCGCTCCAGCTTCCAGTCCCCCATCCTCCAGGCTACGGCCCAGTCAGGAGGGCCTCTCACAGCACACTCCCCACTCCCTGCCTCCAGAAAGTGGCAAAACTGCTCATAACCCAAACATTCTGCTCAGAGAAACTCGGAGCTGAGGGATACCAGGACGCAGAGGCCTGCACTGCTGCCTAGGACCCCAGGGAAGCTTTACCTAGGAGGGACGCCTCTATGCTGGGCTCTGAGGAGTGTGTAGGAGTCTTCAGAGTACAGTAATGGGGAAAGGACTTTCTAGGCATAGGGGCAGCAAGTGAAAGAAGATGGAGGCAGGAGGAGTGACCAGAGCTCCAGGATGCAGCTGGGGACGGCTCTCCTACATCCCAGCCTGCTGCGTCGTGGCTGCCTTTACCTGAGCCACTGCGAGGCTCCTGAGCATAGGCAGGAGGCTCTTGGTGGCTGTGGCTCCTCTGTGACTCTGTTGCTATTTGAGAGGCCACCTGCAGCCCCCAGACTCCAGCCTCAAGGACGTGGGCAGGATCTATGGATGCGGCAGGCCCACCCCCAGTGGCTCCATCCCCTCCGTAACCTCCTCTGGGAAGGTGGGTGCTTGCCAGGAATGCCTTCTTCCATGTGGTCCACTGTCCTCACAGCCCTTCTGAGCCACATGTGCTGGCAGGGGATGGAACCACTGTTTCCTCATCTGTGAAATAGGGGTGAAGGGGCCCCACTCAAAGCAGCGCCTGGAGCAAGGCCAGTGCTCCGAGACTTGGCTGTCCTGATTTGTGCTGGGCCCAGCAGTGTCCTTTCAATAAAGTTGGCCCAGGTGGTTGTCAGGCTCCCTCCCATTTTCAGTCCCCACTTTCTTTCCTTTTCTGGAGGCAGGATTGTGCTCTCCACACCTTTTGGCTCCTGTCATTCAAGGATGTGTGTGCACACTGGGAGTGTGCATGTTTGTACGTATGTGTGCATGATGGTATGTGCACGAGTGTGTGTGCACTGCGGGTGTGTGTGCATGTGCACTGGGGTGTATGTATGCAGTCGTGTGTACATGCATGGGTGTGTGTACAGGCGTGCGTACTGTGTGTGCATGGGTGTGTGCACACGGGTTACTGGGGGTGTGCACTGGGTGCTTGTGTGCACTGGAGGTGTGTACTGGGTGCGTGTGTGTGCACGGGTGTGTGCCCTTGGCGTGTGGGCGTGTGCACTGGGTGTGTCCTGGGTGTGTGTGCATGGGTGTGTGTACACGGGTGTGTCCTGGGTGCATGCACATGTGTACACAGGTGTGTGTGCATGGGTGTGTGTCCTGGGTGCGTGCATGTGTGCACTCGGTGTGTGGGTGTGTGCACTGGGTGTGTGTGCACGTGTGCATGGGTGTGTGTGCACGGGTGTGTGTCCTGGGTGCATGCGCGTGTGCATGGGTGTGTGTGCACGCGGTGTGTGGGCGTGTGCCCATGGGTGTGTCCTGGATGCATGTGCACAGGTGTGTGTGCACTCGTGTGGGTGTGTGCACTGGGCGTGTGTCCTGGGTGTGTGTGCGTGTGCGCACAGGTGTGTGTCCTGGGTGCATGTGCACTCGGTGTGTGGGTGTGTGCACATGGGTGTGTGTGCACTGAGTGTAGGCACAGGGGTGTGCACGCATGGAGGTATGCACACACCTAGGGGTGTACACAGGTGCATGTCTGTGTGCGTGGCCACACGTGCTGTCCCTGCCCAGGGCCCTGCTGCTCTGTCGCCAGCATCCTGCTGTGCCCAGCAGTGAGCGTCTTCTGCGGTCTGGTCAGGTTTTGCCACTGTGCTCAGCAGTGAGCGTCTTCTGCGGTCTGGTCAGGTTTTGCCACTGTGCTCAGCAGTGAGCGTCTTCTGCGGTCTGGTCAGGTTTTGCCACTGTGCTCAGCAGTGAGCGTCTTCTGCGGTCTGGTCAGGTTTTGCCACTGTGCTCAGCAGTGAGCGTCTTCTGCGGTCTGGTCAGGTTTTGCCACTGTGCTCAGCAGTGAGCGTCTTCTGCGGTCTGGTCAGGTTTTGCCACTGTGCTCAGCAGTGAGCGTCTTCTGCGGTCTGGTCAGGTTTTGCCACTGTGCTCAGCAGTGAGCGTCTTCTGCGGTCTGGTCAGGTTTTGCCACTGTGCTCAGCAGTGAGCGTCTTCTGCGGTCTGGTCAGGTTTTGCCACTGTGCTCAGCAGTGAGCGTCTTCTGCGGGGTCTGGTCAGGTTTTGCCACTGTGCTCAGCAGTGAGCGTCTTCTGCGGTCTGGTCAGGTTTTGCCACTGTGCTCAGCAGTGAGCGTCTTCTGCGGTCTGGTCAGGTTTTGCCACTGTGCCCAGCAGTGAGCGTCTTCTGCGGTCTGGTCAGGTTTTGCCACTGTGCCCAGCAGTGAGCGTCTTCTGCGGTCTGGTCAGGTTTTGCCACTGTGCTCAGCAGTGAGCGTCTTCTGCGGTCTGGTCAGGTTTTGCCACTGTGCTCAGCAGTGAGCGTCTTCTGCGGTCTGGTCAGGTTTTGCCACTGTGCTCAGCAGTGAGCGTCTTCTGCGGTCTGGTCAGGTTTTGCCACTGTGCCCAGCAGTGAGCGTCTTCTGCGGTCTGGTCAGGTTTTGCCACTGTGCCCAGCAGTGAGCGTCTTCTGCGGTCTGGTCAGGTTTTGCCACTGTGCCCAGCAGTGAGCGTCTTCTGCGGTCTGGTCAGGTTTTGCCACTGTGCCCAGCAGTGAGCGTCTTCTGCGGTCTGGTCAGGTTTTGCCACTGTGCCCAGCAGTGAGCGTCTTCTGCGGTCTGGTCAGGTTTTGCCACTGTGCTCAGCAGTGAGCGTCTTCTGCGGTCTGGTCAGGTTTTGCCACTGTGCTCAGCAGTGAGCGTCTTCTGCGGGGTCTGGTCAGGTTTTGCCACTGTGCTCAGCAGTGAGCGTCTTCTGCGGTCTGGTCAGGTTTTGCCACTGTGCTCAGCAGTGAGCGTCTTCTGCGGTCTGGTCAGGTTTTGCCACTGTGCTCAGCAGTGAGCGTCTTCTGCGGGGTCTGGTCAGGTTTTGCCACTGTGCCCAGCAGTGAGCGTCTTCTGCGGTCTGGTCAGGTTTTGCCACTGTGCCCAGCAGTGAGCGTCTTCTGCGGTCTGGTCAGGTTTTGCCACTGTGCCCAGCAGTGAGCGTCTTCTGCGGTCTGGTCAGGTTTTGCCACTGTGCTCAGCAGTGAGCGTCTTCTGCGGTCTGGTCAGGTTTTGCCACTGTGCTCAGCAGTGAGCGTCTTCTGCGGTCTGGTCAGGTTTTGCCACTGTGCTCAGCAGTGAGCGTCTTCTGCGGTCTGGTCAGGTTTTGCCACTGTGCTCAGCAGTGAGCGTCTTCTGCGGGGTCTGGTCAGGTTTTGCCACTGTGCCCAGCAGTGAGCGTCTTCTGCGGTCTGGTCAGGTTTTGCCACTGTGCCCAGCAGTGAGCGTCTTCTGCGGTCTGGTCAGGTTTTGCCACTGTGCCCAGCAGTGAGCGTCTTCTGCGGTCTGGTCAGGTTTTGCCACTGTGCTCAGCAGTGAGCGTCTTCTGCGGTCTGGTCAGGTTTTGCCACTGTGCTCAGCAGTGAGCGTCTTCTGCGGTCTGGTCAGGTTTTGCCACTGTGCTCAGCAGTGAGCGTCTTCTGCGGTCTGGTCAGGTTTTGCCACTGTGCTCAGCAGTGAGCGTCTTCTGCGGTCTGGTCAGGTTTTGCCACTGTGCCCAGCAGTGAGCGTCTTCTGCGGTCTGGTCAGGTTTTGCCACTGTGCCCAGCAGTGAGCGTCTTCTGCGGTCTGGTCAGGTTTTGCCACTGTGCCCAGCAGTGAGCGTCTTCTGCGGTCTGGTCAGGTTTTGCCACTGTGCCCAGCAGTGAGCGTCTTCTGCGGTCTGGTCAGGTTTTGCCACTGTGCCCAGCAGTGAGCGTCTTCTGCGGTCTGGTCAGGTTTTGCCACTGTGCTCAGCAGTGAGCGTCTTCTGCGGTCTGGTCAGGTTTTGCCACTGTGCTCAGCAGTGAGCGTCTTCTGCGGGGTCTGGTCAGGTTTTGCCACTGTGCTCAGCAGTGAGCGTCTTCTGCGGTCTGGTCAGGTTTTGCCACTGTGCTCAGCAGTGAGCGTCTTCTGCGGTCTGGTCAGGTTTTGCCACTGTGCTCAGCAGTGAGCGTCTTCTGCGGGGTCTGGTCAGGTTTTGCCACTGTGCCCAGCAGTGAGCGTCTTCTGCGGTCTGGTCAGGTTTTGCCACTGTGCCCAGCAGTGAGCGTCTTCTGCGGTCTGGTCAGGTTTTGCCACTGTGCCCAGCAGTGAGCGTCTTCTGCGGTCTGGTCAGGTTTTGCCACTGTGCTCAGCAGTGAGCGTCTTCTGCGGTCTGGTCAGGTTTTGCCACTGTGCTCAGCAGTGAGCGTCTTCTGCGGTCTGGTCAGGTTTTGCCACTGTGCTCAGCAGTGAGCGTCTTCTGCGGTCTGGTCAGGTTTTGCCACTGTGCTCAGCAGTGAGCGTCTTCTGCGGGGTCTGGTCAGGTTTTGCCACTGTGCCCAGCAGTGAGCGTCTTCTGCGGTCTGGTCAGGTTTTGCCACTGTGCCCAGCAGTGAGCGTCTTCTGCGGTCTGGTCAGGTTTTGCCACTGTGCCCAGCAGTGAGCGTCTTCTGCGGTCTGGTCAGGTTTTGCCACTGTGCTCAGCAGTGAGCGTCTTCTGCGGTCTGGTCAGGTTTTGCCACTGTGCTCAGCAGTGAGCGTCTTCTGCGGTCTGGTCAGGTTTTGCCACTGTGCTCAGCAGTGAGCGTCTTCTGCGGTCTGGTCAGGTTTTGCCACTGTGCCCAGCAGTGAGCGTCTTCTGCGGTCTGGTCAGGTTTTGCCACTGTGCCCAGCAGTGAGCGTCTTCTGCGGTCTGGTCAGGTTTTGCCACTGTGCCCAGCAGTGAGCGTCTTCTGCGGTCTGGTCAGGTTTTGCCACTGTGCCCAGCAGTGAGCGTCTTCTGCGGTCTGGTCAGGTTTTGCCACTGTGCCCAGCAGTGAGCGTCTTCTGCGGTCTGGTCAGGTTTTGCCACTGTGCCCAGCAGTGAGCGTCTTCTGCGGTCTGGTCAGGTTTTGCCACTGTGCCCAGCAGTGAGCGTCTTCTGCGGTCTGGTCAGGTTTTGCCACTGTGCTCAGCAGTGAGCGTCTTCTGCGGTCTGGTCAGGTTTTGCCACTGTGCTCAGCAGTGAGCGTCTTCTGCGGTCTGGTCAGGTTTTGCCACTGTGCTCAGCAGTGAGCGTCTTCTGCGGTCTGGTCAGGTTTTGCCACTGTGCTCAGCAGTGAGCGTCTTCTGCGGTCTGGTCAGGTTTTGCCACTGTGCTCAGCAGTGAGCCTCTTCTGCGGTCTGGTCAGGTTTTGCCACTGTGCTCAGCAGTGAGCGTCTTCTGCGGTCTGGTCAGGTTTTGCCACTGTCTAACAGCTGCCCTGTGCCCTTGGTGGCTGTGCCCTAATGACTCCCCTCCTGTTTGGGGCCATCTTTTGTGAAAATGCAGAGCCACCAGGGCTTCGCCACCTACCCTGGGAATGCTGTCCCGGTGCCCTTGGGGGCTTTGACCACAGCCTCCCTCCTGCTTCACCCCTGCACCCTCATGATGCCCTGGGGCAGGGTGTGGGCCCTTCATCCTTTGGGGTCTCCTGAGGGTGCCTCATGCTGGGCATTTCTGGGTCATTTCCTCCCTCCTTTGAGAGCCTCTGTCTTGGCCTCCGGCTGCATCCTCCCAGGAGTTTGTCCTGAGGGTTTTTAGGGGCTCCATGCCCTTCGGACCAGAGGCTTTTGTCACGGACCACGCCTTAGCCTTGCAGCCAGGTTTGGGGGACATTGAGCTCTTGCTCCTTTCCGTGTGTGGGGCTGAGTCCTTCCTGCAGGGACCCCTGCCCCGGGATGCAGGCCAGCCTCGTGCCTGGGGAGGGATGCGCTGTGGGCGCCTCCAGCCGCCCTGGATTATGGATGAAGGGCTCTAGGCCCTCCTGAGTGCTCCTCCGGCTGAGCGAATCACAAGCCTTGTGCTGGATCAAAGGCCTTCAGGGAGAAGCAGCTCTTCCTCCATGAGCACACCCTGCCGAGGCCACCCCCCACCCCTGGCACTGGGCTCCCCTCTGTGCCCAGCCTGTGTCACTGCCCGGCCTGCAGCTCCCCCTGCCTCTGGGGAAGCCCGCTTCTTCGGCAAGGTCCTGGGTCCCCCACCCGGCCTGGGCTCACCCAGATCCAGGCGTGACGCCACACAGATGAAACTGACGGAAAGGGCAAAATAAAGCTAAAAGCCGATGGGGCCGGGGGAATGGAGGTTTGACGCGTGAGACAAAGGATTAATTTCCCAAAAAAATCAAAGGGCTCTTGCAAATTGGTAAGAAAATGCACACATGTGCGTGCACCAGGATAAAAACGAGAACAGGAAAGGAGCCCAGAGCACACCCACACGGTCAGTAAACACCGGTGACGTCCCGCGGGTCAACAGGGCGAGGCCGAGTCTGGGTGAAATTTGAGCACAGCGCGTGCACGGAAGGATGGCGGCCACTAAAGCCCAGTGGGAATGCCAGCCAGGATCTGGGTGTCTGGGCGCACCTAGGAGTGGGGTCCCCTGTGATAACCTGGGCCGGCTCTGCGTGTCTGGGGGCACCTAGGAGTGGGGTCCCCTGTGATAATATGGGCCGGCTCTGCGTGTCTGGGGGCACCTAGGAGTGGGGTCCCCTGTGATAATATGGGCCAGGATCTGCGTGTCTGGGGGCACCTAGGAGTGGGGTCCCCTGTGATAACCTGGGCCGGCTCTGGGTGTCGGCGCACCCAGGAGTGGGGTCCCCTGTGATAACCTGGGCCGGCTCTGGGTGTCTGGGGGCACCCAGGAGTGGGGTCCCCTGTGATAACCTGGGCCGGCTCTGGGTGTCTGGGGGCACCCAGGAGTGGGGTCCTCTGTGATAACCTGGGCCGGCTCTGGGTGTCTGGGGGCACCTAGGAGTGGGGTCCCCGTGATAACCTGGGCCGGCTCTGGGTGTCTGGGCGCACCTAGGATTGGGGTCCCCTGTGATAACCTGATCCCCCCATGGTTCCAACATGCCCCAACATGGAATGGCACATGAGTGCGCCTGAGGACCTTTGATGGTAGGAAAGGGCCTGGGTTGTGGGCTCCTGGGGGCATCTCCAGTGTCAAGGCCACAGCTCAGGCCAGGTGGGGCTCAGGGGTGTGGCCGGGCTGTCCTGGGCAGGGGCAAGTATCTGGCTGTGAAAAGAGTGGGGAGAGGAGAAAGGGAGGGTGGGCCGAGGCGCGGAGGGGGACCGGGACCGTGTGCCCAGCCAAGGCACATTCCCAGAGCACCCTGCCTGCCTTTTAGGTGGGTCTGGGAAGGAAGGGGCTGCCGGGCCGTGGAGGTCTAGGGCAGTGCTGCCTGGGGAGCTACCTGGGGCCCGTCCTGGTGTCCTGGGGTGAACACAGGGCCGGGGCTCAGGTGCAGAGCATCTCAGCAGAGGAGGGGTGCCGGTGGGGGTCTCAGCGGAGGAGGGGTGCCGGTGGGGGTCTCGGCGGAGGAGGGGTGCCGGTGGGGGTCTCGGCGGAGGAGGGGTGCCGGTGGGGGTCTCGGCGGAGGAGGGGTGCCGGTGGGGGTCTCGGCGGAGGAGGGGTGCCGGTGGGGGTCTCGGCGGAGGAGGGGTGCCGGTGGGGGTCTCGGCGGAGGAGGGGTGCCGGTGGGGGTCTCGGCGGAGGAGGGGTGCCGGTGGGGGTCTCGGCGGAGGAGGGGTGCCGGTGGGGGTCTCGGCGGAGGAGGGGTGCCGGTGGGGGTCTCGGCGGAGGAGGGGTGCCGGTGGGGGTCTCGGCGGAGGAGGGGTGCCGGTGGGGGTCTCGGCGGAGGAGGGGTGTCGGTGGGGGTCTCGGCGGAGGGCTGCGGCTGAGGTATCTCTGCAGAAGGCTGCAGGTGGGGGTCTCGGCAGGGTGTGCGGGGGACAGCCTTCTTGGGCCAGGCAGGCACCTCGAGGGCACCCTGGCTCCCAGCTGAGGGTGGCTGAAGGCTGAAGGGAGGGGATTTGGGTGCCTTGGGATGGGGAGAGGGCGAGGGGGGCCACAGAGACCTGAGAAGCCCAAAGGGCCGGCGTGGAGGGAAGACACAGCTTTGCAGGGGCAGCGTGACGCCAGCACTGAGCTGTTCTGGACAGCGACCCAGGCGGGCAGGGGCCTCCGGCCCTGGAGCGGGTGGGACCCCTGCTGTCCAGGACGTGGGAGGAGGCCCCCAACCTGCACTGTCCGGCTGGGTGCTCGCTGCAGGCACCCTGGGTGGGTCTGAGCGCGGCTGCTTCTCTCCCGCAGGTCTGGTGAAGCTGGGGGTTCACTGCGTCACCTGCCAGAAGGTGGCCATCAAGATCGTCAACCGTGAGAAGCTCAGCGAGTCGGTGCTGATGAAGGTGGGTGGGGCCGGGGAGGGAGGCGGGGCCGGCGGTGGGGTGGGGCGGGGAATAGCACAGGGGTGGGAGCCAAGGTTGTGGGGACCTGCGGTGCTGGATGCGGGTGGGGGGGCGGGCCCTGCAGGCTCCTGGGCCGCCACACCCCTGCTGGTCCCCTGGTAGGGTGCCTTTGCTCTTGCTCCTCCCTCCAGCCCTGCCCACCTTTCTCCTGCCTCCAAGCAGAGTGGGCACCCCTGAGGGGACAGGCTGCAGCTGGGCAGTTCAGTTGCTGCAGGACCTGCTGTGCTAGCAGGCGGGGCTTCAGTGTTCCCAGCTAGAATGGAGAGGAGTTCCCTGCCTCAGAGCACCCCTCTCCTACCAGGGCACAGCTTGGCAGAGGGGAGCTGCACCTTCCTCTTCCACTGGGGCCTGGCCTCCGTCGGCTCCATCCGGTGGTGTCTGGTCACCATGGAGACCAGGCAGGCCCCCTGGGTGGAGGGTTTCTGGGCTGTGACCCACCTCTCAGTGGGGAGGGGGCGGCCCCGGCTGCTGGGAAGCCTGACCCTGGGTGTAGAGGAAGAGGCTGGGGCTCCCAGCTGCTCCGGGTCCCACCCACAGTGGGACCTGGGCTGGCAGCGTGCGACCCTCCCAGCACTGGGGCCAGTCGAGCCCCCTCCTCTCCCTTCCTCTCCATTCGCTCCTTGGCATGCAGGGCTGCGGGTGGGGCAGGACCCGGGGACGAGGCCAGTGGGAGTGGCCAAGAGAGGGGAGGCTTGTGGAAGGTGCTAAGGGTTGGGGACTGTGACATGTTGGGCACCCCCCAGCTGCTGGGGTGTGGAGGAATTAACCAGACTAAACTGGGGAGGCCTGGGGACCCTATGGGGAGGTGGGGGTGGGGTTAAGGGCTGCTGAGGGCTGCCTGGATGGGGCTGGCAGGGTCCCACCCTGCCTTGGAGGAGAAACAGAGGCCCTGGGAGTGATGGGGCCAGGACAGCGCCTGGCAGAGAGATCCAGTGCGGGGCGTAGCTGGGGAGAGTCCCATGCTGAATTTGGGAGGTGCCTGTGAGCCCCGACTAAAGGAGGGCCTGGGGATGCGGGAAAGGGGAGGTGTCCCTGTCACCTGCAGGCGCTGTGCACAGATGTCCGCCTGGGAGGGAAGGACTTGGGGACAGGCTGGCCAACTCGCCAGGGCTGGGACCCCATCACAAGACTGGCCCTAGCTCCAAAGCCTGGTCCACGCTGGCTCCTGAGGGCTGGGACCCCAGGCCGTGGCCTCACTGGCCCCACCACTGACACGGCCACTTCTTTGTGCTGGGCGGAGCACCAGCTGCCCGTGGCCAGGCTTGCATGTCTGAGGGAGGGGGCCCTGCCCTTACCTCGGAGCAGGACTGGGTGTCCTGAGTCAGGTGCCCTCTGGGGTCACTTCTGCCCCTCCCTGGGGCCCTCCCCACTTGGGGGACAGTACCAGCTGGGAGCCTGTGGATGGGGGGCACGTGCCCTGCCCACGGCCTGCACACCTACTGTATGTCCCACACACAACAGGATGCCTGCCCCCACCTCATGGGGCCCACAGAGGCCTGTCCCGGCCCCTCCTCCTGTGAGGCCTCCACCGTAAGGAAGGGCGGAGCCCAGGCACAGCCTGCCTGGAAGGGCCCTGCATCCGACTGGCTGGGAGCCTGGGAGGCCTTATCTCCAACAGCTCCAGGCCCCATTCCTGAGGCTGGGCTCACAGAGAGGCCCAGGCTGCCTGCCTTCCTGGGCAGTGTGGGGAGGGGCCCTCCTGCTCCAGGGGCCCCCAGTCCTCAGCCCTACAGGCTGGTGTCAGCCCGGCGGCCTGGGCTCCCTCCACTGAGGCCCCTGCCCTCTGCCCTCTCCACCAGCCAGGGCCCCAGCTGAGCAGCCCACGTCCCTGCATCCCCCACAGCTGGCACCAAAGGCCCCTGCGTCCCCCACAGCTGGCACCAAAGGCCCCTGCGTCCCCCACAGCTGGCACCAAAGGCCCCTGCGTCCCCCACAGCTGGCACCAAAGGCCCCTGCGTCCCCCACAGCTGGCACCAAAGGCCCCTGCGACCCCCACAGCTGGCACCAAAGGCCCCTGCGACCCCCACAGCTGGCACCAAAGGCAGTGTCTGTGGGGAGCGATGCGTGCCCCAGCCCTGTGAGCGTGATGTTCTCTGGCCTCTCCCATGCAGGTGGAGCGGGAGATCGCGATCCTGAAGCTCATTGAGCACCCCCACGTCCTAAAGCTGCACGACGTTTATGAAAACAAAAAATATTTGTAGGTATTGCTGGGTCTGAAGAGCTGGGGTGGCGGAGGTGGCAGCTGTCGCTGCAGGGGTGGGTGTCTGGGGCTTGGGGAGCACAGGGGCTGGAGGCCAGGGGCGCCTGCTGCATCCCAGCAGCCCTGGCCCTGCTAGCATGAACACCTGCCTGGGTAGGGTCTCAGCCCAGGCTGCTGTGGTCTCTGCTTCTGGACCAAACCGGAGACCTGGTCTGTGGAGGCTCGCAGAGCCACCAGCCTGAGGCTGGCAAGGGGGAACAGGACCTTCTGGAGGGGAGATAGGAGTTTCAGGGCAAGGGGCAGGAGCACCTGGCCCTCCCCACATGGCCACGCTGAGCCTCCTGGCCTCTGCCCAGGACGTCCCCAGCCCTGGGCAGTGAGCCATGTCTCTATCCCTGAGGCTCCCTCACACGAGGCACAGCCACCAGGATCCCGCCCTGGCTGGACCGTGGCTGAGTGTGGCTGAAAGTGTCACCTCCGCAGCCGCTGAGGCCAGCAGAAATCCCTACCCTGTCCCAGGCATGCCTGGCTGTGAACCCCATCCCCCCAGACCCAGCCTCAGGGAGCTCCTGGGAATGGGCACAGTGGTCACTCACGGCAGTCTCCTCTGTGTGCTCTGATGGGGCTTTCTGACAGATGAGGCGCTGCTGCCCAAGGGCTGTCTGGCCTTGAGCCTCATCTGACCCTCGCTGGTCCCAGGGCGGCGGCGTGACCTGCCAGGTGATCCTAGCCGGGCATCTCTGAGGCATCAGGCTCTGAGGGAGCAGGGAACATACAGGGCTGGGCTGGGGGCTGCCCTCAGGGTGAGCTGGCTGAGGGCCTGGCTGAACCCAGCAGCTCCCCTTCCCCCAGCAGCAACGTCCACGCTTGCTCTGGCCTGGGTTTCTGCATTCTCGTGGGGAGCATGTGCAGGTGGCCAGCTCGTGTGTAGCTGGGGAGAGGAAACCCAGGGTTGGGGTGTGGGGAGCCCGCCTGCCCCACCATGAGCAGGGGCTCAGAAACTGTCACCAGAGGACTGGGGGGGCGGGGGTGGTCCTGGCCCTGATGCTGGCAAGGTGGACTGTGACAAGGGGCATGGCTTCCTCATGGTGACACGGTGCCGGTGCAGTGGGGTCCTGGGGAGGCCTTCTCGGAGGGGAGGGCAGGGGAGTGCGGGGGGGATGGGCACAGCAGGCCAAGGCCCAAGAACAGGAAAGAGCCCAGGAGGTGGGCATGGCCGGGCTCGCGGCTTCTCCCGAGGTCTGGCCCTGGGTGTTGTCCCACCCCCTCTGGACACCATGTGGCCTATGCTGAGCCTTGGGCCTGGCCGCCCCCCTGCCCAGAATCCCACCCTGGCCCCCACCACCTTCCCCTGCCCTGAGGGCTTCACACCTTCCTCTGCCCTGAGGGCTTCACACCTTCCCCTGCCCTGGGGGCTTCACACCCTCCCCTGCCCTGAGGGCTTCACACCTTCCCCTGCCCTGGGGGCTTCATATCTTCCCCTGCCCTGGGGGCTTCACACCTTCCCCTGCCCTGGGGGCTTCACCACAACCTCTGCTCCCATCCCCACACTGGGCCCTTGACTCCTGCCAAAACCAGCTCCTGGGACAGCCAGTCATCCCAGTCCGCACGGCAGCTCTGAGCATGCACCAAGGTGCCACCCCCTTGGCTGTACAGCCCCCCTACATCACCACAGCCACACCAGGGGCCACCACCCTCACAGGCCTCCCCCCCGAGCTGGTTCAGCCTGGGTGGAGCGGCCCCCAAGCAGCTGCATGCAGCGTCCCACGGGCCTCTCACCAGGAACCAGCCCCTCAGGACCCTCCATGTGGCTGAGACCCCACGGGGGCGGTGCTGGGAGCCCACCAGGGCAGGAAGGGGAGGGCCAGGCCAACCTTTTCCTCACCCCCTTCCCCTGGCCCTCACACCTCCTGTTCCCCCCACAGAGGCCCAGACAGTCCCTGGGCCCCTGGATGCGGCTGCGTGGTCTCCCTGCTCGGTGCCTGTGCCACTGAGGACCACAGGGTGTGAGGGCCAGAGCAGGCAGGGCAGAGTCCCGAGGCTACCCCATGCACCGAGCCTTGGCCCCAGCACCCGCCACACTCAGCCTGTGGGTTCCAAACCCTCCCTGGCGGCTGTGCCCCCAGAACCATCCCTTCACCTGTCCCTCCACCCTCACCCCACCCCACCCCAACCCAGGCTCCTTGAAGACTCATTTGAGGTCCACCCCCAGGAGCCCAGATGGTTTGAGATCCACCATAGTCAGGGCTCCTCTCAGCTGCCCCCCCAGCCAGCAAGAGGATGGGGGCGGCCTGCAGAGAGGCTGGGCCAGGAGGCGGCTGTGGGAGGCCCTGGGATGAGGAGGGGCGGCGGGCAGCCACAGCTGGGCGCACTGGTGGCCCCGTCTCCTGCAGGTACCTGGTGCTAGAACACGTGTCAGGTGGTGAGCTCTTCGACTACCTGGTGAAGAAGGGGAGGCTGACGCCTAAGGAGGCTCGGAAGTTCTTCCGGCAGATCATCTCTGCGCTGGACTTCTGCCACAGCCACTCCATATGGTGAGGCCCCACCCCTGGTGCCCCCCACTCCCCAGGGACCCCCACACCCAGTGCGCTACCACAGATGCCCCCTGTGCCCCAAGGACTACACCCCCTATGGTGCTATTCCGAGGTACACCATGCCCCCCATTAGCTGCCCCTCAAGTGCACCATCTCCTCCTCCCCATTAGCTGCCCCTCAAGTGCACTGTCCCCTCCATTAGCTACCCCTCAAGTGCACCGTCCCCCCATTAGCTGCCCCTCAAGTGCACCGTCCCCCCATAGCGGCCCCTCAAGTGCACCATCCCCCCCATTAACTACCCCTCAAGTGCACCGTCCCCCCCATTAGCGGCCCCTCAAGTGCACCCTCCCCCCCATTAGCTGCCCCTCAAGTGCACCATCCCCCCCATTAACTACCCCTCAAGTGCACCATCCCCCCCATTAGCGGCCCCTCAAGTGCACCGTGCCCCCCATTAGCTGCCCCTCAAGTGCACTGTCCCCCCATAGTGGCCCCTCAGGTGCACCGTCCCCCCCATTAGCTACTCCTCAAGTGCACCATCCCCTCCCCCCCATTAGCTACCCCTCAAGTGCACCGTCCACCCCATTAGCTACCCCTCAAGTGCACCGTCCACCCCATTAGCTACCCCTCAAGTGCACCGTCCCCCCATTAGCTACCCCTCAAGTGCACCATCCCCCTCATTAGCTACCCCTCAGGTGCATCATCCCCTCCTCATTAGCTGCCCCTCAAGTGCACCATCCCCCCCATTAGCTGCCCCTCAAGTGCACTGTCCCCCCATAGTGGCCCCTCAGGTGCACCGTCCCCCCCATTAGCTACTCCTCAAGTGCACCATCCCCTCCCCCCCATTAGCTACCCCTCAAGTGCACCGTCCACCCCATTAGCTACCCCTCAAGTGCACCGTCCACCCCATTAGCTACCCCTCAAGTGCACCGTCCCCCCATTAGCTACCCCTCAAGTGCACCATCCCCCTCATTAGCTACCCCTCAGGTGCATCATCCCCTCCTCATTAGCTGCCCCTCAAGTGCACCGTCCCCCCCATTAGCTACCCCTCAAGTGCACTGTCCCCCCCACCCCATTAGCTACCTCTCAAGTGCACCATGTGCACCAGGTGCTTCCCTTTTCCCCCTGAGGACCCCCTGCACCTCCCCTTTCCCGAGTGGGCAGTGTGTCGGGAAGTTTTCTGCCTGGCACCCACCCAAGCACTCTGGGAGCCCCTCGGCCTTTCCAGGGGCCATTGCTTGCATCCCTACGTGCCTGGGGGCCCTAGGTTGGTCTAGGCCAGAGCAGGTGTGCTAGGGAGCAGGAGGGGGCAGGAAGGAGCCTGCCAGGGTGCAGGAGGGCATGGCAGGAGAAACAGGGATGCCTGACCAAAGGCCAGAGCCAAACGGACCAGGCAGGCGACTTCTGATTGGCTGCCTATGACATCACCAGGCTGGGCTGCTATTGGCCCTTATGTGTGATTGGCGTTTGGAGAGGCAGTGGGCTCTGGGCAGGGGGTCTCCAGGGCGGGGAGGCGCTCAAGGCAGAGACTGGCCCTGTTCAGCCTCACCACCCTCCTCCCCAGCCACAGGGATCTGAAACCTGAAAACCTCCTGCTGGACGAGAAGAACAACATCCGCATCGCAGACTTTGGCATGGCGTCCCTGCAGGTTGGCGACAGCCTGTTGGAGACCAGCTGTGGGTACGTGGCCCTCTGCCCTGGAGAGAGGCTGGGGGACAGGCTGGGCTGGGGGAAGAGGAGCCAGTGGACTGAGAGGCCCCCAGCCTGCCTGAGCCTCCCGGCACCCCACAGGCAGGCCCCCCACAATGTGCCTGAGCCTCCCAGTACCCCACAGCCTGGTGGTGGTGGGGAGACAGGCCTCCCGGCACAGTAAGGGTAGGGGTACAGCCCTGGCCCTGGCCTGCCTGGGAGAGAGGCTGGGACCCACTTACATGCCCCTCTCCTGGGGACCCCCTGGCCCCTGCCCAGCCGAGTGGGCAGACAGCTTTGGGCGCAGCAGAGACCCAGTGCCCCACCTTGATCTCCTCCCAAAAGCCCGCCTGGGGATGCAGGGAATGTGGGGGCGTCTGGCACCACAGCCCTGGAGGCCTCCTTGAGGGCCCTGCGGTGCACCATCACCCTGGGGGGAGGGCCTGGCAGCGCCCGGAGCCCCGCCGCTGACCTCTGCCCTTGCCCGCAGGTCCCCCCACTACGCCTGCCCCGAGGTGATCCGGGTGAGTCAGCGCCGCCGCGTGCAGCTCTGTGGGGCCCAGGGTGGCGGGGACCTGACCCTGGTGGGACCCCAGCCTGCCGCACCCCCAGGTGCTGCTAGGCTGCCTGTCCCCGGGCCGACTCCCTCTGAGCCCAGGCCCTCCAAGGCCCCCGCCCTGCCCTGCGCCCCCCAACAGCCCGGGCACTGCTGTCCACAGGGGGAGAAGTATGACGGCCGGAAGGCGGACGTGTGGAGCTGCGGCGTCATCCTGTTCGCCTTGCTGGTGGTGAGACCCTGGCCCCCTCAACCCTGCCCTGGCCTCTCCCCAAACCTGCCCCCCCACGCTGACCCCCACACCCGGCCGCCCGCAGGGGGCTCTGCCCTTCGACGATGACAACTTGCGACAGCTGCTGGAGAAGGTGAAGCGGGGCGTGTTCCACATGCCGCACTTTATCCCGCCCGACTGCCAGAGTCTGCTACGGGGCATGATCGAGGTGGACGCCGCACGCCGCCTCACGGTGCGTGCCCTCGGAGCGGGGCGGCCCCAGAGCGTGGCGGGGGGGCGCGGGGGCGGGCGTGTGCCTGTGTGTGCACAGGTGTGTGCCCAGACGTGTGGGCACCCAGGTGTGTGGGTCGGTGCCCAGGTGTGTGGACGTGTGCACAGGTGTCGGCTTGTGTTCAGGTGTGGGTGACCAAATGTGGGCCCATGGCCGTGTGTGGGTGCCCAGGTGAGTGTTCAAGTGTGTGTGCGCACCCAGGTGTGGGAGTGCCCAGGCGTGTGTGGGCTCGTGTTCAGGTGTGTGGGTGCACAAATGTAGGCACATGCCCAGGTGTGTGTTCAAGGGTGTGGGGGTACCCAGGCACATGCCCAGGTTCATGTGATTGGGTGAGGGCGTAGGTGTGGGCATGTGCACGTGTGGGGAGGTGTGTCCAGGTGCTTATGAGCACTTGTACCAGTGTGGGGTGTGCACAGGTGTGGGGGGCTGTGTGCACATGTAGGTGAGACCTGGCTATAAGTTACACAAAAGCACTGGTGCTTCCCCATCACGGCCATCCTGCCTCCAGACGCTGCTGGGGCAAGCTCCAGGCAGCGTGAATAGTTCTGCTGAGTGCCCCCAGCAGCTGTGGGGGCTAGCAAGAGCCAAAGGTAGCCCCCAGCTGCTGGTCCTGACCTCCTCCAGGGCTGCCTGGTGTGGGGACCGCACGTGTCCACTTGACAGAAGCAGGTCACACTCTGGGCTGACCCTTCCAGGGTAGCGTTGACCTGTTCCCAAGTGGCCACTGCCTCACACCCCACGAGCTGTCCCTGAGTCAGGGTGGAGAGAAGGGGCCGTGTGGCTGGCCGGCCCTCCCAGCCTCCTGCCTGCACCTGCACCCAGCCCTGCCCCGCCGCACAGGTGGGCCGGGTTCTTCTGGCTTCAGCTCCCTCCTGGCTGCTCCCTGCTCTCCTGCCTTGGTTCCTTCCTAGAGCCACGGAGGGGCCCAGCCCAGGCAGCACAGGCACCTGGGGCTGCCCTGGCTCCAGCTTCCCTCCCTCCCCCTCTCCCTCCGCTCCCCAGGCCCCTGCCCCTACCTGGAGCACCCCCTCCGACTCCAGCTCCCCCGACTTCTCTCCTCCTTGAGGTGTGTGTTTTCTTCTCCACTTGGGAGAGGCAGGAGCAGGGGTGCTGGCCTTGAGCCTCTGGGAACGCAGCCCCCTCCCTATCTTCCTCCCCACCTTCCCCCCACTCACTTGCCCTCACCCTCTCCTGCTCTCTCCGTGCTCCCAGCGCCCCTGCCTTCCCCCTCACCTCCTAATGTGGGCTCTTTCCGTCCCTCGTCCGTACTAACTCCCTGTTTCTCTTTCCTTGTAGCTAGAGCACATTCAGAAACACATATGGTATATGTAAGTAGCTTTTCCACCCACTAATCGCCTGCTTTGCCTGTTGCTGTGGCCTGGAGGCCCTGCTAGGAAAGGCGGGGGGAGGGCGCCGGCCCAGCGCAGGTCCTGCCCTGCCTTGGCCCTCCGTGGCCTGCGCTGGGTGCGGGGTGCGGGCAGGACGCAGGAGGCCTCCCCGGGCTGGGCACAGGGAGAGTGGCAGGATGAAGGGCCCCAGGTGAGGGCGGGCGTCCCACCCTCGCAGCCGCCCAGGCCCGGCCGGAGCTGATGAGCGGGTGGCCCGTCCTGTGTCCACAGAGGGGGCAAGAATGAGCCCGAACCAGAGCAGCCCATTCCTCGCAAGGTGCAGATCCGCTCGCTGCCCAGCCTGGAGGACATCGACCCCGACGTGCTGGACAGCATGCACTCACTGGGCTGCTTCCGAGACCGCAACAAGCTGCTGCAGGACCTGCTGTCCGAGGAGTGCGTCTGGGGCTGCTCCCGGGTGGGGCACGGGGCCTGAGGTGGGAGCGCTGCCCCGGAGGAGCCGGCGGCCCCGTGTGCCAGCGCGTCTCGCGCCTCTCGCCCGCTGTAGGGAGAACCAGGAGAAGATGATTTACTTCCTCCTCCTGGACCGGAAAGAAAGGTACCCGAGCCAGGAGGATGAGGACCTGCCCCCCCGGAACGAGATAGGTATGGGTCCAGGGGTGGCCTCCAGCCCGGCCTGCACTGCCCCACCGGGGTCCGGGGGCTGTCTGGCCTGACCTTCGTCTGTACTCAGACCCTCCCCGGAAGCGTGTGGACTCCCCGATGCTGAACCGGCACGGCAAGCGGCGGCCAGAACGCAAATCCATGGAGGTGCTCAGCGTGACGGACGGCGGCTCCCCGGTGCCTGCGCGGCGGGCCATTGAGATGGCCCAGCACGGCCAGAGGTGTGTGTGCCCCGAGGCTGCTGGGCCTCCCTCCCTGGGCCCTGGCTGCGCGGCACTGCCGCCTGGCTCATCGCTACCCATTGGCCTGGGGTCTCGGCTGAGGCCATTGGGTGGGGCTGTATGGGCTAAACTGGGCTTAGCTGGGCTGGGCTGGGCTGGGCTTGGCTGGGCTGGGCTGGGCTTAGCTGGGCTGGGCTGGGCTGGGAGCTGAGCTGGGCTGGGCTGTGCTGGACTGGACTGGGCTAGGCTGAGCTGGGCTGGCCTGGGCTGGGCTGGGCTAGTTTGGGCTGGGCTAGACTGCACTTGGTTGAGCCGAGCTGGGCTGTACTGGACTGCGCGGCTGAGCAGGGTTGAGTTGAATTAGGGTGGGCGGGGCTGGGCTGAGCTGGGCTGAGCTGGGCTAGGCTGCACTAGAATGGGCTGAGACGGATTTGACTGGGCTGAGCTGGGCAGGGCTGGGCTGAGCTGGGCAGGGCTGGGCTGGGCTAAACTGGATTTGGCTGAGCCGAGCCAGGCTGGGCAGGGCTGAGCTGGGCTGGGCTGGCTTGACCCAAGCTTGGCTGGGCTGAGCTGTGATATGGTCACACCATGCTCAGAGCCATCAGCCCAGCAAGCCTGTCCCCCTGGTCCCAGCAATGCTGGGCCCGTCTCTGGGTGGCAAGTGTGGTGTGTGTGGCCAGGGACATCACAGAACTCAGCAGTGATGAGCAGACCCGTGGCCGGAGGAAGGGCACCCAGCCCCTCTGGAGCCTCTGCTGGGTGGGGGCAGGGCTGGGCTGCCCGCACGAGGCCCTCAGCAAATCCTTGGAGCCGGTGCGGCCTCTTGGGGATGAGCTCAAACGTCCCTCACCAGGTGGCAGCTTCCAACACTTGGGGACAGCCCTTGGGCCCAGGAGCACACCAGGAGGTCCAGGAGCCCGGGCAGCAGTCTCTGGTCTGCCCTGTGATCTGGGCCTCAGCACCCCAGGGCCCCCTCCTTGTACTGGAGATGTGGGGGGTGGGACAGGCGTGGCCTGTTCCTCGGGAACTTGGGGGAAGCTGTGGGGAACTGCAAGGTAGCTTGGCAGCCATCAGGCTAAACCTGTTCCAGCCCCAGCCCTGGCCAGAGTACTGGTGGTCCCAGTTCTGGCAGCTCCCAGGCCATGGCCCCCTGGGAGTCCTAGGCCCTCCCCAGGGTTTCAGGCTGGCCCAGCTTCCAACGTGGGGTCCCAGCCCCCAGAACCTCCTTCCCAGGGCCCAGTCAGCGCAGCCCTGACGCCAGTACTAGGGGGTAGCAAGGGGCCCTCCTATCTACATTCTACTGTCCTGACCTTCAGTGGCCTGCATGTCATGGGGGCACCACAACCTGTAGCCCAGGTGCCTGCCTCCTGCCTGCGTGGCCACCTCCCCGGACTCCCCGACCCTGCAGGGCAGGCCCCACCACCCCACTGCCTGGCCCCTCCGGTCAGCGGCGTGGGAGGCCGCCCTCTTGGCCTCTGCTGCAACTCCCAGGCCTGGCTGCCTGGGGCAGGTGTGGGATGGGCCAGGCCATGGACCATTCCGGGGCCTCTGGAAGGCCACTAGTCCTGGCATGTCCCAGCCAGATTCCACTCCTGGTGGGGCCACCTGTGCAGCCAGCAGAGACCCAGCTGCTTGGTGTTGGGCCACACAGGGCTGCTGACTGGGGACGCAGGGGTCCTGGGGGCTGGGGTGGGGGCTACCAGGCCACCCTGCCCAGCAGTCACACGGTGCGGGGTGTGCTGTCTGGCCCAGCCTCCTCTCTCGCCATCTTTGTGCAGCGGCCTCAGAGCCACGTGGAGTTCTTACCCGGTGTGGCCCGGGCCCTGGGGGCCGACCTGTGCCCGCGTGTGGCCGTCAGTAACTGTGTTTTCTCGCTCTGTTCTGCTGTAGTAAAGCAATGTTCAGTAAAAGCCTGGATATCGCTGAGGCCCATCCCCAATTCAGCAAAGAAGACAGGTATACACCCCGACCACCCGTCCCCGCACCTCCCAGCCCCAGACACGCTGTCCTGCCTCAGGCCGGGCAGGCACATGGGCGGGTCTGGTGGCGGGCTGGGCTGCAGGGCTCCTGCTGCGGTGAAGCCAGCCAGCAAGCCAGGCAAGGGCCCGCGGGCCAGGCAGAGGCCGAGGAGGGGTGGGGCTGCTGAGGCGTGGCCCACGCCTGCCTGTGAGGGACCACGCACCATGGCTTACAGGGCCTGGGGCTAGAGCCCGGCGTGGCTGCAGGCCGAGCCGCTCCTCCTGCCAGCCCCTGTGCTGTGTCCGGTGGGCCTCGGTGGCCCTGCTGCCCCTGGGGCCGGCCAGAGTTGAAGCCGAGCAGCCGTCCTGTGCCCACCTGCAGGAGCTGAGGAGGGCAGGAGGCGCCGCCGTCAAGAGGGGCCTCTACCTGGGGCCAGTTTTGCGAGCCTGGGCGGGTGGCGCCGCCCCCAAGGCTGCAGTGTGCTGGCTGCCGGTCGGGGTCCTTCTCTTTGAGCCCTGGCCCCGTGCCTACCTGGGACCCTCACCTGTGTGCCCTCACTCTGCCTGCCCTGGCTGCCCTCAGGGCTGGCGCCGTCTCTCCTGCCCCTGCCCCAGCAACTGTAGCTCAGTGTTCCCAGCAGCTGCCTGGCCGGATAGGACCAGGGCTCGGCCCCTCCACCCCGGGGTTTCCAGCGCCTCTTCTGTCTTCCTCGTGCCCAGTCACGAGCTCTGGGCGGGCTCGACAGGAACCACAGGTCCAGGGCCTCACTGGTGGCTGCTGCCCCCATGAGGGCTGTCCGCGCTCCCAGCTCAGCCCTGAAAGCTCTGGGTCCAGTTCCAGCCCTGGGTGTCATCCTGGCCCAGACAGGCTGGGTTGTGCATGGGGTCCCCGTCGCCTCCCTGCCCCTTGGCTGTGTCTGGTGAGGGAGTTGGAGGGTCGTCACCGTGGGGACCAGCCCCCGGGTGTCCGGGAGCCAGGTGTGTGGCCAGCGTGGCACTCTCCACGGTCCGGGGCCTGGGCCGTGGTGTGGACTAGCGAGGCCCCTCGTGGCCGGCTGGCGGTGGGCAGGCCTGGTGGGTAGTGCAGGCCGGGCTT
Source organism: Homo sapiens (assembly GCF_000001405.40). Taxonomy (NCBI): domain Eukaryota; kingdom Metazoa; phylum Chordata; class Mammalia; order Primates; family Hominidae; genus Homo; species Homo sapiens. The sequence goes on from NC_000011.10 coordinate 1,448,962, forward strand.
TTACTCTTCTCTGTCCTCTTCTCTTCGGCGGCTGCCTCGGCCCCTCCCTGCATTTCCTTCCTCCAAGGATGGCAGCTGCCACTGTCTGGGCACGTGGGCGCCGGCTCGTCCGTGCAGTGTGGTGGAACGACGCACAGCCGTCCTGGTCCCTGCACGGGGGTGGCGGCCACACACCGGAGTCTCAGCCGGGCACGCCGGGCCAGGGCCTCCCTCCTGCTGTGTGCAGGTCTCAGGCTGAGTAGGGCAGTGGTGGGACAAGGCCCCACCGTCCCTGCCAGCAGCTGCCCCAGCCTGGCCCTGCCCAGGCCCTCCTGGTTGTGGACAAGGGAAGGGCCGGCCGCTGACCCAGGCATCCCTCACGGGCATCTAGGGACATGGAGGACCAGGCTGCAGGCCCTGTGAGAGCTCAGCCAGGGGGGGCTTGGCAGGTGGGAGGCTGGAGCCAGCACGAGGCCTGGAGCAGAAGGGGCTGCATACAGGAAGCTCCCGTCTGTCCCCTCGTCCTTCCGTCCACCCCCACGCTGGATGGTCCTTTGCCGCGGCTGTCTGATGCCGTATCCTGTGCTGTGCCTGGGCTGCTGGCATGGGGTGGCCCCCACACGTGGGCTCTGATGGGGGCCCCAGTGGGGCTGGGCACAGCCAGGCGCCCTGGGCCCTCCTGAATTGACAGGGTGTGCAGCAGGACCCAGGGCCTCGAGGCTCTTGGCCCGGGCTCCAGGCCTCCTGGAGGGTTTACCTGGGGGGAGCAGAGCCCAGCACCTGCTGCTCCACTGCCCCCTGGCTGAGCAGTGGCCCTGTACCTTGTGACCTCCAGGTCTCGGTCCATCAGCGGTGCCTCCTCAGGCCTTTCCACCAGCCCACTCAGCAGCCCCCGGGTGAGTGACCCCCCGCCCCCACCCAGCTCGGATGCACAGAGGCCCCAACCCTCCCAGTCAGCGTGTGCCAGGGTGGGGGCAGCCTCGCGGACCCTGGGAAGCAGCCCCAGGCGCCCCCCATGCCCACGCTCCTGTGGCGGCTGCTGCTCTGTGGCGCAGGCTGCTCTGCTAACTGCACGCTCTTTTGTTTTGTTTTGTTTGTTTTCTTGTGTGTCACTTCTTTTCTTTTGTGGCTAATCCTCCTGCCCATGCCTGCCTGCCTCCCCACCCTCCCGCTCCCGCCTGTTTCTTTCTGGTCCTCCTGTGCCGTGTGCATGCGGGGGACTGGGGTGCATGTGCCGCGCGGCTGCCCCCACCCCGCTCGCTCCCTGCGCCTCCCCGTAGCCTATTAGGAAGCTTGTCCTGCCCCCACCGCCCCCCGAGCCGCCCTTCGTGGCCCGCCCCCTGGCCACCTCCACGGAGCCCGAAGCTTGTGGGAGCGCCTCGAGGCCTGGACACGTCCTCCCTCTGCAGGCCGCCCTGCGGCCCGACCCCAAGACCCAGACCTTGCCGTGCAAGGCCAAGCTGACCGACAAGCCTCTGCAGGGCACCAAGTCCAACCCCTTCCCGGCCAGCACCCCAGCCCGGCCTCCCGCCACTGGCCTTTGTCCCCAGCTGGCACCACCCCTGGGCCCGCCTGCCCTGCGGGTGCCCCCCCGGCCCCCACCCGCCGGGATTGAACCAAACACCAAATCTGTCCCCACCATACAGGTGACCCCTCACCCCTCACCAAGGGGCAGTCCCCTCCCCACCCCCAAGGGGACACCTGTCCACACGCCAAAGGAGAGCCCGGCTGGCACGCCCAACCCCACGCCCCCGTCCAGCCCCAGCGTCGGAGGGGTGCCCTGGAGGGCGCGGCTCAACTCCATCAAGAACAGCTTTCTGGGCTCACCCCGCTTCCACCGCCGGAAACTGCAAGGTGAGTGTCTGCCCGGAGGCGCCAGAGTGGGGCTGGGAGAGAGCAGAGGCTGCCTTGGGGAGGGCCCCGCCCGGCAGTGCCAGACCAGTCCGAGGGGCCTGTAGCTGCAGGGGTGGCCTGGGCCTGCCCACGTCTCACTGTCCCGAAAGCGCCCAGCAGCAGCCTGTGTCCTACCTGTCGCACAGGCTGGTATCCCCTCCAGACATTCTGTGTTCCTGAGTCTACCCACTCTGTGTCCTGGGGCCAGGCACACAGCAAGGAGAGCTGGCCACCGAGGGGGCACTGCCAGTCAGGAGGCCCCATGTGTGGGGCACCAAGGGCCAGCCAGTGCTGCTGGAGAAGGCACAGCCGACTTCAGCACCAGAGGCGGGGACAGCTCCCCTTAGCCTGGGGGGCGCCACTGCCAGTGGGCCTCTAAGGTGGCCGGGAGCTGGGGTGGACCAGTGCCCCTGGGGGGGCTGTCCCAGTGTGTGTGGGTGGACTCCTGATGACCCTGACCTCGGCGCAAGGTGGCCAGGGCAGGGGAAGGATGGAGCGGTCACCACGCCTTTCCTCCTGTTCATCCTGTGTGCACAGTTCCGACGCCGGAGGAGATGTCCAACCTGACACCAGAGTCGTCCCCAGAGTAAGTGGCCCCTGCTGGAGGCCTCCTGGTACCTGACACCAGGCTGGCCGGGAGAGGGGCATGGAACCCTTCCCCTATGGCCAACGGGGTGCTCCTTCTCCACGTGGCCCCACCTCCCACTGCAGGCAGGCCCGTCTCGGCCACTGAGTCTCTGAAGTTCGAATTCCCGGCTGTGAGGGGAAGGCCAGCCAGGGGAGGAGCCCCCAGCCCTGTTGAGAAGCTTCAGGCCTTGGGAGAGCCTAGGGTTGGCTGGAGGCGAGCAGGGGGTACACTGGGCAGAGTCTCCCCAGGGCCTGAGCTCGCCAAGGGCAGAGACCGGGTCGCTCAGGTCTCAAGGAGAAAGCAGCCCGTGTTAAGAACAAAGGGGCAGCAGGCCTGGTGGGAACACGTGTGCAGGGGCGGAGCGGAGCAGCCAAGCCGAGGTCTGGCCCCGCCGCCTTTCTGAGCCGTGAGAGGTGCCACTGCAGAGACTCTACAGCGCCCAGGTGCTGAGATGCCCTGGGGGCCGCTGTGACTGGTGTCTGGACAAAGATGTCCCCAGAGAGACCCCTTCCCAGCGCCCAGGCCCTCTCCCTCCTCTCCACGATGGCCTCAGTCACTGGGCAGTGTCTCGGAGACCAGGCGACTGGCGGTGTACACATATGAGCCTGCAGCGTGACCCCAGGCCAGGCAGCGGCAGAGAGCGGCGGTCAGGCTGGAGTCACTTCACAGGAGACCCCGGGAAATGAAGATGTGGCCAGCTGTGGACTGAGTAAGACGAGAACCTTCGTCCTGCTGCTGGCTTTAAACCAGGGGCCCCTGTGGAAACTGCTCAGTGCTAAGCCCCAGGAGCAGCATCTGCAGCCTGTGCCAGGATTCCACCCAGTGGCCTTTCTGCGCCGATCAGGTGGCCCTTCCAGCTGGGTGCCCAGGTCGGAGGTGTGTAGGTATTGTCGCAAGCCCAGATGCACAGGGCTCAGCAGACTTGGGAACCTTCCGCCTAGGCCCTGACATTGCCGTTTCTGCTGCTACCAAAAGCTTTCATGAACAGACTCATAATTATCTTCCTCAGAGAAGGTGGAAAACATCAAAGCCGAGAAGGTGGCTTTGATGCCACTGTGGCTGCCTGCGCTTCTCCCCTCCCCCATCTTGAGATGGCCTGGAGGCCCTGACCCCTCTCAAGGGTCCGGCACGGATGCCTCCCACAGCCCCACCCAAGGGCCCGGCACAGACACCCCTTCCCAAGGGTCCAGCACAGATGCCTCCTACAGCTCCACCCAAGGGCCCGGCACAGATGCCTGCGACAGCCGTTCCCGAGGGTCCAGCACAGACACCTCCCACAGCCCCACCCAAGGGCCCGGCACAGATGCCTGTGACAGCCCTTATTGAGGGTCCTGCACAGACGCCTTGGACGAGGGTCCAGCACGGATGCCTCCCACAGTCCCTCTTTGGCGACAACTCGCTTGCTGGGGACCTGAGATAACCCCCAGCCCCAGCTGCTGCCAGCCCCATGTCAACCAGGCACCCCAGAGGAACAGCACCAAGGGAGGCAGCTGGCTTCAGGAAGGGATGCATGCGGTTGTCTGGGACACTCAGGGCTGATGTCCTTGAGTCTGAAGTGCTAGCTGGAAGCCCAGGCAGTTTCCAGGTTGCAGCCTCGAGGGGCGTTCTTTCCCCAGGAAGACCGAACCTGGCGGATGCACCCACCCTGTGAGGAAGGGTCCCCCGCCAGACTCAACAGGCGACTGATTTAAGTTCGTCTCATCTAAAAATAGCTTCATAGCAACACCCAGACTAGTGTCCGGCCAGGCTGTGCACTGCCCACCACGTGGGTGCTGGAGTCACAGTGCAGGCCCCTCACCCCTCGTCGGCCTGGCCTCCCTGGGCCGTCAGGCATCTTTCACACATGGGACTATTTTTGCCAAATGCTGCACCCCTGGGCCGCAAAGCAGAGAGTCACGTTTGTACCATCTGTCCTGTCTCTTCATCGGGCAGAACATCGACCATGTAGAAACTCACCTGTGCTTCCAGAACTGCCAGGCTGCTTTGTGCACTTCCTGGCTCCAGGCCCTGGCATGGGGCTGGGGTAAGGTCAGGGCCAGTGGTGGCCCTCGGAGTTTTGAACCCAGAACAGACAGCCGCCGAGACCGGCAGGACACTGAGGAGGCGTCGAGGGGCTGAGTGAGGGTTGGACCTGGTCCCCGTGCTTGTCCGGCAGGACTCCCAGGCCGCACAGTGGCCGAGGAGGCAGCTCCAGGAATGGGCAAGGGAAAGGGGAGTTGTGAGGCCGCTGGGAGGGGCCTCAGAATCAGTCGGGAGAGGGCACCACTGAGCCCCAGCCCTGCTGGCCCCTCCTCCCGGTCCCTGCCTCTGCCTCTCAGCACACCTGGTTCCACCTCCAGGCAGCAACGGCAGGGGACGCCAGCAGAGCGTGCCACCTCTGAACAGCCACCCAGGCGCGCTCTGCCTGAGTCTCGGGCTGTGCTAGAGGCGCCTCTGGCCATGGTCCTCTCACGGCTGGGCTTCCTGGCCCCCGCGCTGGTGGGTGGGGTTCGGGTGCTCTTGAGCTGGAGAGCAGAGGGCCTCTGCATGTTGGGGTGAGCCTGCCAGCAAGACAGGAGTAGCCTTCTGTGGCCTCAGAAGCGCCTCCCCACTCTCCTGTTGGAAGCGAGTTGCAGGCCCCGCCTGCTCCTGGGGGTGGGGGGCACAGCTGACTTCAGGAGCCCAGCTTGAGCCACCTCTCACAGCGGCCTTGGTGAGGGGGGGCTCACCTGTGGGGGGCTCACCTGTGGAGGGGCATCCCCAGACTTGGGAGTGGGTGGCATATGGGCCAGGGTCAGGGCGTTAGGGCTTGGAGAAAGGTTAGGGTTGGGGTTGGGGTTAGAGCCACGGTGATGGTCAGGGCATATGGGCTAGGGTTAGGGCGTTGGGGTCAGGGCCATGGGTTCTGGCTAGCACTGTGGAGACAGCCGTTTCTATCACGAAGCGATGGAAGATTCCGCCGTTCCAACCCCAGATTCGAGGGAGGCAGGGGTGTGGACGGTGCCACACCTCAATCCTCACAGCCTCTGTCTCCCACTGCCCAGGCTGGCGAAGAAGTCCTGGTTTGGGAACTTCATCAGCCTGGAGAAGGAGGAGCAGATCTTCGTGGTCATCAAAGACAAACCTCTGAGCTCCATCAAGGCTGACATCGTGCACGCCTTCCTGTCGGTGAGGCCACAGGGCGCTGGGGGAGGCGGGCAGCCCTCCCAACCCCACACGGCCCAGCCCCGAGAATCCAGCCTCCTCACGTAGACAGGACATGTCCACGCGCACAGCACGGACGTCCGCTCACCCGTGGGCCTGCCTGGCCGCCTTCACTGGACAGGCGCTCTCTCCTGCCCACCCTCGTGAGGGAGGGGTCACTGCCCATCTGGGGTGCTTGGCCTGCGGAGGGAGTCAGGGCTTTGCTCACTGGTCCCCAGCAGCCCTAGGTGTGTGCCGGACAGGCCTGGGCAGCTGGCACGTGGGGCAGAAGGAAGGCTCCAGCTGGGTGGGTCTCAGAGGGGGACATTTCCATCAGACTCGGGGAGAAGCCCTTGTGAGGCCATGGCCCTAGGGACCGGTGGGGCTCTGCTGGCCCTCAGTGGACAGCCCCAGCCCTCAGGTGTCTCAGTTTCCCTGGTCTCACCCTGCCCTCGGAGGCCGGGTGGCTCTCCACAGAGTGGTCGCGCTCGGGGTCTTGGGTGGGCTTCATTTGTCTTTGCTGGGCATCTTTGGGTTAGGAGGAGCAGAAAGGCCCTAAAAGCCTCAAATGGAGAAAGTTTATTGCCAGGACTCCAGCACCCAGTCCCATCAGGACGCCCCTTCCTTGCCGGCCCTGCCCCACCCTGTGCTGCACCCAGCGCCCAGGCATCACAGGGGCTGCCCCCCACCCGCCTCCCCCACCGCCCCCAGCCTGCCTCCCCAGGGCTGCTGTCCTGCCCTGTGCTCACCACTGCCCGGGCGCCCTCCCTGGCCCCAGGGTCTTGGCAAGATCAGGCCGTGGTTCGCTTCGGCAGCCTCTCTAGCTAGGGACTGGCCCCCACCCCACCATATGCTCTGCCCCCGGGCACTCAGGCCACTGCTGCCCTGGCTGCAGCTGAGCTTCCCTTACGCTGTGGGGACAGCTTGGAGCCCCTGCAGAAGGCTCCAGGGCCAGGAGAGCCCAGCGCTGGGCAGGGCAGGCCTCAGACTGCACTTGGACCCTGGCCTCAGGGGTCCTCAGCGTCCCCGTCCCCGTCCCCACAGGCTGCTCACTTCCTCGGCCTCCTCCCTCACCACATCCCTTCATGCTGCCCCTGGTTGCCACGGCTAACCTCAGACTCAGCCCCTCCCCATGCCGGCCCCAGTGAGGCGGCTGTGTGCCAGCCTGGGCCCTGTGCGCTGGGTGGCCCTGAGTTCTGCTTCCTGCAGCTGCCCCCTCGGTACTGTGAAGCCCACCCAGCCAGTGCCCAGCACCATAGGTCCCGCAACCAGTGGGAGTCCCAGGAAGCCCCAGCAGGAGGGCACAGCCCCAGCCCCGCCCTTGCACCTCCCTCTCAGTGGCAGCTCCCAGACCCCCCACCTCCCACTCAGCTCCACCCTGGACCCCCACCTCAGGCTGCAGGGGTCACCTTCCACCTCCATCTTTGCCCTTAAGGCTCCTCTGTAAGGTCCTGGTCATCCTGTGCTGTGGCTGCCTGAGAAAAGCCCGGCAGGGGCTTAGCTGTGCCCGCTAAGTGGACCAAAGCTTTGGAGGGTGGGGGCTGGAAACGCCCCTCCCCCTGCTCCAGCCGTCTCCAACCGCACTGTGCCCCTCACGGAAGCAGAGGTGCCTGGGTGCTCACAATGTGTGCACGGTGGGGCTGGCTCGCCCCAGGGCTGCCTCCCCAGAGGGCCAGGGTGGGACCTGCCAGGCCAGCCACGCTCACGCTGCTCTCTCTCCACAGATTCCCAGTCTCAGCCACAGCGTCATCTCCCAAACGAGCTTCCGGGCCGAGTACAAGGCCACGGGGGGGCCAGCCGTGTTCCAGAAGCCGGTCAAGTTCCAGGTTGATATCACCTACACGGAGGGTGGGGAGGCGCAGAAGGAGAACGGCATCTACTCCGTCACCTTCACCCTGCTCTCAGGTGAGCTGGCGCCCCCAGGGCGGCTCCGGGCCCAGGCCCGTCCAGGGCATAACCCCCTGTCTCCCCTAGGCCCCAGCCGTCGCTTCAAGAGGGTGGTGGAGACCATCCAGGCCCAGCTGCTGAGCACACACGACCCGCCTGCGGCCCAGCACTTGTCAGGTGAGGCGGGCTCAGCTCCGGCCAACCTGCGGCCTGCGAGTGGGGCGTGGCCAGCTGGTGCTGCGCGGACGGGAGGCGTGAGGACCCGGGCGCAGCCTCCTGGCCCCTCTTGACGGACGCCCCCACCTCCCTGCCCCGAGCTGTGGCTGCACCCCTCAGGGAGCAGAGCCCCTCCCTGGCCTGGCGGGACCACCCGCCTCGCCTCTGCACGCCAGGGACATAGGGCGCAGCCGCACCACACTGAAAGGCGCCTCTTGTCCACCGTAGAACCCCCCCCACCAGCGCCAGGACTAAGCTGGGGTGCTGGGCTTAAGGGCCAGAAGGTGGCCACCAGCTACGAGAGTAGCCTCTGACGCTGGCAGGTAAGGCGCCCGGCCTGTGCTGGGGCGGGGAGGGGCTGCGGGCAGGTCCTCGGCGGAGCCAGGCTGGCCCTGAGCAGGGCCCTCCATGCCCACCCACAGGTCTCGGCCCTGGACAGGCCAAGCATGCCCCGGGCGGCCCATCTGCTAGGGCAGCCTGCACAGGACCTGGGAGAGCAGTGACAAGGCCCTGCCCTCGGGACTCCCCGCCATGGCACCCTAGGAGGGCCGCGGGCTGCCTGACGGGCTGTGACTTCTCATCTCTCCATACTTCCTGACAGCCCAGGGTCATGCCTCCAGCAGGGCAGAGGGGCTTGAGCCCAGCCAGAGCGGGGGCTTCACCACAGCCTGATGGGCTCACACAGGGGAGGGTTGCCCCAGCCTGGAACCACCAGGGTCTAGGACCCGAGGGTCCGTGCCACTCGGCATACGGCAGGGAGGGCTCCCCCCACTCCCCTGGGCCCATGTGTGGTGGGGGCAGGGCGGAGCACTGGGCACATGCATGGGCCTGGTCTGTCAGCAAGGGGGTGTGGGTGTGCCTCTGAACGCTGGTACGGCGTGGGGGCGCTGGGCGTCGTGGGGGAGCACCCGGCTGGACCCTGGGGGTCCCCTCTCCCAGCCTGCATCTCAGCAGCTCCGTGGCATGCTAGGGTCACCTCCTGTGTTTCCATGTGGGGTCCTGGAAGCCAAAGAGGGCCCCACTGCCCCTCCCCATGACATCCTCATTCCATCATCATGCCATCACCTGTGGGAGCCCCCCCAGAGTGTGCTTCACCTTGCTGCGGGCTGGGGGCTGAGGTCCCCAACAGCCCTGGCCCTAACCGAAGCCCCAGTGGGTGGAGGAGTAGCCCCCTTCTCCTGATTTTGGGAGCCAGGCTGGCACAGCGGGTAAGGAGGAGCAGGGTTCCAGGTGCTCGGCCCCGCAGGTACACGTGGCGCTTCCCTACAGCGGAGGCCATGCCGTCGGCCGGCAGCAGCCTCTGGCTCTCTGAGCCTTGAAAGCCTTCATCTTAGGAAGGGAAACCGAGGCCAGGGAACGACAGGGCAGCCACCTAGGCCAGGGATGGACAGGGCTTGTCTGGTAGGGCAAGCAGAAACGGGCCCCGGGGTACTGCCCAGGGTGTCCCCGCACCTGAGCAGCCATCTGGGTGCCTCAGTCGAGCGCTCCTGCGTGGGCTGTAGGCAAAGCTCCCCCAGCCTGGCCCCTTAAAGTGTGGTACCGCCTGTCAGCACGCAGCACTCCCCTGGAGCCAACTCCAAGCCCCTCTCCATTCCTGCCCCGGACCCTGACCTCAGTGGAGCCCACTGCAGAGGCTCTTGGGGGTCTATTCTGGGCCCCATCTATCTCCCTGTGGACTTGGGGAGCCCAGCCTATCCCCGTGATCTCGCTACGCCCAGCCCTTCCCAGCCCTGCCCCCCTCCCACACTGGATGCTTTTGTCCAGTGAGCCCAGCTCCAAGGATGTGTGGAAGGTGGCTAGCCAGCAGGGGGCCTCCTCAGACACTGCCCACCCCCCCAGAGACTGCGGCCGAGGGAGGGGAGGCTGAGAGCCCCCAGTGAGCAGGCACAGGCAGACCAGGGCGTGTGTCCACCCTGTGCAGGCGCCAGTGAGGGCCTTGAGGGAGTAGCCCCTCCCAGGGCCTTGCTCCCACCCCAGTCCTGGACTGGCAGCACCAACATCCCCAGGCCCAGCAGTAGGGAAGAGGGCCGAGGAAGAGGGTGCCTGCCTTGAGTTGAAGGGCAGCCGGAAGCCACAGGGCCCTGGAGCTGCTGAGTGGCACAGTGAGGATGCAGGCCACGGCCAGGGCAGAGTTGTCAGCCCAGGGGAGGGGCTAGGCCCACCCAGGGCACCGGCCATATCCAGGCTCAGGCTCAGGCTGCTGGAGGTCCGGCTGCTGCCCAGGTGGCTCCGCCTTGTTCCCTGCCTCCGCAGCCCCGCCTCACTCCAGGCCCTGCCCCTGCACTGCCCCTTATAAGCCCCGCCCCCTCTGGCTCTGGCCCCCCCAGTATTCCCCACCCATGCCTCTGGGGCCCTACCCACTCCTGGCTCCACCCCCTCCCCATCGAGGCTGTGGGCGTCCAGCCAGAAGGCCCAGGACAGCCTTTCACTCACTCCCTCCCTCCTCTCTCCATTCTGTACTCCAGACACCACTAACTGTATGGAAATGATGACGGGGCGGCTTTCCAAATGTGGTAAGAATCCCCCACGCTCACCTGGCACCTCCACCTGCCACTTCACCGCTCACCCTCAGCCCGCTGTGGCCGCCACCTGCCGCCCGGGTTGTCCCGGCCTCCCTGTGTAGATGTAGGCACCCAGCAGCCCAGATGTCCCCGGCCCCATCCTCTACCAGGAGCAGCCCAGGTCGCTCCCCTACCACAGCAAGCCCAGGCGGGGTTCCTGGCCAGACTCACCTCTGCCAGGCCCTAGGATCAGGGCAGGCCCAAGAAGGGGCTCCCAAGGCCTGAAGCCAGTGAGGGTCCCGCTGGTCCCACTGGTGCAGGCTGTGGCCTAGGGGAGGGGCCGGTGCCCATCCCTCTGTCCACTGGAGGCTGTGCCTGGCAGGGAGCGGAGGGGCCCACAGCTCAGGGCTCAGGTGGGGGTTAGGCTTAGGAAGTGGGATTGAGGGGCCTCCATCGACACACCTGGGCAGTGAGCACAGGGCCCCAAGAAGGGTGGGCTCCCCATTTCCGCCCCTCTTCTCAGGACTGCCCCCATCCCAGGGACCCGGGACATGACTCTAGCTGCTTGCCCCCAGCCCCCCAGCCTGCCTCCCACATCCACCCCTCCATGCTTGTCCACCCATCTGTTCATCTGTCTGTCTGCTGCTAAACTGTGTCCAAGCTGGCCAGGGGTCGGGCTTCAGGCCTCTCTGGGGAGGTGTGGTGGGCACACCCTCTCCCTGTCATCCACTGGGCCTCATGCAGTGGGGCCAGCAGCTGCCCCCAGGGTCCTGCGAGGCTTCAGAGCTCCCAGCAGGCCCTTGTCTTTACGCTGTCATCTCCGGCGTTGGGGTGGGTCGGCCCTCACGGCTGCAAGGTGGGGAGGGAAGGGGGGTGGGGCAGGGCCTTCCGGGCCAGGCCTTGGTGGGGAGGGAGGGGTCTCACCACCTGCCCCGAGCCTCGCTTCGCCAAAGGAGCACTGGGTCCTGCGCAACAGCTCGGAGGCGCTGGGGTCCTAAGTTCCTGGCCCCACGGCGCACAGCTTCCCCACCGCACAGCCCCCAGCGTACAGGGCCCCTGCCGGCCGCCGCCTGCCCACCCTGCTTGCCGCCCACCGGTCCCCGCTCGGCCCCATCTCAGCCTCATCTCTGGGTTCTTTCCCTCGTCGAGGCCTCTTCGTTCATTTGTTTGTTTGTTCTCTTTCTCTCTCCTTCCCTCCCCTCCTCTTTCTCTCCCCCTTTTTTTTCTTTTTTCCTTTTTTTTTTTTTTTTTGTCTCTGTTCTGTGTACCCAGGCAGCCCATTGAGTAACTTCTTTGACGTAATTAAACAACTTTTTTCAGACGAGAAGAACGGGCAGGCGGCCCAGGCCCCCAGCACGCCCGCCAAGCGGAGTGCCCACGGCCCACTCGGTGACTCCGCGGCCGCTGGCCCTGGCCCCGGAGGGGACGCCGAGTACCCAACGGGCAAGGACACGGCCAAGATGGGCCCGCCCACCGCCCGCCGCGAGCAGCCTTAGACACACTAGCCCCCCCCCCCAGCACAGCACTGACAGCGGCTGCCTCGCCGCCCGCCGCCCGCCCTGCCCCGAGTGGACCCGCGGCCGCGCCGCCCGTCCGTCCAGACTGTTCTCAGAGCCTGGGAGGAAAGGAAAGGGGCGTTGGGGCCGGCCTGTGGGCTGCGCCACCCGCGCCCGCTCTCTTTTCTCTCTGTCTCTGCCTCTGCCTGTCTCTGACAGCATCGCTTGTTTCCACTCTGATACCAGGAATTATCCCGAAAAGTTAACATGTCACCTCCACGAGGCCATCCTCTGTGACCGAAGGCAGCTGCTGCGGACCCGCCCTCCCTCCGCTCCTGCTGTTGCTGCCGGGCAGTGAGGCCCAGCCCAGCGCCCCGTCCACCCCGCGGCAGCTCCTCGCCTCAGCTCCGCACGGCCCGTGGGAGGAAGGCCAGGCTCGGGGGAGCCTCCTCCAGCCCGGCCGACCCGGACTCCCGGTCACCTGACCCCTCAGCAAGAACAGCCTGCCTGGTGGCCTTCTGGGGCCAGGACCCCTGGTGGGCAACGTAGCCACAGGAACAGGCCCCGTCCACCGCCTCCACGCCGCACCTGGAGGCCTCCTCGCAGGCCCGTGCCCCGCCTCCCTGGCTGCGCCGCCTCCGTGTAGTCTTGGCCTCCTCAGGCTGCCTCCCGTCCTCTCGTCTCACCCGCGCCTCCCTTGCCTCATCTGGGGCGGCTGTGGGCTCTGGCGCTCCTCTCTGGCTGAGGTGGAAACAGAGACACCCTGCGGCACCAGAGCCTTCCCAGCAGGCCAGGCCGCTGGGCTGGGATCAGTGTTATTTATTTGCCGTTTTAATTTATGGATTCTCCGCACCTCTGTTCAGGGAAGGGCGGCGGCCACATCCCCTGCCGTCTGCGTGTCTCAGGCAGTGGGGGGGCTGGGGCCAGGGCGCCCTCTGAGGACAGAGCTGGTGGGGCGCGGGGGGGCTGGCGAGCTACTGTAAACTTTAAAGAATTCCTGCAAGATATTTTTATAAACTTTTTTTTCTTGGTGGTTTTTGGAAAAGGGTGTGGGGGTGGGGGCGCCGCTGGGGCAGGGCCAGGTTTTGTGTTTTAGTCCCTTGCTCCTGCTTCTTTCTACACACACATCTAAAGACGGTGCGGCTCGCTCTGTCATGGGTTCCGTCTCTCTGTGGAGAAGCAGCTCCACCTCTGGGGGGGCTCGGGGCAGAGGGGCGGTGTCTTGTAGCGGGCGGCAGCGCCAGCGCCCCTCTGTCAGGCTGGGGCAATCTTGGTTTTGTGTCCAAAGGTGAAGGGGTAGGAGGAGGGCCCTCAGCTGGCCCTCCCCACACACAGGACGGCAGGGGCACTGTGAGGCTTTTCTTATTAAAATGAAAAAATTGAAAAAAAAGGACAAAGAGTCGGTGGCGCTCCTCTGCAGGGCGTTCTGTGCAGAGCGAGGCCCAGGGCGCAGCCCTCAGAGGGCTGCAGGCCCACCCTGCCCAGTGCCCGCCGCCGTGCTTCACCCCAGCTCCAGCTTCTGTGTTCCCTTCCGCCCATGTGCCCAGCCCTCCCAGGCGGGCACAGCCCGGGTGCGGCGGCCGTGGGGGACGGCGGGTCTGATGCATGCCTCTGCCATGGAGTCGTCTGTCTGCTTCGGTGCCTGCCCCTGCCTCCCACCCACCTCGTGTATAGATTTTAACGCTTCTGTTAACATTAGACCTCTGCCACAGGCTGGGATTTCTATACATAAGAACAAAAGCAAACACCTAGGACAGCAAACGCCAGGCGGTACAGGCGGGAAGGGGCTCTCCACGGAGATCGAGGACACGAAGCAAACTGCCTCTTGCTTGCCTTCCCCTTTTGTGCTTCGGACACACGCGGACTCCAGCAGGCGCCACGGAAATGGGCAAGCCCCTGCAGTGTACCCCTGTCATAACTGTGAGCAGCTGCAGCTCCGGAACAATAAATCCCTTCCGCAAAGACAGCGACGCAGGTCTTCATCTGGGCAGGGCGGGCGCGCAGGGCTCTGTGACAGCCCGGGACAGCTTCTTGTTCCCCACTTGCAGCCCCTGGGCTGCGCCAGTGTGAATGCAGCTACCCTCTGCCCAGCTGAAGAGGGTGAGATTCCGGGCGGCCAAGGTCAGAGGTCACTTCCGATGTGTGGGGCCATCCCCCGAGGCTGCCCCAGCCTGAGGCGGGCTCCCGTTGAGGGCCAGGGCCTGGGCGGAGCTCTCTTTGCACGGCACCTCTGCCACCCCACAAGGCCTGCACGGCCACCCAGGGCCTGGGCCTTTTCCTGGAGAATGAGCCTTCTTCCCACTCCTTACTTGGGAAGGGTCCGGATAGGGTGCCATGACCCAGCCTTGGGAGTGAGGGGCCCAGGCTGAGCACAGCCCCTGGAGCTAGAGCGGGGATGGTCCCAGCCATACCTGCCACAGAGGGCAGCCAGGGCCGTGGGCTCCACTGGCACGACGCCCTGGCCCAGCTGCCCCTCTGCCGCCGCAGCAGAAGGGCAAGTCCAGGCCCATGCTGTGTGAGGCCAGTGGCCGGGAGTCCACCGCGGCCTGGAGGAGGCCAGCAGCAGGCCTCAGCAGGGTCCACGCAGAGACTGCGGCGTCCACAGAGCTGCCCTGGGAGGCCCACGCACACTTCCCTCCCACGTGAAGGACTCAGATGCGCCGGACTGCACCCAGCTGTCTATCATTGGAGCAGGTGCTAAGCACATGGCTGAGGGGGGAGATGATGATGGGGTGGGGGCCACATCCCTGGTCTCAGCCCAACAGAAGCTAGTAGCTGTCCCACCTCCATTGTGACAAAACGTCCCCAGACATTGCCATGAGTCTCCTGGTAGGGGACAGAATCACCCCCAGGTGAGAGCCACTGCCCTGAACTTCAAGCTGTGCCTGTACCCATCTCTCTGGAGGGAGCCAGGGGGTCACCATGTTAGTCAGGCTTAGTTAGCTCAGGGCTCCGCTCAGAGCCCAGGACACAGAGGGAAGCTGAGCCGTCCTCTGTTTGACCCTGGACTGCCAAGTGGCTGAGCTCACAGGAGGTTGGTACCCTGAAGAGAAGGCACTTGGGAGGGGCCCAGGGAATCAGGATCCATTCCAATCCCTGGATTACAGTTTCCCAGTTCATTTTACCTTAAGAAACAGGCTGAGGAAAGGAATTTGGCTGCTACGGTTCAGTGAGGCACAGGACAGTCTGTGGGGTCGCAGGCTACTGGCCCTGGACCGGAAGCCTTCCTGACCTGTGGTCCTGCACCTGCTTCTCTGAGAGCGGCTGACACACGCACTCCTGGCCCTCCTCTAAACATTCACGGTGAGAAGTCAGCCTTCTCAGGCCCATGACTGGAGGCCCAAAAGGAAACAGTGTGTCAAGAGTCCTGCCAGCTCCCCACTGCTCAGGAAGGGGCTGTGTCCTGCAGTCCCACTTCTGACACCAAGCTCTCTTGGTTGTAAGTAACAGAACCCAAAGCGAGCTAAGCCAGAATCTGCTGGTTTATATAAAAAATGAAAACAAATATGGCAGGACTTCTGATGTGGCAGACACTAGTCTCACTTTACACCAGTCGGTCCTCACATCATTTCTATGAAGAAATTAAAATGGAGATTGAAAAAGGATGTGGTGGCCGGTCTGCCCACCTAGAGGATGGCTTCACAGTCCTGGTCCTCAGTTCCCAGGTGGCTAATCCGACGGACACATCTGGGCTCAGAGCCTGCCACGGCCTGGCCTGAGAGCTAGGGCCCTGGTGAACGAGCCGACTGGTGAGCCCACCCATGGGATGGCAGGTGGGTGGCGGGGGACGACAGTCTGACCCACCTCCTGTACAGGATGCAGGTGGGAGGTGGGTGCTCCAGGGAGGGGCCCTGCACACAGCAGTCCAGGCCTAGGTCTGCTCCATGGGGAGCCTGCCCTGGGCTTTTCCGTCAGCTGAAGGCAGAGGCACAGAGCCCCAGCCTCCTAAGCTATAAGATGGAACAATTCCTGGTGTCACAAAGCCTCAGAGCTTGCAGGAGGCTGATGCCCGCATGCCAGCTTCAAGGTGGGGCGTTCCAGCTGCCCTGCTCCCATCCCGCCAGGGAGCTCACCACAGGTGGACTGGCCCTGCCTCCCCGTCCTGCCTGCCTCCTGCCCTCCAGTGGTGTGGTGCCCAGGCCCTCTGCCCTAAGTCCAGTGCCTCCCCACTCACTCCAGTGACTTCTCCCCATCCCACCCCAACTCCCTACCACCAACCCAAGTCTCTTGGTGTGATCTGGCAAGGGGTCGGGGTCAGCAGAGAGCCAGAGAGGAGGAGGCCAGCAACAGGAGGGAGAACCAGTGGCGACTTTCCAGGCAGCGGGGCCTGCTGGAGAGCGGGCAGGGCTGACAGACGTGCAGGGAACACTACCCGGGGAGCCACGTTCGTGCCAGCCAGACTGGCACAGTCTACACTGTGGGTCTCATGCCGGGGAGTTGGGCCCTCTTGTGCACCTGCCCCCAGGACCCTGTAAGAACGCCTTGGCCTGCTTGGTAGATGCATTGTCTCCTGTGGTTTCCTATCACCGCCATAGTTACCGCAAAGTAAGAAGCTTAAAACACCAATACCTCACAGTCCCAGAGTCAAGGACTGGGCAGGTCTCACTCAAGGGGTGCCCTGGTCTAGAATCAAGGTGTGCTCCTCCTGGAGGCTCCAGGGGAGGACCTGTGGCCGCCTGCATCCCGTGGCCTGGGGTCTCCACCTTCGCAGCCAGGAGCGTGGGTGGAGCCTCCTCACAGCTGTGTCCTGCGCATCCCAACCTGCGTCCAGCTTCCACGATGAAGGCCTCGTGCTCTCACTGGGCCCAGACCATCTCTGCCTCTCAAGGTCAGCTGATTGCCTTAATCCCATCGCTGCTTTCATTCCCCTTTGCTGCTGGGTGGCACGTTCACTTCCATGGGACTAGATGTGGACATCACCAGTGGTAAGGGATGTCTCAGGCCGAACGCAGTACCCTCCCACTCCCGCTGCTTCACACCCATCCCACGTGCAAATGCATCCCTCCCCTCACGGCCCCAACAGTCTCCACCAAACACAGCACCCAGTCCAGTCCCAAACCTCACGTACAGCTCATCAGCTCACAAGTCGCAAGTCGCACCCTCTAAGCTACCCCGATCAGGTATGGGTGACACTCTGGGCATTCCACCCTGGGGCAGTTTCCTCTCCATCTGTGGACCCCGAAAGCTAGAAAACCAGTTACCTGCTCCCAAAATACGACCAGAGAACAGACGCGGAATGCCAGTCACAGACACTCCTGTTTTCAAGGAAAGTTTGGCTGGGTGTGACGGTCCAGCACTTTGGGAGGCTGAGACAGAAAGGATCACCTGAGTCCAGGGGTTCAAGACCAGCCTGGGTAGTGAAACTTCAACTCTACAAAATATTTCAAAATCAGCCGGGCGTGGTGGCTCGCACCTGTGGTGCTGGCTACTCAGGAGTCTGAAGGGGGAGGACCCCTTGAGCCCGGAAGTCTGAGGCTGCAGTGAGCTAGGATTACCCAGCACTCCAGTTTGGGTGACGGTGAAACCCAGTCATTTATATGTGCATACACACACACACACACGTGACACACAGAGAAAGCTGCAAGGTGCTTGTGTCGCTGCTCCCAAGAAATCCAAAATCCAGCTGGGTACACTTCCTCCGTCCCAGCAAGGCCTGGGAACTCCTTCTGTGGGTCCCAACTCTGCCTCTGTGCTGACACCTCCACCCTCAGGGCCATGCTCTCTATTTATGAAACGTAGCAAGTGTTTGCAGCTGAACAGTTTAGTCTGCTTCCTGCCTGCTGATTTTTGGGGCTCAAGAGCCTTTCATCACATCCCCTCTGCCTCAGTCCAAGCCAGCTGAGTTTCTGATGGTTTAAGAGCCTCTCGTGGTTCCCACAGGGCTTCACCGGATCCGTAAGACCCAAGGCTCGTCCACAGACCCAAGGCTCGTCCACAGACCTCCCACAGCGGTCCCTGCTTTGAGCATCTGCTTGGGTGACCCGGGGCATCCACCAGCCACAGGCTCGCCCTCCTCCAGGAGCTCTTGGTGTGGCCGTTACTCTGAGCACACATTCCTGACAGTGAATCTCCTGACATCAGCATCTTCAGCTGAGAATTCCCGATGGCAGGGTGCTCACCCCTCTGCTAATGTCCTTCTCTCACTTAGTGGCCAACCTGAGCAGCGCAAGGGGCCCAGGCTGACCACCCTCGAGTGCTGCCCGCACGTGGCAACGGGACAGAGTGCAGCTGCACCTCTGCCCCCATGGACGGGGCTCTCCCTGGCTCCCGTTCTTTCCTTTCCCTCTGAGCTCCCACCTGCACCTTTAACCCCACATGTCCGAGGACGGGCGGGTCAGAGGGGCTCTGACTCTTCTCAGAGCCCAGGCTGGTTCCTCCGAGCCCCTCGAGCCCCGCTCGCCTCCATCCTTCTACCACCTGTTTAACAACATCACGGGCTTTTTCTATCACCCTCAAAATTCTTTCAGCCCAATTCCAAAGCCACTTCCACCTTTCTAGGTATTTGCTACAGCAGTGCCTCATGCCTAGAACCAAAATCTGCCTTCATCTCCTGTTGCTGCAGTTGCCATGAACTTCGTGGCTGGAGGCAAAATGAACTTACCTCAAACGGACCTCACCGGGCTAGTCTGCAGGGCCAGTTCTTTCTGGGTGCCTTCCTTTCCCAGCTTCTAGGAGCTGCCTGCACTGCTGACTCAGGCCCTTCCCACGCCGCGCTGTCTTCCTCCGCTGCCTCCCTGCTCAGTGCCCTTGGCTCTCCTGACAACACTGGGCCCATCCAGATAACCTCCCCTTCCTCAGGTCAGTGACCGGGAACCTGATTCCATCTGCAGCTTCCATCCTGCTGTGCTATCTAAGGAGACAGTCTCTTAGGATTAGGACACGGATCTCTTTTGGAGACCATCATTCTGCCTTTCAGAACACAGACCATAGATAGAGACTTAGTGAGCCATGGCTGCAGCTGGGGGCGAGGCTGAGCCCTCAACACTGAGACCCCCCTCAGTGTACAGGCCTCCTGTTCACGGAGGGAAACGGAGGCAGAGGCAGGAAGGCTTGACCAGGACTCCAGGTCTTACAGCAAGAACCCATCCCAGTGGAGGACAGCGCACAGCACAGTCCCCTCAGCCCAGGAGAGGGACAGGTCCACCAGACAATGGCCTAGCAGCAGGCGCCCCCAACGCCCAGCGCCAGCCCTCATCCCAGGCACCCTTCCCAAAGGAACTCATGCCCGCGACTCCCACGTGCCCTGGGGACCCTGCAGCTGCATCCTGAGTGTGAGACCGGCACGAATGCGCGCCCTGGACACCTCCTAAGGCCGTCCCACGGGCTCCACACACGCTCCATCTGAGGCTGCCTTGGAGGCTCTGGCTGGAATCCCGGTGTCCTCCTAGCCCCTTCAGCCCCAGTGGAGCTGGCCCCCAGCCCCCTGTGCCCTACAGCACTCTCAGTCCAATCTTCCACCCAGCCTCCGCTCGGCAGCCAGGCCCCAGGTTCGCCAGCACACAGCGACCCAGGCTGTGTGCCAGGCTGGCTCCCTGTGGCCTCAGCCAGGAGCTCCCTGCACACCCTAGACGGGGCCTCAGCCAGAGGGTGGCCCCACCAGGCCACCCGCCCCTGTTCTTGCCCTCCCTCGCCGGGGGACCTCCTTGCTACCTAGGCCAGCGCCGGTCCCTGCCTCAGGTTCCTACGCTCAGCCCCTTCAGTCAAGTTCTGTGGGTGTCCTGGGGCCTCCACTCTGGGGGTCCACGCAGAGCATCAGAAGACAAGGGTGGGTGGCACCCAGCAGGCCTCTCTCTGGGAACTGGGTTTGGCTCCAGGCACTGACTCACCATGCAGCCCAGGGTCACGGAGTCAGTGCGGGCCCTCGTGGGGAGGTGGCGGACCAGGCGGTGAAGGCCTTAGGGTACGCGTGGATGTCGGAGGAGACGCCCCCAGCTGACTCCAGACATGTTCTGAGAAGCCCAGAGGCTGTCAGCTCTCGGGGTGGGAGGCAGAGACAGGGCAGGGGAAGGGCCTCTGACCTGCAGCTCGATCCCTGGGAAAGCCAAGAAGGGGCCTGTTGGCCACAGGTGCATCATGCAGGCTGAGCCCGAGGCCAGGGGAGCACCACGACCTGGGCAGGCCCCCCTAGCTAAGGGGGATGGGGGGGGGGCGGACTGCCCGAGGTCACTGTGCAGCAGGCGCCATCGGCAGGAGCCCACAGTCCTGAAGTCTGAACCAACTAGGCCCTGACCCTGGAAGCCCTCTCTTCCCGCTTCTCAGCCCACTCAGGTCCTGATAAGCTCCAGGCTTCAGCTTAGGGCCCCTCTCCCTGCAGCACGTGCCCACCCACTCCCAGGCTGAGGACACAAACCTGCTTGCCCCTGGGCCACGCTGTCCCGGCCAGGAATGGCCCCTGCGGCAGAGCCACTGTTTCAGGCTGGCCCAGAGCCCTTCGGAGAAGATGTCTCCAGCTTACTGCAGCCACATTTGAGGGTCCCCGCCACCAGCACGGGGAGAGGCAGGGGGCTGAGGCAGCTGGGAAGAGCGAGTGACACAGGGTATGTGCTGCCCCCACGGCACCTGCAGGCTGGCTGTGGACCCTCGCAGGCAGTGAGGGGCGAGTCTGCTCCAACCCCCACTCTCGGGGCAGCCTCCGGGGTGCCTGCTCCTGGGGCTGCCCACCAAGCAAGTGGCCGGGATGCCCACAGTGTGGGGGGGGGGCGGTCACCGAGACGCTGAGACGTACACAGGCTCTGACCTGAGAGAATTCTTTTTATTACGAGTGAACAGATGAACTAAGGTAAGCGGGTCTCAGCCTTCCGCTGGTGCAGCATCTCCACGCAGGGCCTCAGCCCCGTCCTGGCCTTGCCTGAGGACTGCACCATGGGTGTTCCTTGGGCATGGAGGAGGCAGCAGGAAGGGGTGACAGGAGCAGGAGCAGGTGCAGGGCACCTCACACCACAGGCCTCCCCCACCTCTGAGCTGCCAACAGCCAAGACTCCTGGCGAGGCCGGGAGAGGAGGGGTGAGAGGGAAGGAGGGTCTCTGTGAAAGCAAGCCCCACCCCCAGAGCAGAGCAGAGACCCAGGTCTGCAAATCACACCCTCCCCCCACGAGTTCCTCCTTTGAGGCCAGCAGCACCCGAGGGAGGGCAGGGGCTGCACGGAGACCAGAGAAAGGAAAACCCCACAGAAGAAAACTCAAAGCATCAGTCCCATGCGTGTCTGCTGAACGAGTGAATGGGCCCAAAGGCTCTTCTCTACAAACGGCACGCATCCATCCGACAGGGGGCCACAGGACACGGCCGGGGCCGTCTGCGTCTGTGCCTGTGCAGCCCACACCAGTGCAGCCCGGGGCCCTCTCAGACCTCACCACACGCGTGCCCAGCACATGTGTGCACACGCAGATGCAGGAGAGAACACACACCACCGTCTCTTTGCACACGTGTGCCCCTGTCCGGCCCGGGGGGCTCATCTCTCCTTCACGTGGTTCTGTGCTCCCGGGCCCCCGCTGCCGGCCCCATCCCCACTGCCCCCACTGTGGACCCCGCCGGCCCCGCTGCATAGCACCTCGGTGAGGTCGTCCATGATGGCGGTCTCTTTGGGGTCCAGCAGGTTGAACTCCCGAGCAAAGAGGATGAAGTGGACGTAGAGCGTGTTCAAGTGTCCGTGCAGCTCCAGGGCCAGCGTCTCCTTGAAGTGGGCCCAGTAGATGTGTGCCAGCACGTGGAACAGGTGTCTGCAGATCTTCCTCACCAGGGACTCAAAGGAGCTGGGGAATTCTCTGCCTGGGGAAGGCCACCGTGTCACAAGCTGCAGACATCCCTTGGCCCCAACAGAGGCCAGGCCCCTGGCACCCAGCCTGGTGGGTCTGGTACCTGCCACCCACACCTTGACCCTGCCACCCTCAGGGCCTACAAAGCCCCAGCAGCAACAGCTTCTGCCCATCAGCAGGCACCACAGGGACTTGCCAACCCCGGGTCTGGGCTGCTGAGACCTCCCTGCGTGCTCAGGCTCCGGAGGCTGCACCTGCCCTGAGGGCTGGGAGCTCGTTGGGCCATCCTGGCCACCTCCTCAGGAAGGGGCCTGTGATCGGGCACTCGGGCCCCCGTGGTGTCTCCCTGATGGACACTTGGGGCCATCTCCCGGGCCAGGACGGAGGTGGCGATGGTGGCACAGGCCTCTCCTGTTGTCCCCTGCCGTCCCTCTGGCAGCACGGGAGTGGCGTGGAGCCCCACCACATCCCACCAAAATCTGGACACAGGCTTGGCGGCTGATACCCAGCCCAAGTGCCCACAAGCTGGACGGTGAGAGCAGCATGAGCGGCAGAAACCAAGAGGGGCCCAGTGCAGCCGCATGGCCCAGAGGGCCAGGGAGATGGCCCTTGGCCCTGGCTGGGCTGACCCCTGCCCAAGGGCTCCGGCCTCACCCCACAGCCCAGGTGGCTCCATGCTAAGCAGGGACTGGGGTGGTGCAGCTGCCGCCCTCCGTGCCTCTGCCCCTCCCGGCACAGGAGCTTGGTCACTTGCAGACACGTCCTGAATGCTCCCTGCCCCACTGTGAGGATGACCGCCCAGTGCTGGGGGAGACGAACCGTATTTTGTGGGGAACACGTCCTCATCCGTCACCAGCTTCTGCACGGAGCTCATGACGAAGTCAACGTACTGTGGGGCCGTGCACTTGACCTTCTTCCCCCGCTCGTCATACCAGTAGTACTGTCTGTGGAGACAGAGACACGGTCAGGGCATGCGCCCGCTGCACACCCACCCAGCCACTGGGTCCCACCCGCTCAGGTCATCTGCGGGCAGAGGTGGCGCCAGCAGCGGAGGTGTGGCAGACCCAGGTGTCTCCCTCCCTGGACATGCACACTGTCCCCACACACTGTCTGCGGGGACCACACTGCACTCTATGGAGGGGTCTGCCTGCGCTGACTTAGAACTACGCCAGGATCACGCTGGGGAGCCTGCCAGCCACATGGCTGTACAGGTGTGTGATTAAATGAAGGGGTCATCTTCGTTTTCTCCGCTTCTACATGGCTTCAGTTGTATTCGTTTACACAAGTGCGTGCTGCTGTTTTTCTGTTGTATTTTGAAAGCACACAGAGGCTCCTTCTCTTCCCAGGAAGCTGTGCTGTGGCTCGCCGGCCAGGCCCCACCCTTTGGGAGAGCCCTGCTCTGACTGCTAGAAGCCAAGCCCCTCTCCGGGGAAAGCAGAGGAGGGCGGTGGTCTCTGTGGGTACCTGCGGCTAACAGCCTGGCCAGGACAGGGACCTGGCCCCCTCTTGCCCCTGTACACAAGGGCGGCCAGTCCTCATGTGAGACTCGTGGCCCCAGAGCAGGCTGGAGCATCCTAGGGACATGGACACCCTGGGTTTGCCTCTTACTGTTGGGTCCAGCCATGACAAGGGTGTGCTCTAGTTCATGTTAATATAAGGTGACCCCCAGCCCCTAACACCCCTCCTCCCCCAGCACAACACCAAAACCCAGGGCACCCACCTGGCAGCCACCACCCCTCTCCCCCTGCCACGGTGCTGGGTCTCAGTCCTCCAAGGCCATGCCCACAGCGGCCGCCCCCGCAGGCCTGAACCAGGGCATGCTGGGGCCGATGCCGCAGCCCCACCCACAGGCAGTGGAGAGTGCTGTGGTGGGAGTGCTCACACCTGAGACACAGCCAACACTATGGGTCGGGATTTCCTCCCTGAGAGCCAGCTCCCAGCTCACCACAGGTGGGAATGGGCCACACAGCACAGAGCAGTACTGGCCACTGAGCAAACGCCCCCTCCACACCATGGCCACAACCACCATCGCCTCCACTGCCCCAGCTAGACCAACAGGCAGTCTGCCAGTACCAGGCTCCACATGAACCGCTCCCACCCTCCTCATCCAGTCACGGTTCCTCTTGGAATGGCCCTGGGTGGGGCAGTGCTGAAAAGGATGGACCCAGGCTCCACTCTGGAGGCCACTCTTCTCTTGGCCAGCTCCAAGCATCGTGCCCTGGGTTCCAGAGCCCACCAAGGCACCTGGGGAGACGCCCCAAGGGCTGAGACAGGGCCACGGGGGGCTCGCCCACTTCCTGCGCAGCCAGAGAAGCCATCCTCCCAGCTGGGCACAGGGCCTCCAGTGTCTCCGGGCACAGGGCCTCCAGCGTCTCCGGGCACAGGGCCTCCAGCATCTCTGGGCACAGGGCCTCCAGCGTCTCTGGGCACCCCTCTGCTGTGTCCAAGAAGCCCCTCAGCCTGTGCACTGCAGATCCCGGGGGGAGTCACCAGAGTTACCAAGAAGCTAGAGGATGACACTGCAAGCCCTGCATGCTGGCACCCTGCCCTCTGCAACAGAAACAGCCATCAGGCCACCTCCCAGCACCACCAGGGCCCTAGGACAACCCCCTCCCAGCACCCACCTCCAGAATGCAAACCAGGAGCTCTCATGTGTGCCCTGTGCGGGGCTGACTCAGCCCACCCGAAGGGGAAGTGCAGCCCCAAAATGGACAGGCCATGAGGACGGGGATGCAGTGCCCACACCTGCCTCTCAGGTGCTGTCCTCCCCCTGGGACAGCTCTGCATGACCTTCACGCCCACCTTCCCAGGCTGCAGGCCTCACCGTGGGCATCGCCACCAGGCTGTCAGACCCTCTGAGAATGCAGAGACAACAGTCCTTTCAGCATCTGCTCCTCGAGAATGATGTAGAGGACGCACGTATCCCCACTGTCCTGGGGTTCCCAGATGGTGTAGGGGAGGCCCAGCCCCTAAGGGCCAGGCTGAGGCCCATGTTTCCAGGGCGAGGACCCAGCCAGGATGGCTCAGCACTCTGCAGGAGTCAGACACTGGCTCCAGGTACCCTGACACTGCAAGCTGACATCTGATGCACCTGGCCACAGGTGTGCGACAGGTCTCAAAACAGTGGAGGTTAGAGACGGAAACCCTTTTCCACAATGCAAACCCAGAGAAAGCAGTAACTCAGGGACACTGTGGATTGTCCCATCTGTTCTGAAAGATGGAACACCACTGTTTCCTGTACTTCTTCAATTATCAGTAAACCGTTTCTGGTATATAGTTCTAAGATTTTTATCCACATGTGGACTCACGCATTCATAACCACAATCAGGACACGCGGCGGCTTACGTGGCCCCTCACACCCGTGCTGCTGTGCCCCCAGCACCCCGGGGATGGCTCCTCAGGGATGGGCCGCGGGAAGGAATCGCACCGCGCGGATCCTCCCGATCTGGGCCCCTCTTGCACGGAGGCCCCTGGGATGCAGTCACGTGGCAGACGTGTCGGAAGTCCACGGCTCCTCACTGCCCAGACACTGCCCCTGCAGAGATGGACATGGCGTGCTCATCTATTCACCTGTGTCCCTGCCAGCAGAACAGAGTCCCAGGTGGCCACATCCTGGCCAGCACCAGTGTCCCGACCGGCATGTGGGCAGGTGGACATGGGTCTGCCCATGGTTTCGGCTTGCCTTTCTCTAATTGCTAACAACACAGGATAGCCCCAGCTGCCATCCTTACACCCTCTTTGGCAAACTGTCTGCTCATTTCTTTTGCTGACAGTTAACTGGACTGTTTTGTTTTCTTACTGCTGAGTTGTGTATGTTCTTTATGTATTCTGGATATCAGTCCTTTGTGGGATGTGTGATTTGCAAATGTTTTCTCTCCCAGCCTGGAGTTTGTCTTCTTTCTCTTAAAAGTGTCTTGAAGCAAAAGTTCTGAATTTTGCTGCCTAGTGTCAGGTCATAAGGATTTCCTATGGTTTCTTCCAAAAGCTTTGGAGTTTTAGATGTTTGCACGAGGCATGAGGGATAGGTCAGCGTTTGGTTTTTGACACAAATGACTGCTTTTCCCAGCAGCATTTTTGAACAGACTACCCTTTCTCCCTTGAATTTATTTTGCTCTTTGTCAAAACTCTGATGGCCCCGTTTGTGTGGGTCTATCTCCGGACTCTCCATCCACACGTTTGTGTGGGGCTGTCTCCGGACTCTCCATCCACACGTTTGTGTGGGTCTATCTCCGGACTCTCCATCCACACGTTTGTGTGGGGCTGTCTCCGGACTCTCCGTCCACACGTTTGTGTGGGGCTATCTCTGGACTCTACTGTGTTCCATGGAGCTCTGTATCCATTCCTTCAACACTGCACACTGTCTTAATTACTAGAGTTTCACAGTAAGTCTCAAAAGTGTGAGATTCCTCTTATTTTTTCAAAATCATTGTAGCTATTTCAGTTAATTTGTCCCTCCATATAAATTTTAGAACTAACTGGTCTATACTTGAACTCTGCTGGGATTTGGATTGAGACTGCACTAAATCAACAGATCAGTTTGGGGGAGAATTTGTGTTTGGAGTCATCTTCCAGGTGATAAACGCAGTGCGTCTCTCCATTTATGTAGACCTTCGATTTTCTGTAACAGCATTTCGTAGTTTCCAGGGTGCAGATCCTGGGAATGTCTTGTTAAGTTTATAACTAAGGATCGCATTATTTTTGGAGCTATTATAAATGGCATGTTAAATATTAATTTCAGTTTTAAATTTCACATTGCTAATATACAGACCTATGACTGATTTGTGCGTGTTGACCTCACTAAATTTATATTATTATTTGCTACAATCCTTGAGGTTTTCCCAATCACACGTGTGCACAGGGATACAGCAATCCCCCCCATCCACAGGGGATGCACTGCAAGACCCCCAGGGGATGCCTGAAGCCACAGAGAGCACCAAACCCTATATATGCTGCGCTTTCTCCTATACATACATTACTAAAATAAAGACAGGCAGACTTGATTGATTGACTGAGATAGGGTCTCGCTGTGTTGCTAAGTTAGTCTCGAACTCCTGAAGTGATCCACCGCCTCAGCCTCCTGAGTAGCCAGGATTACAGGTGTGAGCCACCACACCCAGTGTAATTCATAAACTGAGGACAATCAGTTGCAGTGAGTGGCTGGGGTCGCATATCAGGGGGTCCCTTGCTGGCCTCCTGCAGGCTCAATGGCAACACGCTGCTGCTCCCATCCTCTCACCTCCTCCACCCACAGATCCAAGTACTCAACACGCACTGTGGCTGTCACTTTTGCAATTTCAGATGTAACAGCGAAATTAAAGGGACTTTTTTTCCCTTTTTCACAATTTCATAAAGAAGAGATTTGTTCTTACCTTAGATCTTAGCAACCTCACACACAATCTGTTTCTTTCTAGTCAGGAACTTTCACCTTTTCATCTTTAGGTCAAGGAAGTGCTTTCTGTCTTCTCTTTGGCATATCTGAATTGCCAGCATCACGCTCTTGCGCTTTGGGCCGCCTCATGTCACATAAGAGCAACCTGAGCACGAGCACCCTGGCACTGCGGCAGTGGATCCACACGGGGGCCGAGGCACAGCTGGGCCGAGGGAGGAGGAGGCACACCTGGAGCAGGACGGTGGAGACCGCATCACACTGCTCAGAACAGCATGCAGTTGAAAACTTATTAACTGTTTATTTCGGGAATTTTCCATTAACTATTTTCAGACCATAGTTGACTGTGGGTAACGGAAACTGTAGATAAGGGGGGCTTATTGTTTTATTTCTTTTCCAATTTGGATGCCTTTTATTCTTTCTTCTTACCTTATGGCACTGCCTATCTTAGGCGAGTTCTGATATACTGCGCTTTCCAAAGAGTTGGTCCATTTAACCCAAGCCATAGAATTCATGTGCACAGAGGGTTTTTTTCCAATACTTCCTTATTATCCTTTTAACATCCACTGGGTCTACAGTGATACTCCTCTTTACATCCACAGGGTTTAGTGACACTCACTCCTTTTTATTGATCATTGCATCTTCTCTCTTATCTTTGTACCTACTAAAGGCTTACCAATTTATTACCTTTCAAAGTCATCACATTTTGATTTCACTCATTTCCCCTATTGTTTTAAAAATCAATCTCAGTGCTTTCTGTTCTTATTTACTTTCTTGTCCTTGATTTTGACTTATTTTGCTCTTTTTCTAGTTTAAGTTGGAAACGTAGATTACTGAAAGTCATCTTCTTTTTCTAAGAAAGCATTAATCCTATAAATCCCCTCTAGGCACTGCTTGAGTTATGTCTCACAAATTCTGACATGCTGTATTTTCCTGTGTACAGTTTGTTAAAGTTTTTTTGTTGAGGCATCCTCTCGGACCCATGGACTACTCAGAATTGTATTAGTCTGCAAGTGTTTGGAGACTTTCCTGTTCTCTGTTACTGATTTCTAATTTAACCCCACCATGGTCAGAAAACTTACTTCGTATGGTTTTGATTTTTTAAAATTTGTTAAGGGCTCTTTTGTGACAGGTATGCTCCATCTTGGTGGCTAATCTTTGTGAAGTTGAAAAGATGGGTGTTCTGCTGTTGAGGCTGCAGTGCATGTGTCATTTCAATCCAACCCACGGGTGGGGTCATCGGGCTCCGTGCTCTCGCTGACTGTCTATGAGGCTCCATCACTGAGGAGAGGGCTGCAATCCCCGGCGATCATGTGATTTCTACACAGGCCGTCCGTTTGCTTTGTGTGGAAAGCCCTGTTGTCTGGCGCACACACATTTATGGCAGGATTTCTTCAAGAGCTGCTCCTTTTCTAATTAGATAACCTTCTTATTCCTGGTCACTTCCTTCCTCGGAGTCTCCTTTGGCACTGACATAGCCACTTCCGCTTCCTTCTGATGGGTGTTTTCTCAGCACATCTTGTCCTCTTACTTCTCACCCGCCTGCACCACAGCACCTAGAGTGGTGTGACACACAGGGTGCTTATGCCCCACATTCCTATGTTGAAAGCTTAACCCCAGACGCAAGGGTATCTGGAGATGGGGCCTTTGGGAGGCGATGAGGTTGCAAGGGTAGAACGCTCATGAACAGAACTGGTGGCTCCGTCGCCCTGCCTTCCTTCCAGCAAGAAGGTGCTGTCTGTGGACCAGGAAAGGGACCCTCACCAGACACTGAATCTGGCTAATCAGATCCAGTGACGTGGTCAGTGCCCCCTTCCTGGTCCACAGTGGATCTTCACCTTGGACTTTCAGCTTCCAGAACCGCAAGAAATAAGATTCTGTTGTTCACAAGCCACCTAGCCTATCATGTTTCGTGACAGCATCCCGAATGAAATACAACAAATGAGCTTCTTGTAAACACCAGAGAGTTGGTTATTTTAAAAATACATTCTCATAAGCTGCCCAGTCCCGTCTGTTCATCTGTTAGCATTTAGGTTTTCCACTATTTGCTGTTTGTTGCCTCTGTTTCTCATTCCTTATGGTATTTCTTCTTTCCTGCTTTCTCTTGGGCCACTGAAATGTTTTTGTATTTCATTTAAATTTACCTATTCTGATTCTGACTGCGTCTCTTCACATAAGCTCTGCAAGGCCTGCTCAAAGGGCTGTAACACGCAACTCAACCCCACATGCTCTCCATGGCACCCACACATGTGCTTCCACTGGAGCATAGCAGCTCTCTTGCCCACAGCCCCACCGCCGCCAGGCCCCACAGCCGCCACAGCCCCACCGCCACCACAGGCCCCACGGCCGCCCTGGAAATGGCACTGCACAGGCCCCACGGCCGCCCTGGGAACGGCACTGCACAGGCACTGCCGGACACTACTCTTGTCTTCTTGCACCATCACTGGCGTCTCCACAAACACTCAGTGGGAGGAGGCCCTCCTGTTGGGAGAACTCTGCAGGGAGCCTCTGGAACAGGTCTGCTGGCTGTGAGGGCTCTTGGTTTTGAGTGACTTTGGACACTGACTGGATGTGGAATTCTGGGATGACCTTTCTTTTCTCCCAGCACTGGAAGATGTGTGGGGCTTCCTTCTTCCTTCTGGCCTCCTGGGTTTCTAAAAGTGCCACGGTCATTCACTGCGGCATCTGTTGTCAGTACCAGGCCACCGCCGTCTGACTGCTGACAGAGGATGGCTGCCAAGGGCTTTTTCTTTGCCCCCAGTTCTCAGCATTTGGTTGCATGCATCTGCACGTGTCTGTGAGCCTTATTTGGGGTTTGCTTAGCTTCTTAAGTCTGCAGGTTTGTGTCTTTGTGGGAAGTTCTCAGCCATTATTGCTGCAATGTGTTTCCGGCCCCGCCCCCTTTCTCGTCTCCCTAGGAGTCAGACATCAGCCTTTTTGGGACTGTCCTACAGGCCCTAGCAGGGAGGAGACGCGCCTCAATCCCAGAGCCCTCACACGACCCAGGCAGACTTGCTGGTCTTTTGGGTGGCAAGTGGCCCTGAGGCCCTCTGAGAAGTCTCCATGTTTCTCTTAGTTTGAGTGGATTTCTGTCCCTTGGTTTGAAAGGATTCCTGGAAAGGCATTACATGCAATTAATTCACACACATCTACTACCACCATGATGCCAGCTCCAGATGAGAAGGACCAAGAGGCAAATCTGGGTGGCCTAGGCCCTCCAAGGGGACATAGGTCTGCCCAACACCACATCCTACACTCCTCCAAGGACCCCTTTTCCAAACCAACCCAGTACCACAGAACATGCAGGAGCAGAGCCTCTGGGAAGGGTGCCAGGCCCCGTCTGCCCAGGAGCAGAGGCGCTGAGCCAGCACTTGGCCACAGGTGGCTCCAGAGCCACAGTGGACACAAGGCTCTCGAGTAGCTCTCGGGTGCTGCCCTGCCACCTCAGGACCCATCTCCATGCCTGATCCATGGAGGCCACCGCCGTCTCACATTGAGCTTGCTCCCCTCAAAGCCATAAGCACTGTCCCCATCTTCCTGGGCCATGCCTGGCTGTGACACCTCATTTTCCTGGGGAATTAAGACAGTGAAGCCAGCTGTTGTCTGTACCTGCCCCGGTGTCACCCATAACCAAACCAAGCTGTGACCCATCATGGCCATGAGGGCAGGGCCCAGCAGGACTGAAGCCAAGGGGACGCCTGCCAGCTGCCTGTGCAGAAGCTCCCCTTGGCTTCTTGAAGGCAGAACTCAGCTTTGTCTGGGGACCACGTCTCCCTGTGCCAGGGCCAGGAAAGCCATGTCTGTGGGCAGGATGACTTTCAGGACGCACTCACAGGCACACATTCTGTCCCTGACCTGTGTGCACTGACAACAACGGGACATCAGGGAAAAGCTTCCGCCCTCCTCAGCCGCACATGTCCCAGGCTAAGCCCAGCAGACCCAGCCTCCTCCTGCCTGCAGCCTCCAAGGCTGCTTTCAGCAACCCAGGCCTGGCGGCGCTCCTTCCCATGCTACGCAAGTGAGGTGCTCAGGGCCACTAACGGACACCCATTTACTGAGGAAATCAGGGTGCAGTGCTTCCAGGAGAGAGCTACCAGCACCAGGCATGTTGGATGGTCACGGAGAAGGTAACTGAGCCCCCATGAAATGAATGGCCGAGCAAGGACCTGTGGCCTGCCCAGCCCAGCCCTCACTGTCCCATCCAGAGCTGTCACGGGAGCCAGCGGAGAAGGGCTCTCTGCAATCTTAGGGCATTCCTTCTGGAAACGTCTCTGTCCCTAGAAACATAGCCCATCAACCCCCACCAGCTCCTGCACCTTCTGGGCCCCACTGGGGACCTGGGTAGCTGGGCCACTGGCCCAGCCTGTGGCCTTTCCACAGGAAGGTGGATGTTGTGGAAGGCCTGTGCCAAGACTTCTCAGGGTCTCCAGGTGAGAACGGAATCTGAGAGGACAGGAGCCTGGGGCAGCGGGGGCTCAGAGCCCCACCGAGTCTCCCAAGAGAAAGTGGGCTGTAGCCAGGCAGCACTCACGTGTTGCACACGGCCATCGTCTGACACGTCTCTCCTGTGCAGAACTCGGAGATGGTGCTATACTGCAGGTTGATGTGGTGGAAAAACGTCGTGGCTGGAAGAGAAGAGAAGGAGCCAGATGTGAAAAACGCCAGAGCTGAGCCGCCCCGTCCACCCCTGCTTCCAGCAACAGGTGCAGGAGCTCGGCTGGGTGAGCTCTGCCCGTCCACGGGCCACATTCTCCCCTCGCGGCAGGGGGCTGCTGAGCACCAGCCGTGGGGGTCCCCCTTGAGGAGGGGCTTCGAGGAGGAGCAGGGAGGAGGGAGGGGGCCCGCCCCCAGGCCCCCGCGCACTGTTGCTGGCCAGCCACTCGTTAAGGTCAATCTCGCGGGGCAGCACCACCAGCTCCTTGAACTGGAAGTCGGTGATCCTGGCCTTGGTGTGCTCAGGCTCCAGGTAGGCCTTCCTCTCCTCCGCAGCGGGCTTCTTGCCATTAGGCTTGGCTTTGGACTTCCTGCCAAGAGAGGAGACGCGGTGTGGTCACTACACGCCCATCAGACCCAGGGTCTGCCCGGGGGGTCAGTTGTGGCCAGCGCAGGTGTAGAGGGAGCTGCCCGAGCCCATCGGGGCGACACTGCCTCCCTGCCAGGCTCAAAGGACACCAACGGGACACCAACGGTGAGGCTGCTCCGCAGAGGGGCCAGTGGAGCTGCCTTGCGTGGCACCTCCTGGGAAGAAGGGCTGGCGCTCCCACTTGCCACACGGGCCCCTGCACGGAGGGCATCCTCACCCCTCACCAAGTCCTCCAACCAGGGAGGGGCCCAGGGTTTAGGGCCCCCAGCGCCCACCTTCCAGTTTTCCAGTGCTCTTGGAAGGAAAGGAGAAGCAAACCCTCTCACTCCTGGCTTCTTTTGAGTTGGCCAGCCTGTCCCTGCCCCTGCCGCTGGTGGCCCCGGTGAAAACATACCACAGGCCTTGTGCAGGGCACCTGCCTTCCTGGCCAGCCTGAGAGCACGGGGCCCCTGGCATCAGGCGGCAGCCTGGCCTGCAGCTCCAGTATCCCTGTTGTCCACCAGGCCTGGGGAGGCCACAGGGTGATGAGGATGGGGGCCAAAGGTCTTTGTGGCAACCTGACCCTGTCCTTATTTTTTTTCTTTCTTGTTTTGAAAAGTTGCTAATGGTTTATTTAAGAGAAAGAGAAAGGAAAAATGCTCCCTGAATGCCAGGGAAATGTTTCCCTTTCAGCTTCTCACAGCAGATCTTCGCCTTAAAAGGAGACCAGCGCAGGCCTCTGGGGGCAGTGCTGGGAGTAGCCAGAGCCAGGCAGGGAGCAGGGGCAGGAGCAGGGGCAGGGGCAGGGGCAGGGGCAGGGAGGGGCAGGGGCAGGGGCAGGGAGGGGCAGGGGCAGGGCCCCTGGGCCCTGGCACTCCCACTCTGCCATCTCTCCAGAGCACAGGGCGTGGGGTCTGAGGAAGAGGAAGCACAGGTGTGGATGGGCCACATGCAGCGTGGGCACTTGGGGTCCTCACAGTACAGGGGTGGGACAGACAGGGTGAGCTTCCGTGTAGCCTGCAGCCCCTCGCCCCAGCACAGCGAGGCACCCAGACTCCACACCAGCCTGTGCCAGGCCATGCCCAGCGTGTCCACCACAGGGAAGGCTCTCCCCATGACGCTGGGCCTGGCCCTGACCACCGGCAGGTGGGCCTGCACCTCCCTGCCCTGTGCTCTCACAGCACAGCACACCACACCCCACCCGGGCAGCTACAGCCTGGGCTCGGCCTTCCCATTTGGAGGGGTGGGTTGCAGTGGCCCAGGCTGCCAAGCGGGCTACAAGCCGTCTCCCTGCTCTGTGTCTTAGGAGCTGTGTCAACTGGCAAGCTCCAGGTGGCAGTTACCTGGTGGTCGGTCACGCAGGGCTGCCAGCAGGAGCAGCTGTCAGCGCGCTCACTCTCAGGGTGTGCCCCAGGGCCCACTCAGGGAGGCTGCCCTACTGGCAGTTCCTGCCCCCTTGCCAGCCTTCCAGGCTGGGGCTACCTTCCACCTCCGGTCCTCAGAGAGGGCTGGGCAGGGGCAGAACCTGGAGACCTGGCTTCCCTCTCCCAGGCTCTGGCTGTGGTCAGGAGGTAGTGAGCAGCCGCCACTCCGGCACTGGCACCTCAGCCTCCCTGCCTCTTCCCGTCCACACCTGCTCTCCTAGAACACAGAAGAAAAGTACGCACGAGGCCCTCCAGGCTGGGCCTCCCCGAGCTGCTCCCCCAGTCTCACCCTGTCCCCAGCACCCAGGGCTGGCCGGGCCCCGGAGCTTAGTGCACTGTGAGACAAGCCTCCTGCAAGCCTACCTTCTTTGGACCGGGTCACTCATTCCCATGGGGCAGGTGGACGGGCACTGGCCCAAAGGTAGTAGGACCAAGGGGACGCGCAGGACATGGCCTCTGCTCCAGGAACGGCTGTGCGGGCACCAACAGAGGGACTTCCATGGGAAAGCCCCGAACGCCTGGCAGCACCCACGTCTCCCTGACCTCAAGTGCCCTCCTTCCCAGAAGGGCAGGCTCTCAGCGAAGGCCCAGGCCTGGGCAGGAAGCAGTCACTCTGAGGCAGCCCATTGCTCGGTCCAAGCCAGCGGCAGCTACCGAGGAGGCCTCAGAGCACACGACACCTCCATGGCACTCTTCTCGTCCTTAGTCATTCTTGGCTTTGCCCAGTGGAGAAAACACCTCTGCGGCGCCCCCCGCAGGCTCACAGGCTCTGAAACAGGCTCTGTGCCGTCCAGGCCCAGAGGTCTGCCCAGTCACTGCCTCAGTGGCCCAGCTGCCCCTCACCCAGGGAAGTGCCGAGGCCCTGCGCCCTGCTCCCAGCTCCCCCTGTGCTGCTGGCTAGGAGCCCCGGGGCACAGAAAGACCAAGTCCTTCGATGTGGAGGGAGGACTGTGGGAGCAGGCCCCGGCCGCAGGCAGGACAGAGATGGCGCTGAAGGGACTGGGGAGTGGACCCTGGACCTCAGCCCACCCACAGGGCTTCCGTGACCACTTGGAAGAAGCAGAAGGGCAGATGCTGTGTGCACAGCCCCCAAAACAAAGTCCCTCACACTATTCCAACAGGTGGGCTCTGAGCCTGGGTCCTGCCTGGCAGGCACCATGCACTTAGGAGGGCCGGGCCAGATGGAACCACCTCCTTCCTGCCTCCCACACACTCACCAGCCTCACCTCCCTCCTCCCTGCTCTAGATGACCTGTCCTGCCTGCCACAGGGGTCTGCACCCTGTTTGTGGGCACCAGCTGCTGCTCTGCCAACTTGCCCATCTTACACCAGGCCTAGCAAACTTCTCCTGGTCCTTTAAGAGCCTGTCAAATGCCACCCTCCCCATTCTCGCCAGTGGTACCCATGACGTGCCAGTCGGCCTCCTTGGCACCCAGCACGTAACTGATCCCTACTGGGAAGTGAGGCAATCCCTGCTAGACACAAATTTGGTGGGCAAGGGAAGGGGCACAGGGAGGCATCAGAGCTGCTGGGCTCCCGTGGAAAACTTAGACAACCACACAGTCAACACACAGGGGGTCTCACCCTGCCCACAGCAGGTGCACACTGCTTCACAGGCAGGGGGAGCTGGGGAGTGGGCTGGGAGCCGCCCACTCCTCATCCGCCCTGAGGGACGAGGACAGCACAACCGAGTGCCCTGCACCTTTGCCACGAGTGTCAACTTCATTATCACAGGGATGGAATCCTGGCCAGGCCCCACGGCCCACAGGAATGGGGTGCTCCAGGCTCAGAGACCCCCACTCGCCCAGAGCACGCTTGCTATGGAAGTCGAGCCTGTAGACCCTGAGGTGAGTGGGCAGCAGCAGGAGGTGGCCCTCATCTGGCACTTCCCACCACAGGTCAACGCCAAGGGGTGGGGCAGGCACGAGGGGCCCAGAAATACAAGTCCCCAAGCCCAGGCCTGGAAAATACGGTGACCAGGCAGCGTGTGGGGTGCAGGAGAAAGGCCCGCAGGTGACGCCTCTGAGGAGGGCATGGTCCTTGGACCCCACTCAGCCATCTGCACCGGGCCCCTCATGCTCCTTGGTTCGGGTGAATGTCAGTGCTGGTTGGTCCACCCAGAGCCTGAAAGTCAAGGCTCCCAGTGACCCCTTCCCCCAAGACCCGGCCAGGCAGAGCCCCCAGTAGCCACCCGGTACAGAGCCTGGGTCTCAGCACACCTTGCTGCCCAGGGTGCACGCCACGGGCACCTCCTGTCACCCCAACATGCAGGGAGGGCACCACATGCTGGGGTGCTTGGCGCCACCCCCACCCCTACATTTCTGATGTGGCCTTCTGGGTGTTGAGGGGGGGCCTGAAAACTGCATTTCTAACACCGTGTTCTAACCCGAGTTCTCCCTGGGTGCTGATCCCACTTCTGTCACACGGCCTCAGGCTGAGGGGTGGGAAGGCCTCCGGAGCCCCTGTCCATCTCTCAGCACAGCCTGCACTGCCCACAGGCTTCAGCCAGCTGGAAGCTGTGGAGTGTGGCTTCTTTTCTTCTGAGTTTAATTGTCTGCCCCCCCAAACAGGTCAGCAGCCCCAGACAAAGCGAGCTTTTACCAGCCTACTGTGCCCTCTGCAGAGGCCCATTGAGAAGGAAAAAGCCAAGATGGCACAAGGAACGCCCGCAGACATCCCAGACCAAACGTCCAAACAGGCAGGTGCTGCTGCTGTCCTAGAACCTCAGCCCCACGTGGCCACCATGCTCCACTGCGCCTCGGCCCCTCCATGCATCCAGCTCCCAGCCAAGGTGGCTTCCTCATCGCTTCCTTTGAAACCTTCCTGAGCCCCAGGGAAGGGACTCCGCCCGTCTTCCTTAGGGCCTGGCTGGGCTCCAGGCCTGCCTCTGTGTCTCCTGTGGAGCTGCCTTCGGCATTTGGCCTCAGACACACAAGCACACACTGGCACAGGCACACACACACACACGCCAGTCCCCTCACACCACTGATGTCAGGCACCATTCCTGATTTGAACTCACGAGTACTGCCAACTTGCCCACACATTTCCAAAACCTCACAGTTTCACCTTAAGATAGGACATCCTAGGCAGGGTCACCGGCCGGCACTCTTGTGTCTACTTGTGGAGCCCTCCCTGTTGAATGCACAGGTGATCGGGAGATAGGGAAGGAGCCTATGAAGAGAAAGATGGAGCCGGGTGCCCAGGGACAGGCAGAGGCACGGAGATGCACACGGGTGCCGCAGCCCCCGGCCCTTGGAGGGCACGTCCAGCAGGCCACGCTCGCCTCACACCCCCACCAGGCAACCCCACCCGGGAGGACACACTCACTGCTGCAGCTGGCTGTGCCTGCCCCACTCCCCCGGCCCCTCATGCCCACACACGGGTGCACACTCCCACACACACGGGTGCACGCTCCCACACACTTGGGCGCACACTCCCACACACGCCCCTGCACACACCGAGCTGAGTGGTGTGGGCAGGGAGGCACCCCCGCAGCAGGTCAGAGAAAGTACAGGTGAGAAAAATGTCAAAAATGGATTTTCCGGCAACATCCCTATGGCAGCCAGCACAAAAATAGGCACCCGGGAACCCCATGCCACTTCTCTGGACAAGGCCACACAAGGACAGACTCCGGGTCACCTCTGCCTGGGTGGCTGAAGCCCCTGCCCAGGGCACAAACAGCCGCACGCTGGGACAAAGACAGGCACACCTGCTGGCGGCTGAGGAACCACACCCTGTGGGTTGCGGGAGGACAAGGCAGGCTCCTGTGCCGGCAAGGTGGGGTCAACCCCGAAGGTCGAGGACACCAAGACCCGCTCCTCTCCCACAGAGCAACAGGAAGTGCAGGCGGCTAAGGAAAGCCCCACTGGGCAGGGCTCCAGAGCAAACCCGCCAGGCTGGCCCGGGACTGCACAGCCGCCTCTGCCCTGGACAGCTTGCGTGTGGCCCAGCACAGCTCGCTGCACAGCCGCCGGCCACACTGGGAGGGCAGCCACGGACACAGTCCGCCGCCTCCCCACCCTGACCTCCTTCCTGGGGGCAAGAACAGGGCAGACAGATGTGCTACACACCCCTCCCCCAGCCAGGCTGGCAGGTGTTACCTGAGCACTTTGCTGACAGCCTGAAGCACCATTTTGCAGCAGAGTCCACTTTGCAGGGACTGGCCGGGCCGGGCTTGGTCTTCAGGGAGACTGCAGTGGTCTCCCAGCATGAGTGGGCGACGGGAAGGTGGGGAGGAG
This sequence comes from Homo sapiens, assembly GCF_000001405.40. NCBI lineage: Eukaryota > Metazoa > Chordata > Mammalia > Primates > Hominidae > Homo > Homo sapiens. The sequence continues at coordinate 1,486,585 of NC_000011.10, forward strand.
AAGCGGGGCGGGGTGCCGGCTGGCCAGCACTCGCAAATGCCTGCTGCCGGGCCCTCCAGCCTCACTCCCTGGCCAATGGGACGCCTGGCAGAGACAAACAGCTGCCCCCTTTCCAGAGGCAAGGGCTGGCCAAGGCTGGTGAAACGAGGGAGCGTCTGAATTGGCCTTTTCCAAGTGGCATGGCTGCCAGAAGAGGCGGTGGGGGTGGGACCAGAAGGGAGGGGACAGGGCCGTCCTTGGCCTGCAAGAAGGGTCCATCAGAAAGGTCCTGGGCTCCACCTCAGGCTGCCAGAAGAGGCGGTGGGGGTGGGACCAGAAGGGAGGGGACAGGGCCGTCCTTGGCCTGCAAGAAGGATCCATCAGAAAGGTCCTGGGCTCCACCTCAGGCTGCCAGAAGAGGCGGTGGGGGTGGGACCAGAAGGGAGGGGACAGGGCCGTCCTTGGCCTGCAAGAAGGATCCATCAGAAAGGTCCTGGGCTCCACCTCAAGGTCCTCTGCTGCCAAGCCCCCAGGAAAGGCCTTCTGAACACAGGCAGCAACTCTGCTGACGAGCTCCAGGTCGATGGCACTCCCCTCTCCCTTGTCCGGCCCAGCCTAGCCCAGTCAGTGCTCGGGCCAGGGACGGACAGACGGACAGACAGATGGGCCGCCCTGCCCTGCAGTGTGTACGCAGCTGGAGGCACTCAAAGTGGCTTTCCTGCTGGATGGCCCTGGAGAGAGAAGGGGCCGACCAGCTTCTGCGGTGCCTGGACGGTGCTGGGCTGAGGCTGCTGCCAGCCAGGACCACAGGGCACCCAGCCCAACAGAAATGCCCACAGCAGCTCCCCATGGGGGCGCACAGAGCGGCACGGCCCCGGCCTTCCTTCTGGCTGGTCTGCACACAGGAGACCACCACATCCTGAAAATGCAAACACCTGAGAGGGCAATGCTCTCTCCTCATCCTGAGTCAGCGTGGACCCCACTGGCAGTGACAGCCCCCTGACAACACGGGGTCATCAGGAGCATCCCCCACCCGCATGGGAGCCATACTTCCTGTGCTTCCTGCCAATCAAGAGACCCCAGCATCTCCAGCCACTGCCCCTCAGAAGCTGTCCCAGCACCTCTGTCGGTGTGAAGCCCTGTAGGAGTCAGGACACAGCCTGAGGTACCAGCTGCTGCGGGGAGCACAGAGCCATCAGGAAAGCAGCCAGGGTAGGCTCACCCCCATCAATACCAGCCCCCATGGGAGTTGTGGTGTCTGGACTGCACGCACACACACAGCCTGGGCGCACGGGGAGACAGCACACCAACCCAGCACAGACACACTCTCCAGGAGCCACAGCAGAGGATGGCCCCAGGCCGGCCCCCGCCTCCCTAAGCAGCAGCAGCAGCAGGCCCAACAGGCTGCAGTTTCATTTTCCCCACTAGGCCAGTCCCTAAGCCATGCTCTGAGCAGTGCGTAACTGGTCTCTACAGAACAAACAGCCCGGTGAGGCTCAGGACGTCCATGCGCCCACAGGCCTTCCTCTGCCTTGGCAAGGCCATCCCACAGCCCTGTGGTGCCACACGCACCTAGGCACCGTGCTCACGGCTGCCGGTCTGCCCTCGGGGGCTCCACCAACAGCAGGGACACAGGTGCTGGCAGGTCACCCAAGTGGCAAAGGGAGCCACAGGAAGAGCGGGCTCCAGGCCTGGGGAGGCCCCCGTGAGTAGCAGGGCTGGGACCAGGAGGTGCATGACGCAGACCTGCCCACTCTCGGGAGGCATGGCCTGGACAGAGAAGGCCGTGCAGAGGCCCATGACAGGGAGAATGAGCTGCTGGGGGTTGGAGGGCAGAGCATAAAGGAAGCTGGGGATGGTGGAGGCTTCGGGCACAAGAAGCCAGGCAACCAGGCAAGGCAATGGTGAGGGTGGCACGGGGGCGGGGGAACAGTCAGGACAAGGTGCCGGGTAGGGTGGGGGGAGCACACCAAGCGTGCCTAGTCTGGTCCAGGCAAGGCAGTGGTGAGGGTGGCACGGGGGCGGGGGAACAGTCAAGACAAGGTGCCCGGTAGGGTGGGGGAGCACACCAAGTGTGCCCAGTGGGTCTGGTCAGCACACGGCAGCTCTGTGGCTTATGCCACTGTCCCGAGAGGGCTGGGCTGGCGCCAGAGGAACGTCCACATTCATCTGTGTTTGTTCACTGGGGGACACGTGCAGGGAGCAGGTATTCCTATTGATCAAAACTTAGGTAGTGGGGCAGGAGTGGGGTAGGGTGAGGGGCAGCTGGAACCCACAGACACTGAGCGACAGACACTGCACTGGGAAGAGGAGCAGACCTGGAGCAGGCTCTGCAGACTCCACGAGGAGCTGCCACAGAGGCCCGCAGGCCAGTGACGGGTGCCAGTGTGGCCTGGCCCCGCCACCCCAGAAAAGGAAGAGCAAAAGCACCTTCTGGGCACAGCCAGGGCCAGGAGCTGGCCAGGAACAGAGAGCACAGGAGCGGGGCAGAGGCACCACGCAGGGGGGAACGGTCGCAACCAAGGCGGGACGGGGCAGGGGGCACGGGCCATGTGTCTGTGTCAGAGGTTATTTTACCTTTAATAAGCTTTTAGTTTTAGAAAAGTGTTAGATTTACAAAGAACTGCAAACACAGAATCCCCATGGCCCCCCACTCACTCTTCCTATTGCTAACCCTTACACTAGGATGGTCTGTTTGTTAACAATGAACAAATCCACATTGATGCAGCAAGGTCCAAACTTGACTCAGACGTCTGGATCCATCCATTGCTCTCCTCACGACGAGGCTGGGCTGTGGGTGTGGGTAGGAAGAGCACAGAGGGAAATGTCCCCCTCGTCGCCCCGTGCCCACGGCCCGTCCTGTCAGCACGGCTCATCGCGGGAGGTGCTCCCGATCTCCTGGCTGAGGCTGTGACTGCCAGGCCTCCCCACGCAAAGACGCTCTCGTCTTCCCCGCCCCGCACCGCGCTCTCGAACGAAGCTGCTGCACGCAGACCACACTGAAGGGGTGGGGACCACCCCTTACCACCCTGACGGAGGAGTAGCTACGGGAATTACTGGAAGTTCGGCACCAGAGAGCGGCCTCTTCTTGGTCACTCATTTATATATTCAGCCATTTGTTTATATTGGGATGAAGTCCTGGCTATTGAGGCTGCACTCCGAGCTAGAACACAACACTACTTTGTTTTGTGAATCACACTGTCCGTCCTTGGCCCTGGGGAGCTCCTGCCATCAGCTGCTGGGTCCCCTGATGCACCCCCATCAACAGACTTTTCATTTTGGGGCATGTCCTGATTTCCTGGCACTGCAGGGTGCTCCAGGCTCCCCCTGCATTCCCAGCCCCAGCCCGGGAATCAGCCCCTTCTCCAAGGAGCCCTGGTTCTTTTCATTAGAAAATATTAAAAACTGGCCAGGCAGCCGGGCGTGGTGGCTCACGCCTGTAATCCCAGCACTTTGGGAGGCCAAGACGGGCCTCCCACAAGGTCAGGATCACAAGGTCAGGAGATCGAGACCATCCGAGCTAACACAGTGAAACTCTGTCTCTACTAAAAATACAAAAAAATCAGCCGGGTGTGGTGGCAGGCGCCTGTAGTCCCAGCTACTCGGGAGGCGGAAGCAGGAGAATGGCGTGAACCCGAGAGGCAGAGCTTGCAGTGAGCTGAGATCGCACCACTGCACTCCAGCCTGGGCGACAGAGCAAGACTCCGTCTCAAAAAAAAAAAAAAAAAAAAAAATGGCCAGGCATGGTGGCTCATGCCTGTAATCCCAGTATTTTGGGAGGCCAAGAAGGGACCATCACTTGAGCCCAAGAGTTTGAGACCAGCCTGGGCAATAAAGGGAGACCCCATCTCTACAAAAAATGTAAAAATTAGCCAGGCATAGTGGTGTGTGTCTGTGTTCCCAGCTACATGGGAGGCTGAGGCAGGAGGATCACTTGAGCCCAAGAGATTGAGGCTGCTGTGACCCATAATCACACCACTGCACTCCAGCCTGGGTGACGGAGCGAGACCCTGCCCCAAAACAGTAATGAATGAATTCAAAACTGAGACCTGGTCAGGCACGTTGATTCACATCTGGAATCTCAAGAGCACTTTGAGAGGCCCAGGTAAGTGAATCGCTTGAGGCCAGGAGTTTCAGATCAGCCTGGGCAACACAGCAAGACCCCCATTTCTAAAACAATTTTTTTTTTTTAATTATCTGGGCATAGTGGCATGTGCCTGTGGTTTCAACAACTGAGGAGCTGAAGTGAGAGGATCACTTGAGCCCAGGAGGTTGGTGGCTGCAGTGAACCATGACTACACCACCTCACTCCAGCCTGGGTCTACACAAACGAGAAACGAAAACACTAAGATCAGAGCACTGGGTGGGCTCGTTGCTAGTGGGTGTCACTGCTTCCAGGCCCTCTCAGCTGGAAGAACACGGAGGCACATGTGTATACACACATGCACTCATACGCCTCAATCTCCACCCACATGTCGACATTTGTATCTATACTAAGCTAAGCAGGGGTTCCCCTGAGGTCTCCAGCCCACCCCTGCAGCCATCACTGCCTGGACCACACTGGCCCCTCCACTTGCTCGTCTGTAGCCTCCCCTCCAACAAGGAGACTCGTGGAGAGCTTCGTGTTTTTAATCACTTTGTGAAAACAACAGAAGAAGGAGCTCAAAAGCTACGGAAGCAGCAAAACAATGCCCCCGGCACCCTCACAAAGGCACAGGGAAAGTGGGGTCACTTAAAAGCAAGCAGGAAAGTTTCACAGTTGAGTCCAATGAAAATCAAGAAGAATAGAGGAGAGTAACACTCTCCCACTGACAATTAAAACATCCCAGAAAGACACACACATAACACAGACGAAATCACACAACACAGATGAAGACACACAACACAGACGAAGACATACACATAACACAGGCAGAGACACACAACACAGACGAAGACATACATATAACACAGGCGGAGACACACAACACAGACAAAGACACACAACACAGACGAAGATATACAACACAGCCGAAGACACACACATAACACAGGTGAAGACACACAACACAGACGAAGACACACAACACAGACGAAGACACAACACAGATGAAGACACACACATTAACACAGGTGAAGACACACAACACAGGTGAAGACATACAACAGATGAAGACGCACAACACAGACGAAGACACGCGCATAACAGATGAAGACACACAAAGACACACAACACAGACGAAGACACACAACACAGATGACACAGAACACAGATGAAGACACACAACAAAGATGAAGACACAACACAGATGAAGACACATAACACAGATGAAGACTACAACCCAATAAGACAATCAGGGAAACAATGCAATTTAAGAAAATATTTGAGGCCAGGTGCAGTGGCTCATGCCTGTAATCCCAGCACTTTGGGAGGCTGAGGCAGGTGGATCACCTGAGGTCAGGAGTTCAAGACCAGCCTGGCCAACAAGGTGAAACTCTGTCTCTACTAAAAATACAAAAATTAGCTGGGCGTGGTGGCAGGCGCTTGTAATCCCAGCTACTTGGGAGGCTGAGGCAGAAGAATCGCTTGAACCCAGGAGATGGACGTTGCAGTGAGCCGAGATTGCACCATTGCGCTCCAGCCTGGGGGAGAAGAGCGAGACTTTGTCTCAAAAAAGAAAAGAAAAAAGAAAAAGAAAATATTTGAAAAAAGAGGCAAAATAAGAATCAGGAATGAGAGGATAAACCATTTTTGAAATGAAGTCTAAATTAGAATACAAAAACCACCATGATGTCCAAGTAGAAGATGGGAAGGAAGAATTTCTTAAAATAATAAAGGAAAGAAGAGATTTCTGCTTCCACTCATGACAGAGTAACTGACACTGGACCTCACCTCCACTGTCAACAACTACAAACTGGGTAGAATATATGAAGTGCTTGGCTTCAGACCCAGGATACCGCCGTGCAGGACGGTGGCCCCTGCGCACAGGCGATGACTGGGAGCCTCTCAGGCTGCAGGTGGGGATGGTGAAACCACATGGGGCCTGCAGTCTGGAGAAGCTGAGGTGGCAGGGATGGAAGTCTCAAGCCGCTGAGCTGTTGAAATTTGCAGGATGAGGAGGCAGTCAGGACAGAGCTGCACAGAGAAGGGACTCTAAAAACATCAACAGGGATCCAAGGAAGCTTCTGGACAAATAGCTGAGGGTGTCAGAGAGAACATCTGCAAGACCTGGCAGAGAACAGCTCTGGGAAGCGTGAGGAAGAGAGGTTCTGGAGGCCACACGGGGCAGGAGACAGACGTGTTCCCACACCCAGACTGGAGACACCTTGGGCGAATAGATTTAACAGAGATTCCACAATGGCTGTGCCATGGGGACTGGGCTACAATAGCCCAGAGTGAGGGGGTTCTCTGGACCTGGCATAATAAAGCTTAAAAACAAGCCTCAAACGGATCCTAGCTAACCAAGAGCAAATTAACTGCCTTCCAGAACAAACCACACTACTCTTTAAGGGAGGAAAACAGAACTGAGACTTTCAACAACATTGCTACCACAATACCTAGTGTACAAAAAAATTACTAGACAGGTGAAGCAGAAAAATGTAACTCATAACCAGGAAAAATAAGTCAACAGAAACAGGCCTAGAGATAACAAAGATAATGAAAGTAACAAACAAAGACTTTAAAAGAATGAAATAAATATATTCAACGATTTATTTATTTATTTAGACAGTGTCCTCTATTGCCCGGGCTGGAGTGCAGTGGCACAATCTCGGCTCACTGCAACCTCTGTCTCCCAAGTGATTCTCCTGCCTCAGCCTCCAGAGCAGCTGGGATTACAGGCGAACGCCACCAAGCACAGCTAATTTTTGTATTTTTGTAGAGATGAGGTTTCACCATGTTGGCTACGCTGGTCTCAAACTCCTCACCTAAAGTAATCTGTCCGCCTTGGCCTCCCAAAAGTGCTGGGATTACTGGCATGAGACATTGTGCCCGGCCAATATATCCAAAGATTTAGAGGAAAGGTTGGACATAATCAACAAAGCAATTAGGGCTCTGAAAAAATCGGAAACTCCACAAAATAATAAACAAAAATTCCTGGAACTGAAGAATACATCGAAAATGAAATTTTTGAGATGAAATGAACATCAGATTAAACAGTGCTAAAGAGAAGATTACAATAAAAACATCACTTATAAAAATGTGTAGAATGCAGCTAAAGCTCAGCTGAGGAAGAAATTTATAAATGTTCATATTAGGAGAGAAGGCTTAAAATGAGTGATTCATACATCCACCTTCAGAAGCCAGAAAAAGGAAGTGCATATTAAATGCAAAGTGGAAGGAAATAACAGAAATCTATGAAATGAAAAATAGACAAATAATGAAGAATTAAACACAAAGTTAGCCTGGAAAACTTAAAAAAAAAAAAAGATCAATTTCCCAAGCAGACTAAGCAGAAAAGAGACAGAGAGCCAAGAGAGGAAGAGGGCATAAATTACCGATATCAGAAATGAAAGGGACATTCCTACAGATCCTACAGATATTAAGCGGGTAACAAAGCACTATAAGGAACTGAATGCCAAGAGAAAATGTAGATGAAACAGACAAATTTTTCACAAACACAAGCTACCAAAACTGACATACAAAGAAGTAGAAAATCTGAATTTATAATTAAAAATCTTTCTACAAGGAAATGGTGGGTGCAGGTGGCTTACGGATGAACTCTACACACGATATAAGTAAGAAATAATACAAACCATACACATACTCTTTCAGAAAACAGAGGAGGAGGACCAGCATAATGCTGCTGCCAAAGTGAGACAACAGCATTCCTAGAAAAGGGAAATTACAGCCCAATATCCTTCATGAATGTGGATGCAAAACTCTGTAATAAAATAGTAACAAACTAATTCAACAACGTATTGAAAGGATAATACAGCATAGCCAAGAGAGATTCACCCAGTAATGTAAGCTTAGCTAACACCTGAAAATCAATGTCATTCACCACATTAATGAAAGGAGAAAAAAATATGGCCATCTCAATTAGATGCAGACACAGCACATGGCAAAACGTGTATGCAAACTCTCAGCAAACCAGGAACAGAAGGGACCATCCTCAGCTGAGAAAGGACACCTATAAAAAATCTGAAGCTAACATCAAATGCTGCTGATGGAGTAAAGATTTTCCCCCTAAAATCAGAAACAAGGAAGGGGCTCTGAGCACTTCTCACTCTCACCACTCTTATTCGGTGTCACTCTTATACCAGCGGCACAATGAGGCCACTGTAATGAGGCAAGACAAAGGTATACAAGGCATAAATACTGGAAAGGAAAAGGTCGTCTTGTTTGGCAGGTAACATGGTTATGTAAACAGAAAAGTCTAAGGAAACTGGGGCAAGTCTGCTAGAACTAATAAGTAAATTTAGTGGCATCACAGGGCACAAGGTCAGTAAAGAAAATTAATTTTATTCCTATATAATAGCAACAAATAAATGGAAAATACAATTATAAAACTGCTATTTACAATATAATTTTTAAATTTAGGAATAATCTTAACACAAATGTACAAAGCCTCTCACTGAAAAGCACAAAACAATGCTGAGAAAAATTAAAGACCTAAACACATAAAAAAATTTGCCATGGCCATGGATTAGAAGACTCAATATTGTTAAGATGTCAATTTTCTTAATTAAATACAATCCTATCAAAATCCCGGGATAATTTCTTATTTTTAAAAGAAATTAACAAGAAGATTCTTGGTTTTTTGTTTGTTTTTTGTTTGTTTGTTTTGAGACGGAGTTTCACTCTTCTTACCCAGGCTAGAGTGCAATGGCACAATCTCAGCTCACTGCAACCTCTGCCTCCCGGGTTCAAGTGATTCTCCTGTCTCAGCCTCCTCAGTAGCTGGGATTACAGGCACCCGCCACCATACCCAGCTAATTTTTGGTATTTTTAGTAGAGACGGGGTTTCACCATGTTGGCCAGGCTGGTCTCGAACTCCTGACCTCAGGTGATCTGCCCACCTCAGCCTCGCAAAGTGCCGGGATTACAAGCATGAGCCACCACGCCCGGCCTAACAAGAGGATTCTTAAATCCACGTGGAAATGCAAAAGGACTTTGAAGGATCCAACCATTCTTGCAAAAGAAGACCCAAGTAGCAGGACTCACACGAATTTCAAGACTTACCTTAAAGCTACAGTATTAAACACCGAAATAAACATAAATAAAACAGAATAATGTTCAGAACTAGACCTACACTTACATGGTCAACTAGACTTCAATAAAAGTGTGAAATCAATCTAAGGGGGAAAGGAAAATGTTTTAAATAAATAGTTTGGAGAAAACTGAGTATCTCTGAAGAAAAAGAAACCTTCAATCCCTACCTCACACCAAGACGGATCAGAAACTCAGACATAAAAGCAAAACTACAATGCTTCTACAATAAAACACGGACAGTATCTGTGCCAAGCTCAAAGTAGGCAAAGATTTCCTAGAATGTAAAAAGCACTAACCAAAAAGTGACAAAATACATTTCATCAAAATTTAATCATACACACACTTCTATTCAATATACTGTTAAGAAAAATGAATAGGCAAGCCACGGATGGCATATATCCAACAAAAGACTTCTAGCTAAACTATAGAAAGCAGGTCTACAGTTCAACAATAAAAGAGACAACTCAACATTTAAAAAGGGCAAAAGACTGGAACAGACATTTTACATAAGAAGACAAATAATGGCCGATAAGTACAAGAGCAAGTGCCACGCCTTCCAGAATGGCTAAACCTGCACAGACTGAGAACACCCAAGGTGTGGAGGAGGCAGGAACCAGGAGACTGATGCGCTACAGGCAGGGCGAGGAACTACTGAGGAAAAAGCCACAACTACTGAGGAAAAGGGCTGGCAGTTTCTTGGAAAGTTAAATATGCATGTAGGATTCCATAATTCCATGGCTAAGTACTGACCCAAAAGAAACAAAAACATACATCCACATAAAGGCTCCTACAAGAACGTTCACAGCAGCAGTGTTCACAATAGCCAGAAACTGGAAACAACCCAAAGTCCATGAACAGAAGAACAGCTCAACAAACGACAGTATATTCATACAACAAAACACCACTCAGCAACCCAAAGCATAAAACCACCACCAAGATGCAATGCACAGCTAAGCCCCACAGATGTGATGTCAGTGGGAAAACGCCAGAGACAAGAGCGGGGACCATCAGACTCCATGTATCTGATGTTTAGAAAAGGCCCAATTAGTCCTTGATGAAAATAAATCAGACAGTGGCTGCCTGTTGGGAGGGGAGGTGGCAGGCAAACAGGGCTGACTGGTAAGGCATGTGGTGGTGTTTTCCGGGAAGACGGAAACATTTTGCATCTTGACAGGGGTGTGGGCTACAGGGGAATTCATATTCATCAAAACTCACTTAACTGAATACTTGAGATCCGTGCATTTCATTGTTTGTAAATTATATGTCAACTTCTGAAAAACTAAAAGTTTCTACAAAGGAGGAAAGAGAGAAAGCATTTAAGAGAAAATGGCAGACAAAATTAAAGGGAAAAAACACTTGCAACTACATATGGAAAAGGCACATGTCACCTCAGACCAACTCACACCAAGGCGTTCTAGTAATATTACTAGACTTATGACGAACAGAAAGTCCTTTGATAAAAGGTAAGTTTGCATACAAAGGAAAGAAAATTGTATTTCCATTAGACACCAGTAACACTTTAAATCAAAAGGCTATTGTCATGGATGGAATTCCCACGAATTCACAGGTTGAAGCCCGTACCCCCAGTGTTGTGATGCTATTTGGAGATGGCACCACTGGAGGTAATCAGGGTTAGATGAAGTCATGAAATAGGGTGGGGCCCCCCAGATAGGATTACTGGCCTTATACTGAGAGGAAGGTTCTAGGCAGAGGTCAGCAGTAGCTGCAAACAACACAAAAAGACAACGAGATATTATGCACCTCCTGTGGTGGAACACAGCCACCAGCGGAGCCAACTGGCCTCCAAAGAAGAATGAGAATGCGATCAAGGTCTAAATCTAGCTGCCAATTTACAGGAAATAAAAAGAATGTTCTAAACAATACCACAGCATGCAATTAGCAAAATTCAGACCCTGGGAGACATCACAGGAAGAGCAGGCAGGCTCCACTAACAAAGTAAGTGGATGGGAAAAAAAACAAACAGGAAGGGTGGAGTGGATCCAGAGACATGGGGCGGAGCCTGCAGCCTGGTCACCACTCGGCACCTGTGCCCATCACCTCTGGTCCAATGTCGCGCTCCAGTGTGTAAGGTGCTGTCCCTGTAGGGGCTAGCTGAGGGTGGCCCTGGAATTTGTGCTATTTTTGCAACTTCTTATGAATTTATAATGATTTCAAAATAGAAAGTTAAAGAGTTTCAAAATCTGTCATCCAAGTGCAACGCATGGACCTTATTTGAATCCACATTCAACACTCTAAAAACAAGTCATGAGACACCAGACAAACATAAAGGCTTGATACTCAATGTTATGAAGAAATCACTACTTTTGGTATGATAATGAAACATCTTATGTTTAAGGAAAAGAATCCCTCTCCTTTACAGACATACAGAATAGTCACGGATGAAACATGTTCAGAATTTCCTTCAAAATCATCTGGGTGATGCGGGAAAATTACAGCTGAGGTGGGTGTGGCTTTGAACACACGTACCCACCAAAATCACTCACCCTTCTTTTAAAATCAGTTCATGAATCCAATCTCTATCAAAGACATGCACAGAATTTCTCCAGAGAGAAGCTGCCCCGTGAACACTCCAACTAGTCTTTTCCCTAACAACAGCTTTCCATCGGTTCTCCCGGCTCCTCGGAACAGCAGAGCTACCTGAGCTTAGCGATTTATACTCCATCGCAGCGTCGCAGCCGTGGTGGGGGCATCATGGGGCCACAACGGAAGAGCTCTACGGTCAGGTGTGGCTCGAGGATGTGAGCTCTTCTCAGCAAGGGTGCATGCACAGCACTGCTGGCTCACAAAACTCATGTGCATGTGTGCATGTGTGTGTGTATGCATGTGCACGTGTGCCTGTGTGTGCATCAGCACAAAGCCAAGAGGTCACAGTGTTTTGCTTGTAATCAAAGATCACCACGTGTTCAAGGAAGAAAGGAAAATAATCCCTTCCTAGGAGTCAAATCGATCCACAGGAAAAGTCCCATAAATGGCCGAATGGCAGAATTAGTAGATGACATTTTAAGTCAGGCTACCTGTATCCCACCCATCCAGAAAGCCAGAAGAAACATGAGACGTGGTAAACAGAGATAAAGAAGATTTTTCTTAAAATCCAAACTGGACTTCCAGATGTGGGCATGAAGATGTCTGAGATGAGCACCATGGGGGCCGCTGCAGAGCCAAGGTGGCTGAACTCAAAGACACAGCAGCGGCAACTCTGCAGAGGAAACCAGAGCAGAAAAGGACTGAAAATGAACAGCCCATGCCTGAGCTCAGGCCACCTAACAAGGACAAGCCACAGGCTGGAAAACATTTTTTCAACACACAGATCTGATAAAGGACTTCTATCTAAAACAGATAATGACCTCTTACAACTCAATAACAAGAAGGCAAGTCACCCAATAAAAAATGGGCAAAAGACTGAACAGAAACTTCACCAAAGAAGAGAGATGATTAGCCGAATGAAGCACATGAAGAGATGCTCAACATCACTGGCCATCAGCAGAACGCCAAACACGAGCACAGGATGCTGCAGCCACGCAAGGGATAGCTGCAACCACAGGACGGCCAGGCCATGTGCCTGCAGGATGACCACAGATGAGCATGCCACATGCCTGCGGGACGACCACGGGATGGCCACACCACGTGCCTGTGGGATGACCACAGGATGAACATGCCACATGCCTGCAGGATGACCACAGGACGGCCAGGCCACGTGCCCACGGGATGACCACGGATGAGCTTGCCACATGCCTGCGGGATGACCACGGGACGGCCAGGCCACGTGCCCATGGGATGACCACGGATGAGCTTGCCACATGCCTGCGGGATGACCACAGGACGGCCAGGCCACGTGCCCACGGGATGACCACAGATGAGCTTGCCACATGCCTGCGGGATGACCATGGGACAGCCAAACCACGTGCCTGCAGGATGACCACGGATGAGCATGCCACATGCCTGTGGGATGACCATGGGATGAGCATGCCACATGCCTGCCACGTGCCCACCACTGTGCCGAGAAGCAGGGCCCTGAGGCTGCTGGTGGGGATGCAAAATGGTGGAACTGGAACTGCTTTAGAATGCAATTGGGCAGCTTCTACAAGCGTTAAGCCTATATCCACCTACGGTCTGAGCACTGCACTCTCAGCTACTTCATGGAAAGCACACATTTCTACTGAGACTCGCACACGAATGTTCACGGCAGCTGCAAGTGTGCTGGTCAGAAAGGAGAGAACCTGCACACCCACCATGGGGAGGTGACACAGTGCGGCCTCAGCATCCACGGACCGCGCCTCAGCCACAGACAGGAGTGGCCTGGGAGACACGCGGAACACGGAAGACTCCTACAGCAAGTGTGCTGAGTGACGGAGGCCAGGTGAACATCAGGTTCACACTGTGATTCCGTTCACGGGAAATTCCAGGAAACATAAAGGTGTGACCACAATGACAGAAGCTTGTCAGTGGTTGGGAGCGAGGAAGTGGGGGAGAGAAGTGTCACAGAAAGGCAGGAGTAAACTGGAACCCCAGGGTGATGGGTGTGTTCCTCTCCCTGGCTGTGGCTGTGGCTTCAGGGATACACATGCATATGTCCACACTTGTCAAGCTGCACCCTTTAAACACAGGCGGTTCACGGTATGTCAAGCAGACTGCAGTAAAGGTTTAAAAGAAAAGCAACTCCTCTCTGGGCTCCTGGCCCAGTGCCTGCCCATTGTCCCCATTAGACTAATGGGCATCTCAGACTTGAGGCATTCCTTCCAGAACTGGCTCCTCGGGTGTCCTCTGCAACTCCAGAGACACTTGCTCCATCCTCCCACTGCCTCAGAGGAATGTGGGAGTCCTCCCTGGACCCCTCTCAGACCCCACATCCATCCATCAGCAGGTCCTCACGGCTCTACCCACAAAACACGCCGGGGGGTGTCTCTTCCCCCTACGTCCCTCACCCACACACCCCTGCGGGCCTCCTGTGCCACTACCATGGTCTCAGGCAGGCCCCCTTGTGCCCCCACCCTCCAATCCACTCTCCACATGACTGGGAGTGTGATCCTGGCAAGTCAGCTCTGATCCCACCCCCTGCTGCTCAAAGCCCCTCACGACTCCTGCGCCATGCAGCGAATGAGCCTGAGTGCTCCCCACGCCGCCTTTGTGCCCTCCCCACTTCCCCTCGCTCTGGTCCCTCGAGTCTCCTCTGTGGCCTGGGCACCCAGCACATTGGCACCGCGGGGCTGGCCACCTGTCCTTTGCTGTGGCTGGAGCGCTCCTCCTCAGACATCCCATTTTCCGGTCGGCCACTCATTTCTTCCGTCTCTGGCTGCCCTACCTGGCGCTCCTCAGCCTGCGACAGACAGGCACATCTGTCCAGCACTCCTGTTACAATGTAAGGCCTCTTGTGTCCACTATATTCCCGGCACCCGGAACAGGAGGGCAGGGGTCTTGTGTCCACTATATTCCCGGCACCCGGAACAGGGGGACAGCAGGCAGTCAATATTTGCTAAATGAACGGAAGAAATGCCAAGTCAGCATCAGAGCAAGAAAGCAGCTCTCAAAGCAGAGAGGTGCTGGGTGAGTGGAGGGCAAGCGAATGAAACCTGTCTCCCCTTCTCACCCATGTTCTCAGTCCATGCCCGTGCCCTGCAGTTGCACAGTGACATCCAGGGCAATGCTAACACCCAGGGTGCCAGGGGATCCTCAGGGGGGCTGAACCTCTCCAGCCAGGTGTGATGTCTGCACGAAACACTCTGCCCCGGTGCTTACCAGGGCTCAGTCACCCACACTAGGGCGGACGCCAGCACTAAATGCGCACTCAACTAGAAGGGAACCACAGCCCCGGCACTGGCCATGGTGGCATCTGGGGGAAGCAGACCTCGGGACTTGTGGCACCTGTGCCAAGGGAAGGGACTGGGGGAGAGCCAACCACGTGCCCTGTCTGTTGAACGTGGGATCTGGCCCAGTTGAAAAGGGCCTGCGGCAGGGTGGCCAGCTAGGCAGTGAGCGTCGGGTCTGCGGCTCTTCCCGTCCCTCCAGGCTTGCCTCCCGCCCCGCCACCCCGCAAGTGCACATCTGCACACACAACCACCTCCTGTGGCTGCACTGCTACCTCTCATCTGCTTCTACCTCCTTTGATTTGCCTCCAACCCCACTGCGCCTGCCATGGAGATGGGAGGCCAGGGGACGAATCCTGCACCCCTCCACACCCAGCCAGAACCACCACCGTCTCTCTGTGCCTACAGTCAACCCTCAGCCCAGCCATCTGTTCATACTTGCGGCCTTCCTCGTGCCTGATCCTGCACTGGACGATTCCGGTGACACTGAGCATTCATCACTAGCTGCAATTGTGTTAAGGGACAGAGATGAGGGTGCCGGACAACTGTACATGAGGGGGCTGCTCTGGAGATCCCCCAGGCCTGCTGCCAGACGCTGAAGCCCCAGCCCTACCCAGTGCACAGATACACAGCTCCACACATCGCTGGGCTGGGGTCCCATCAAACCTCAGCTAGGAAGGCCTGTTCCATGGATTACCCACGTCCTCCTCCAGCCCACCCAGGCCAGGGGCCTCAGGTGCCACCAGAGGGAGGAAGGCCTGATGGTCAGCCCCGGGGTCAGCCCAAGGTGAAGATGTGGCCTCATAGGTCCACAGGCCCTCGAACTGCAGTGTCCTGCCTGGTGCTGTAGGGAGACGGCCCTGCTTTTTGTCCCCAGGCCTGGGCCCCCATGACTCCCACCAGGCACGACCTACTGGCTCCTGGGCACCTGACTTTGAAAAGCCAGCATCTGACACCCTGCTCTCCTGCAGATCCTTCTATGAGCAGATGGATACCTGCTCCAGGCAGTACCACGCGGCCAGGCGAGGACACCCTGGCAGCCCCCAGCGCCCTGAGGGAGAAAATGTGGCACCACAGGACATCCTGGGTTCCATCCCAGCTCCCCCACAGCCCAGGTGGGGCCATCAGGCCAGAGTGCTGCTCCTGGGGAGCTCCAGGCACAGCGTGCCGGGGGCGCTCCGGGCAGGCTCCCCTCTGAGCTCAGGTCACACGCCCTCTGCTCACGGCGAGCCCACCACAGCCCGGACCTGTGGCCAGTAAGCCCAGGGTCTCAGCATTTGAATGTCCAAACCGATAGGCTGCGGGAAGAGGCGACCAGGGAAGGGGAAGGGCGTGGGATGAGGGAGGCCTCAGGGGTGAGGGGCTCAGGCGACAAAGAGGAGGAGGGCTCTGGATGGCTGGAGAGAGGCATGTGCAGAAGAGAGCTGGGGAGGAGGCTTTAAATCCACCCACCAAAAGCACAGTGAGGCGGGGTGCGGAAAGTGTGTGAGGTTCGGCTCTGGACTCTGGCCAAGGCACAGAAAGCTGAGGCTGCCCAGCCTGCAGAGCCTGTGGAGAAGGGATGGGGAGGGGAAGGCTGGCAGCCCAGAGGAGGCAGACGGAGAAGTGGACAGATCCAGACAGCCCTGGGCCGCAGCCAGACATGGGCGCGAGGCTCGTCTAACAGGGCTGGAGCCAGGCCCTGGCCCTGACCCGGACATCCTGGATGCCACACCACGCACACTGTCACCTCAGGTGGCACTGCTCATCCCCATGTAGAAGTATGGAATCCCTACCTAGGCCCTGTCCCACCCTGGAGACAGAAATGAGGCAGCCCCAGGTCAACCGAGAGACACCCCCAAACAGCTCCTTCCTCTGGCTCCAGACTGGGCCCTGTCCAGGTGACCGCACACATGGTCTGTAGTGCCGGACACAAGGGCAGATGGCCAAGACCACAGAGGCCACAGGAGCCCACAGAGCCGGCTGCCGCACTGCACAGCTACTACCGTGGGTCCCCAGAACAGCGGGCACCCCAAAGCAGGGCCCCTGCGTGGGCACAGGTGTCCCCCACACACTCTCATACATTGATGTCTACAAACGGCCACATCTGGGGCAACTTCACAATTGGATCGGGTTCCTGGGGCAAGATCCACTTGTCAGGAAAGCACAGACAATGGCAAAGCGGCTTCTCAGTGCCTGTCACGAGTGAGCATGGCCAGCACGCTCTCCAGAGCACATGGGAGAGTCTGGTGAGGGGCCCTTGGTCTCCAAGGTCACATGGCACCCGCTGGCCCTGTGGGCTCCTGGACTTCACTGGAAGTGACAGAGGTGGCTGGCAGGCGCTGGCCAAGGGCGCACCCGGCTGGGGTGTGGGAGCCACTCCTCGCAAGCCGCATGCCCGGGAGAGCACTCTCAGGAAGAGGTCCAGAATGAGCGGCAGCCTTCTGATTGCCAAGAGAAAGCGCCACCCGCTCAGCCCTGGCTGGGGCAGCTCGTTCCTGCCTTCCAGTCACCAGAAGCCCACAGCTGAGAGCCTGCAGAAAAGGAGATGCCCCCAGGCAGAAGGAGGCCAGAGAGCCCAGGGGATGCAGAGAGGGTGACTGCCTGGCCCGCCCACCCATGATGGGAGCAGAGTGCTCCTAGAACGGAGAGGAGACTGGCAGGGGCAAGGAGGTGGGAGGGAGCAGCCTTCAGCTGCACTCCAGATAGCATCCGCTGCCCTTTCTCAGCAGCTTACGCAATTTATAGCTGAGAAATGGCCCATGAGGTCGAAAATCACAATGACAGCTGCACCAAGGGGGATGTCAGCCCTGGGAGGGCGAGAAGAAGGGAGGTCTGGACTCAGGAGGCAGTTTTCTGGGGCCGCCAGGGCCTTGTCCATGGAAGGGCTCACAGCACCTGCCCACTGGGCAGCCCACATGGCTGGCGGCTCCTGGCACCCACGCTATGCTCTCAGCTGCCCCAGAAGCTAAGACTGTTAAACAAGGGGCACTGAAAAACCCCAGGTGACAGGAGAGCCCCATGTGTGAATTCTTCCCCACAGCTCCCTTCAGAGTAGACTCAGCCAGCTAGAGAACTCAAGGTGGAGGCTGCAGCGAGCGGGGAGAAACCCACGCTGTGTCTGCACTCACGCGAGTCCAAGACAGCCAGGGCAGGGCACTCTCGGGACTCCCAGAAGACCCCCAGGGCTTCCGCAGCAGCTGTGTCACGAGACATCTGCGGCACAGAGTGCCTAGGCTAGGCCGGGGACCTGCTCTCCTGACCACACACCAAGCCCGGCAGCCACCCGAGGGTGAACTGAGGGGAAGGGGACCGCACTGGGGCACGGACGCCAGGCACAGACACCGAATGGCTGGCTTTGTCAGAAGACTCTAGGCAAACCGTGGAATAAAACGCGAGGGAAGGGAAAGAGACTCGTTCACAGAGAACCTTCTAAGTGCCAGGCCTCGCATGACATTGGCGTGTGCTTCCCAGGCATCCCCCGACTTCAGCCAACAGGCCGCTGCAGGGCAGACCTGAACAGACGTGCACAGCCTCACCGGACCCTCCGCTACCAAGGAGGCCTTTGATTGGAACTCAAGGCTGCCTCCCTCTAAAGCACGGTCCTGTTGCAGAAAAAACAAATTTAGCCACCCCAGCCCAACACTTTGGGAGGCCTAGGTGAGAGGATCACTTGAGGTCAGAAGTTTGAGACCAGCCTGGGCAACATAAGGAGACCCCCCCACCCCATCTCAAAGAAATCTTCAAAATTATCTGGGCGTGGTGGTGTACCTGTGGCCCCAACTACTTGAGAGGCTGAGGTGGGAGAACTGCTTGGGGCCGGGAGTTCAAGGCGACGGAGCTATGGTTGCGCCACCGCACTCCAGCCTGGGTGACAGTGCGAGACCCTGACTCTCTAAATAAATCAATGATAGTTAAAGGAAACACAAATGTGCGTTTTAGGAACCAAACACACTGCCTTTGAACTTGGTTCCAGGACCCCCAAAAATGGCTTTTGAAGCAAGTAAGCCCCGAGGTAGGGATCGGCAACACTACCCAGAAAGGAACCACGCCCACATCAAGCTAAAGGTTGACCTGAAGGGGCGCTCTTACAGGGCCTGCCCAAAGAAGGGAGTAGCTGGATTCTGAGAACAGCCAGTCCAAGAGCAGCGCTCCAGCCAGCTCTGAATAACCAGGCTTCAGAACCCCTCGACTTCCTCAACTGGCACCCCCGAGACCTGTCCCTGCCCATTTTACTGATAAGGAAGCAAGCTCAACAGGATATTCATACAGGGTCCTGGCATCCGCTGATGGCGTTTTCGGATCTAGAAAAGAGACCCTGTACAAACACTGAAAAGTACCACTGGAGGTTCCAAGCCTCCCTAGAGTCCTGGAATACCACCTCTGTAGCGGCAGGGGCAGAGAAGGTTTTAAAAAAAAAAGCCGGGCGCGGTGGCTCACACCTGTAATCCCAGCACTTTGGGAGGCCAAGCAGGGCGGATCACAAGGTCAGGAGATCGAGACCATCCTGGCTAACATGGTGAAACCCCGTCTCTACTAAAAATACAAAAAATTAGCCGGGCGTGCTGGTGGGCGCCTGTAGTCCCAGCTACTTGGGAGGCTGAGGCAGGAGAATTGCTTAAACCTGGGTGGCAGAGGTTGCAGTGAGTCGAGATTGCGCCACTGCACTCCAGCCTGGGTGACAGAGCGAGACGCCGTCTCAAAACAAAACAAAACAAAACAAAACAAAAACAAAGAAACGTCTCAGGAGCCACCTGAGAAAAGCTGCTCTATGACTTCGGACAGTCAGGAGCACTGCATGGAGCCTTGGACGTCCACGTGGAGCCTCCATACTGTGCATCAGAGGCAGGGAAAACTGGAGTTGCCAAGCAAGTAAAACCCCGGCTGGAGTCGGGGAGAGACCACTCAGGACACACATGTCCATCGGCAACACAAATCAAAAGGAGACCACAGACCATGAGGAAGACGCAGTCTGGACTAGGAGGGGATGGGCAGATGGGGCAGGTTTCTGCAGGGAGAGCCACTGGTGCAGGGGTGAACATGGCCCCCTAAGCCCCGCACTTCCCCTCACACAGCAGCCAAGGCTATTTCTGTGCTGACCCCCGTGCTGGCAGCCTGGCTCTAGCCTTCACACGTGACTGTCCCCCAAGAGGGGACAGCAGCATGTGGAAGGGGAAAGAGCTTATTCCTACATGCCCGGCCCAGAGCGCAGCACAAGCCCATCCTGCCCTGGCTCACCTCCTGTTCCCAGGGGGGCACTGCCCTCCTAGTTCCCACAGCCCAGTCAGCAGAGGAGGAGGCAGAGGAGGAGAAAATGCCATCAAGTCTACCCCAAACCCACCCCTGCTCCTAGCAAGCTGGCCAACAAGCCTCACACCAAACAGGAAAGCACCCGAAACACAACAGCTTTCTTCCACGCCACCCTAGTAGGAGACAGTGATAGCCTCTCCTCCTAGTGCAAGGGGCCTCTCTGCCACAGCTGACCTGGAGGTGCCAACGTCCATGGGGCCTGGACAGGCTGTGGCGCTGCCAGCATGCAGAGAAGGACTGAAGCAAGCCAGGGCCATCGTAGCCCTGAAAGAAGTCCCAGGCAGTGCCACAGGGCTCGTACCCTCAGACAGTATGCCTTCCAAGCACAGCACAGCCCGTGGGCCAGGGGACATCCAGGAAGGAAGACAAGGGGGGCCAGGCTGGGGGTCAAGGGTCCTCCTGGGGTAAGGGTGATCAGAGACTGCCAGGAGGCCAAGAGCCAGGTGGAGGCCATGCAGAAGGAGCCACCTGGAGCCATCGGCGGTGGGGCTGGGGGCCGAGATTTCGGTATAAATTTAGAAGGCAGAGTAATGCACCACCGCACCTCCAAAACTGTCCATTTCAAGCTCAAGTCAAGCCAAACTCTGAACAATTAAAGTGGCTACTGGAGCCTGCCTAGTCATTCTCCCGGCCCCCAGCCACCACTGACTGCGGGAGGGCAGGGGCCTCCAGGGATCTCTGACCCCTCTCCCTCCTGATGCCTGCATTTCGCTCATCCAGGAAAACCCCTGGGCTGGGGGGCAGGTAGGACTTAAGAGCCCCCATCTATCATGCTGCTGAAAAAAGTGGAGGAGCCCCCACACTCACCTGCTCACAGCAAGGCGGTGGGGCGTGGACTGATGGTTAAAACAAACAAGAGCGCTCACGATCCCTCAGGAGCTCACAGGCTCAGAAAAGCCAGGGGATAGGTGAGACCCTGCCTCTCTGTCACTCTGCGCTCTCCCCACCCCCAGCTTCACAGAGCCCAGCAGGGCCCAGGCCGCCTAAGAACAGGGTGGTGGAGCCCTGCCAGGCCACGCTGCCCTTCTCTGGCTGGTATAAAAACCTTGGCTGCAAAATTTAGTCCAGGCTGAGTCCCTGAGTCCCACAGGAAGGAAGCTGGGAGCCCCACAAGGGAGGAGGAGTGGCCTGCGAGAGCACAACCCCCACCCCACGGCCCCCTGGAGCTGGCGAGAAGTCAGCCCGAAGCGCCCACTCGCCGGCTCCTGAGGACGCCTGGCTGTGGGGACCCTCTTGGTCACGGGCCTGACCCCGGGTGCTGCCATGGCCACCTGGCCTGCAGGGGCTCAAACAGAAAAACTGGAAATCAATGTTTTTGTCAGTATTTTTTTCCCCAAAAAATATTGAGATCAGTCGAGAAACAGCTTTTCCTTAGAAAAATGCCAGAGAGAAATGGAAACGTGCCCTGGCGCTCTGGAATGGGGTGGGGCGGTCCAGAGAAGGGCACAACCCCGAGAGACGCATGGAGGTGACTGGTGCCCTGCCCTCCCCCCTGCGCTCTGGAACAGTGCGGGGGGGGGGGGGGCGCCTCCAGAGACGGACCCAACCCCGAGAGACGCATGGAGGTGACTGTGCCCTGCCCGCCCCTCTGCGCTCTGGAACGGTGGGTGGGGGTCCCCAGAGACGGACACAACCCCGAGATATGCATGGAGGTGACTGGTGCCCTGCCCTCCCCCTCACAGCCCTCAGCAAAGCCACCCGCCATAGGCCTGCGGGAGAACGGGCACTCCTGATGTGCACGCAGGCAGCTCTGGGTGGGCAGGGCAGCTTCCTGGGCACACACCAGCTACACTGCAAAGGGTGTGGTCAAACGTCACTGCACAGACCCCCTTGAGGTGACAGTTCGAACAAACACCATCCTCCCTGTCCTGCTGTGGACGCTGGTGTGGGGTGCGCCTGGGACAGGGCTCTGGCCCGAGGTGTCTGGTAAAGCGGGTAACAGGGTGGACTCCAGAAGGCTGGGAGGAAGGCAACTGAAGACCCGGAAGCCCACTCCCAGGGGAAAAGGACACCGGGCGGGCAGGGGCTGCTCCTGCAGGGGCACATTCCCCTCTAATAGGAAACGCTGTTTTTGTCTGTGAAACTGGAGAAAATGCGTCACATGCGGGAGAACCCCACATTCCAAGGCAAGAGGAGAAACTACAGCGGGAGGCGCCACGGCCCACACTTCAGATTCCTCAAGTGGGGTCCGTGGCTGAGGCTGCGCAGGGAGGAGACACAGCACAGGGTGCCCTTGGGAGCAGAGGGGTGCCAACAGCTGTCCCCACACAGGGCGAGGCCTGGCCTGGCAGCCTGGTCCCTCATGCACAGTGAGTTCCACGCAGCCTCTGCACTGGCCACCCAGCCAACCCTGACCCAGCCTCGGGCCTCAGCCAGAGAATCCTCCTCAAACCCAAGTCACCAGGGCCTGCCTCTCCCTCTCAGGGTCATGCACGTGCCCCCTGAGGCCAGCCTTACCCCGGAGTCCTCAGCCCCAGGAGCCTCCAGACTGTTCCTCCCACCCCCAACATCATTACTGCCAGCCTTTGCCCAATGTCATCTAGGAGACCCCAGCTTCCACCTCAACCAGAGATGCCATCCGCTCTGTGTCCTGCTGGGTCCTAACAGTCCAACAGGAGCGGAAGCAGGAGTGCAGCAGTGATTTTCTGCTCTGTCCTGGGAGCTGAGAACAGGGGCAGTGCTGGCAGCTGGAACCTGAAAGCGTTTGAGTGAGTGAGCTGCTCATATACAAATAAGAATGTGTGCAAACCAATAAGAACAAAATGACCATCACCCCTCCCCAAAAAAAGGGGCAAAGAAAAAACCATTCACAGGCAGAAAATAACTACAAATGGTTAATAAACATAAGAAGATCAACTTGCCTAATTTAGAAGCAACTGAAGACAAGACCTTCCAATGACAGCCAGTGCCAGGCACCCCCAGCCGAGAAGCTCCTCAGAACATTGAGAATGTAAAATGGGAATTTATCTCAAGTATTCAAACTCGGAATGACTATGAATAATAAACCTGAATGAAGCATTGCTCATAAAAGAAAATGCTGGAAACTGCCTAACACTCGCAGGGTCTCCTTAGCAAGTCCTGCTATGCAGTCATCAAAGAGGGAGAAGAGCCCAGTGGGCAGGGACCTGGAGGTCAGCGCCAGGGCTGCGAGGCACCCGGGAGGTGAGAGCCAGGGCTGCGGGGGGGACCCGGGAGGTCAGAGCCAGGGCTGCGGCGGGGACCCGGGAGGTCAGAGCCAGGGCTGCGGGGGGGACCCGGGAGGTCAGAGCCAGGGCTGCGGGGGGGACCCGGGAGGTCAGAGCCAGGGCTGCGGGGGGGACCCGGGAGGTCAGAGCCAGGGCTGCGGGGGACCCGGGAGGTCAGAGCCAGGGCTGCAGGGGGACCCGGGAGGTCAGAGCCAGGGCTGCGGGGGGGACCCGGGAGGTCAGAGCCAGGGCTGCGGGGGGGACCCGGGAGGTCAGAGCCAGGGCTGCGGGGGACCCGGGAGGTCAGAGCCAGGGCTGCGGGGGACCCGGGAGGTCAGAGCCAGGGCTGCGGGGGACCCGGGAGGTCAGAGCCAGGGCTGCGGGGGACCCGGGAGGTCAGAGCCAGGGCTGTGGGGGGACCCGGGAGGTGAGAGCCAGGGCTGCGGGGGGACCCGGGAGGTGAGAGCCAGGGCTGCGGGGGGACCCGGGAGGTGAGAGCCAGGGCTGCGGGGGACCCGGGAGGTGAGAGCCAGGCTTGCCGGGGGACCCGGGAGGTCAGAGCCAGGCTTGCCGGGGGACCCGGAAGGTCAGAGCCAGGCTTGCTGGGGGACAGCTGGAAGGTACACACCTCCAGAGCTTTAGGGGTAAGCCTGTGTATTTTACTTTCTTTATATTTCTCCGAATTGTTGGAATTTTCCATGTTAAAATACATCATCACCACAATCAGAAGAAAAAAAAAATTTAATTTTGGGAAAAGTGAAAAGACCTCCAAAGAAAATGCCCAGAGGAGGCATTTTATTCTAGTTTCCAAATTTTCACTAATCTTCCTTTTATAATTGAAAAAAAAAAGTGCACTATCTACATTCTAACAGATTTTTGAGAAGTACATACAGGAAAACATTTCACAGTTTCCTAAAAACTTAAACACACACTCGATGATGCCTGCCTCACTACGCGCCTGGAGGCTTGTCTGCGAGGAATCAAAGGAATCTGGTAGTGATGGCTGAAAACTGGGTCCCAGATGCTCACTGCTGGGGAACAGGGACATCAGTCACCGAATCTGCACTAAGCTCCAAGAGGACCAACTGCCACACGCAGTGTGCTGACTCACCAGAGTGGGAAAACCACGCAGAAGATAGCGGGGCCACAGGGAGCATCCACCCCACATTCTAGAATGGAGAGAGCCACACAGAAGACAGCGGGGCCATGGGGAGCATCCGCCCCACATTCTAGAACAGGCAAAACCTCCAGCAGGACGAGGAGCTTTCCTGAGGATGGCACAGGCTGCAGGCACTGCCCACACAGACCTGTAGGTTCACCAAAACTTGCTGAATTGCATGCCTGAAATCACAGAATTCTGCCGTATGTAAACAACACCTTCAACACAGCTGCTTCCAGGTGTGGTAGCTCACGTCTGAAATCCCAGCACTTTAGGAGGCTGAGGCAGGAGGATCTCTTGAGCCTAGGTCAAGACCAGCCAAGGCAACACAGTGAGACCCCATCTCCACAAAAAAAATAAAAATTAGCCAGGCATGGTGGCGTGCACCTGTGGTCCCAGCTACTCAGGAGGCTGAGGCTCCTGGGATGTTTCTATCACTGGGAATCGTGACTTTTCACACTGCAGGGGATGAGCCTGGTGTGTCACCGGCCTTGCCTCCTGGGGCTGTCTGAAGCTGCTGGGCTTCTGGATGTGGCCCCCCCGTGGGTGTGCAAAATCCTGTATCATAAAAAAAACCAGCTGCTCACACGCACACTTCTCCAATTCAAGCAGAAGCTGCTGAAGCACAAACAAGGTGATGGCTGTGGAGATGGGCTGGGGGGCTGGGCGGCCACCCCCATCAGGTGGGCTCCTAGGTGGTTGGTACCACGGCCGGGACAACTCACTCCATCATTAGAACTTTCTTCAGGATGGAACACAGGGCTAGGGTTGAATTTTCCTCCGTTTTAAGAAGTAAACTAGTTTTCCCTCAAAGGGAAATGGTTTCCCCTCAAACTGTCTTTAACAAGTAGACACTGCACGTAGAACAAGGAAGAATGAAAAGCATGGGCGGGTACCATGAACACATGTGTGTGTCAGGACTGCAGGCAACAGGCACCCCTCCGCCAGTCTCAGGTAAGGCGCCGTCACTCTAGTTGCTTACACTGAAGCCAGGTGCAGCCTGTTCAGAATGTGGAAGACCCAAGATGGGCTTGAGGCAAGACAGGTGGCAGAGGTGGCCCCCCAGCGAAACACAGCTGGGGAAGAGCCCTGGGCCTCCCCGGCAGACTCCAAGTGGTTCCTGACGACCAGGGGCAAAGTCTCATCTCTGACTCCCCACTGCTGGCACAGCCACACACGGTGGTCCTGCTGCCCACTGCCCACTCTCTCCGCATCCTTAGACCCTTCCTCTCTCCTCACATTCGACCTCCTCAGAACTTCCTGAAGTGGGTGCTTGGGAAGTAACTCTTTCAGAACTCACACATCAGAAAATATTTTCATTCTACTCTTACATCATTGACAGGTTAACTGATGCTGAAGTCTACTCTGGAAATCCTTTTCTGACTGCATTTTGAAGACCATCTTCTACTTTCCAGGTTGGAATTCATATTCTGGTTCTCAGTACACTGTAGATAACCTGGTGCTACGCTCTGAATGTGTCCCCCAAAGGCATGTGCTGGAAACTGAACACCCAGTGCTGCAGCGCTAGGAGGTGGGGCCTGGTGGGGGGTGATTAGGGGTGGGGCTGGGAGGTGGGGCCTGGTGGGAGGTGATTAGGGGTGGGGCTGGGAGGTGGGGCCTGGTGGGCGGTGATTAGGGGTGGGGCTGGGAGGTGGGGCCTGGTGGGGGGTGATTAGGGGTGGGGCTGGGAGGTGGGGCCTGGTGGGCGGTGATTAGGGGTGGGGCTGGGAGGTGGGGCCTGGTGGGCGGTGATTAGGGGTGGGGCTGGGAGGTGGGGCCTGGTGGGGGGTGATTAGGGATGCGGGATGCTCTGCCCTAGGAATGGATTAATGTGATTCTGAAAGGGCTTGGGGCTGTGAGTTCCACCTCTTGCCCTTCCACCTCTCCCCACGAGGTGACACTGCACAAAGGCTCTTGCCAGACATGGGACCCTCCATCTTGGAATTCCAAACCTCCAAACTGTAAGAAATAAACCTCTGTTCTCTGTAAACCACTCAGTCTCAGGTATTGTTTCAGCGGCACAAACAGACGAAGGGGTTTTGTTTTGCTTTGTTCTTCTCTCTGGAAGTTGTAAAAATATGCTCTTTATCCCTGGTGTCTTCTGGTGTCGCCTTTTCATTCACTGCATTGGACACTGTGTGAGCCCATTTCATCTGTGAATTCATTTCTGGACAACTGTGGCGTTCCTTTGGTGATTTCCTCCCTTCTGTTTCCTGCTCTTCCTGGAACTCCTACCAAGCTACAGTGACCCCTGCCTGATGCTCGGTTTCCGTACCTTTGTGCTCCTGGTGTCCATGCCTGATACCCGCCCTGCGCAGTCGGCCTGCTGGGAAGGGCGCGCAGCACCATCTCCCACACCTCACTGGCTGTCCGATCCTCCTCTCTCAGGCACTCTTTGCTGTGCACCGGACGCTCCTTTCTGTACAAGTCTGCTCTTGCTACGTGGTCTTTACAACTCTGAGGAGACCCACGAACGCTATGCTTTACTCTTTGGTTTGGGCTGGCTTCCTGCTTTTTCATCTGCTTTGGTCTATCTGGTGACCCCTGCCCCCTCACATCACATGTGGCAGGAGGCACTGCAAAGCTCACTGATGGCTCTAGGTGCACGGAGGGGGCTTCGCTGGGGGAGTCTGGCTGTATTCAACACCTTTCCAGCATCACAGGAAACGACTTACCAGATTGAAGGGACTCACCCAGCATCCACGTCATTGAATGCAGAGGCCACATCAGGGAACACACTGACATTTCAGAACACTAAGGGACATGGGTGGCCCCTCCTCCCCACTCCCAGTGCCCAAGGGTTTTTTCTCTTGGCTGAGGAGACTCCCATTCTCTGCTGGAGGGTGGACCTCAGCTGCTGGGGTCCTGAGGACCCGGTGTGGGAGGGGCAGAAGGGGACCTCCCTGGTGGATGTGGAAAGCTGTCAAGGCTTCATGTGCAGGATGATGCCCTCCACTACGCCTGGGTCTCAGCGGACAGTGCTATGATCCCACGTGCTCGGACTAATCCTCCAGACACAGATCAGACATGAATGGGGTGTCCAGCTGCTTCTAAACACACCTCCAGCCTCCAGACCAGCTCTGCTGTCTTCAGCTCCACCATCCAAGGGGCTCCCAGACTCCATGGGAGCCATCCACAGTTTCTCAGTGAAAACACTTCCCCTGCTGGTCAGATTTCAGCTTTCCTGAGTTTGCGTTCATTCCACCCGACCCTCAGCTTTCCAACTTCCAAAATGTGTCTGCTCTCGTCTCCTCTGCACTCTCTGCTCCTGCAGATTTCTGCCTCTCCGAAACTCCCTGGGCGCTTATCCAAGTGGGGTCGAGAAGCAGGGCCAGCACAGAGGCTCACTGGTGCTCATCAGCCAGAGCCCTGTCTCTCTGCTCTTCAGCATCCTAGTGGGACGGGAGCACCCAGGGAACACAAGTGCACCATGACGCGGAGCCCTTCATCACCGCAGGCCACGGCGCTTGTCCTTCCCAGAGGCCCCCAACCACAGCTGCTGAGCGACACCCACACCGCTTCTCTCTTCACACAGCGGACTGATGAGGAGTCCCGCCAAGCAGGAGCTCTGAGCCACAGCACAGAGTGTGCTGGCCCAAGTCCACGCCTGCATGCAAGCTCAGCCATGCGTCTAATGGCAATAACCGTGGAATGAGCTCGTGAGGTTCGGAGAGTCCCACCCCGACGGGGAGAGCCACAGGGAGCCCCAATCTCGGCAGTGACCGGCTCCAGGTCCCCACGTACCGTGAGAGTGGGGACAGCGGTGGACAGCAGCCCTTGAGCAGGGCACAACCTTCAGAGAGACCTCGACAAGTGAACACTTAAACCAAGGTCGACCCTGGGGGAAACGCAGACCTCCTCCCAGTGCCCCCTTCAGAAAAGGTACTCAAACACTGGCTCCCATCATGAGCTGGGCACGGAACCAGGCATGGGTACTACCTGCCTCCAGGGCTTGGAGCTCGGGAGGGGAACCAATCCCGGGCCCTCGACCTGGGAGGTGCCAGAAGGCCCTCACACAAGACTCCAGCACTAGGGTGGGGAGGTTAAAGTAAACAGGACAGAGGGGTTCAACTAAGACAATACCTTTGCTCACGGTCAGAGGCGAAGGCACTGATGCCAGCCGGCGCCGACTCAGGTGAGCACACAAGCTCTCCCGCCGCGGCTGCACCACATGCCTGATAAAGGGACAGCCCTGGATGTCTAGTTCCTCAGGCACGTGTGCACACATGTGTGCTGCGTAGCACTGGCACCCCATTCCTGTTCTGCCCCAGGTAGCTGGTGCATTCCCCGGTGCTCACCGGCTCGACCCCCCAGCAACACGAGAGACCTCACAGAGGGAGTCACACTAACGTGGTCGGGGCTCCAGAGCGAAACCCCAACCACTATGCTCACAGCCAGGACCGAGCAGGCTGGGCCAACGGCAGTCCCTGCCCAGCGCCCGGCTCCCTCCGAGTGGCCAGCAGCGCCCTCTGGTGGAGACTGGCTCGGCCTCCGCGGCACTGCATTCCCACGGCAGTGGTCCATCTAGTCCCCAAGTCCTAGAGGAGGCCCCTCTCTCTCCCTCAGCCCTGGCAGGGTCCTTGGCGCCCATTCTCCACACCTGCACTCCTTGGCCCTCCAGGAATTACCGGCCTCAGGGGCGCTCCTGGAAGCAGAGAAGGGGATCTGCCTGGACCTTCCTCAGAGGCACAGCCTTCACAGAGGCACGAGGGGCTTTGGAGCAGAGGAGGCTGCCACTTATCAGCCAGACGGCCTGGGCTCAATTCCCAGCTGCAGGGCCCTGGCCAGTGACATCACCTCTCTGCATTTTCCCACCTATAAAATGGGAATGCTGACCTCCAGCATGTCCTGAGCAGGTAGAAGATTGTGGCCCTCCCCGGGGAATCCAACACCAGCCCCTGGACACCCCTGGATGCTCCTGGGCATGGCAAGACCAGCAAAGTCACCTCCCAGCTGCCCAAAAGGAGTGTCCACACCAACAGGGGCAGCAGTGACCCGAGTGCTTCTGAACACACCATTTGGGCAATCATCTTCAAAATTAACAGAACCAAGGTGACGAGAAAAAAGGCACTTCTATGGCAAGCTCTGCTCCGAGTGGCCATGAAGAAGCTGAATCTTCTAGCTGTGCAAACAGAAGGTGCCAAGTACTGGCTGCTTTCTAGGTCTCTCTAGGTCTGACTGTCATCCCCCTCCTATCAGCCCCAGGGCAGTACCCAAAACACCCACTGCTCAGCGGTGGCCACATGAATCAGAAGCACGGCATCCTGAGGCCATGGTAAGCAAATCACAGGAGACGGCTGGTAATGAGGACACGAAATATGCTCGGCCTCACCAATAAACAGAGCAGCCTGATGCATGTGAAACCACATGCCGCTGATGGAGTGGGGGGCAGGGAAAGACTGGCACCCGCCCTGTAGGGGAAGGGGACAGTTAGACAGTGGTGAAACCTCCACATGCCACTGATGGAGCGGGGGGCAGGGAAAGAGTGGCACCTGCCCTGTAGGGGAAGGGGACACTTAGACAGTGGTGAAACCTATCAGGCCAGAGGGGGAACGGGTGCCCGTTCTTAGACACAAGCAAGGGAGAGACGAGCCAGTGCGGGCCCTGCTGCTTGAGCACTGCACGGTGGGGTGGAGTGGACCGCCACAAACAGGCAGAAAGGAGAGAGAAATCGGAGTCCAGTCCTGTTTGCAGCAGGGCTGCGTTCAAATGCAGAGCCTGCAGGGGATGCCGTTAGGCAGGATCCAGAACAGAGGAGGAACCCATTTTTGTTTCAGACAAAGAAAGGAAGACAGGCATGTCCCGGTCTAGCACACAGGCCCCTGTGGGGAGGGATGGAGGCTTCAGTGCTACTTTTCACCACTGTAAGGTGAAGCATGTGACTTTACTTTTATAGTCTCTCTTCCAACGATGAAGAAAAACATTACATAAACCAAAAAATAAAACACAGAGCCACAACAAGCCCCCCCAGGACAGTTGGGCCAGTGCCCAGCCTCTGTGGCCCCCGTTCCAGGACGACCCCAGGCTCACTGGAGAGGATGCAAAGGGCAGAGAGTGCCCAGGGGCCAGGCTGCCCGGCCCCACCTCCCCGGCCAGCAGCACTCTCCGGCCCTCCAGAGCCACAATGGGTACACGCTACCCTCATGTGCCGGCTCCACCCCCTCACCTTCTGGGGGTTCAACCCCCTGCCTCTCCTTCTCCACCACCCTCCGCCATGCCACAAACAGCTCTGGCTGAGGCCACCCTCAGCTGGCCGTGTCCTCAATTCCCATCCCTGTAACACAGGGCAGGCACCTGTGGAGGCTGATCATGGCCTCCCCTGCAGCCACCCGTCACAGCTCCTTCCAGCTCCTTCTCTCTCGCACCAGCTCTTCCTGTTGTCACCGCTACCCCCACCTCTGGCTCCCCCAGGCAGCACGCTCAGGGTATACCAGACAGCTCACCTCCAGTTCACTGTGTCCAGAGATGTCTGACACAGGTACCGTGTCTGCCTCTGAGAGGCGCCCCCAACGCCTGCCATCTCTCCACAGACGATGCCCCACCACAACTGCTCAGGGACTCCCGGCCGCCATCTCCACCACCTCCCTCCCCAGAGTGAGGCTTGTCAATTCCCTCCGTTATCGGCCAGAGCACCCTGGAAGGGGGTCGAGCACAGCTGGGCCAGACGCAACTCCCACCTCTCAGTTCTTCAGGCAGGCTCCTATCACTTTGTCCCTCCATTTTGCCACCTACATAACAGGGTCACGGTAAGCGCCCTGCAGGGTGTGGCGGTGAGCAGGGGGACAGTCGGAACTCCAGGGCTGGTCACGGCAGCACCTGTGCCAGCACTGTGCCCACTGTGACTCTGCCTGATGTCACAGCTATAGGCCTAACTAGCCACATAACCACAGAGAAAGGAGGTGGCTGAGAAACAAGGGTCTGGGGACAGTAGGAAGATGCTGCCTGCTCTGACAGACACCCCCCACCCCACCCGCTGCCCCGATGGAGCCCACTTGGCCATATTTGACAACCCCAGACAGGATGCAGAGGGACACTGCCCTCCATGACTCACCTCAAAGAGCTCACTTGGAAGGGGAAAGGAAGGGCCATGAAAGGGTGAAACGCAATGGCTTCTCCCTCCCGTCCTACTGTGTGTCCGCAGCGGTTACTCCGCAGAGCCGCCAGGTACAACAGTCAAGACATGGGAAAACCTCAACGCCCAATGATGGATCAAGGGATGGGGAAAGTGTGGTGCACACGCTCCGTGGTGACCCCCGCGAGACTGGCCTGCGCACAGGGACGGCTTCACGCGTGTGACAGCAGGGGAGCAGGACCTCCGGGCCAGACAAGCCTGCGGGGAGCTGGGCCCCCGTGGTCCCTGGAGCCGCCTGCCTAGGGCTCGTCTGCACAGCCAGCCGGGCCACCCTTTGTCTCTGCAGCAATGGTTCCGGGTAGAACCCAAGAACGTGCATTTCTAACAAGGTCCCAAGCAACCCACTGTTAAGTTTCACCTACAGCTGCCTCCTTACATATTTTAAGTTCCACCTAAAGGTTTCTTTGTACATCGTGAACTATGACAAGTACAGGTGTAAACAGATCATAGCCTATACTTGTGCCAATCACCAAGTTTTGGCCAATCATATGTAGGTAACTGTTCGAGCTGTGTTCAAATAAGGCAAATGCCGAGCGTAACCAATCGGCTGTTTCTATGCCTTACTTCCGTTTTCCGTAGGTCACTTTCCCTTTCCATAAATCTTCCCCCACAGGGCTGCTCTGGAGTCTATGAGCCTACTCTGGCTCAAGAGGCTGTCAATCCAAGAATCGTTTGTTGTTCAATTAAAGACCTTTACATTAAGTTTTTCTTTTATCACTGCCCTTGCTGGTGCCCACACCCCACCTGGGGAACCATTGCCCTACAGCGCCAGGCACACACCTGGCCTCTCTGCACCTCCATTCTGGGGCAGAGATGCAATGGGGACCAAGTGGGGCCGTGTGCACCCAGTTCTCAGCGGCACGGTGCCGGCACGCAGCAGACTCCCCTTGAGGGTGAGTGAGTGTAGCAGAGGGACTTCGATGCATGCTCTGCAGGGTCCTCCACACACCCCCAGCACACATCCATCCACTGGACACCTGCCCCAGGACTGCCCTGGGACTCCGAACCCAAGAACTCACTGCCCCTGCCTCCCAGGGAAGGCCAGCAAGTGAAGGAACGAAGGCCAGGATGGAAAGGAACAACAGATGTTTCCAGCAAATGCTACCATGGACAGAAACCCAGCATGCTACAGGGGAGCAGGAGGCTGGGGTGTGAATCTGGGTCATTTCTGGGCAGCCCCTGGCCACCCAGGCAGAAGCACAGGAAACAGACTGCGGTGCTGACCAGAGATGCAGGACACGGAACAGAGCGGTAAGCTTTACACCAGTGAGGACGGCGAGTGCTGGAAACCCGGAGGCATTCTAGTTGTCATCACAAGGGGGGACACCAGGAGACCGTGTCCACAATAACACACAGTGGGCTTTATAAGAAGTTACCCCAAAATCAGGTGTTCAGGATAAGGCTGTGCTGGAAAAGGAAGCTCAGATGGAATCAAGAGTGTCCAGAAATCACCAGCTGCCTCACTTGACACAAGCTGTCTGCTCAACAGACTTTAGAATTCCCAACCTCATAATTAGTCAAAAGGGATTTTAATGCAACCATTCAGTAATATGAAATCAAGAACTATGACTGCAAAGGAGATTGAATGTTCCTTTTAAACAACGTAAAACTAAATACTATTGAATCAGTGGAGAAATGAAAAACAGAGTCTTGCTAATTTTCATTAATGGAGACTGCTTTAAGTCTTTCAGTTTATGACCAGCCTAGGCAAGACGGCAAGACTCTGCCTCTATAAAAAAATTTTTTTCAAAATTCGTGGGGCACGGTGGTGCGCACCTGTGGTCCCAGCTACTCAGGAGGCTGAGGCAGGAGGATCTGTTAAACCCAGGAGGTCAAGGCAGCAGTGAGCTGTGATTGCACCACCGCACTCCAGCCTGGTCTCTAAACAAAAAATAAAAACCAAAACAAAAAAACTATTTCGGTAAGAAATCTAGGCTGTAACAAGGCCATGTGGGGACTGCCCACTGTTTCTGCAGCTCACTCTGCGGGCCCGGGGTCAGATCCCCAGTTTCTCAGGGTCGTGTTCTGTTCCCTTTGCTCATCTCTCCTCCAGTCCCCAGGGAAGGGCTTGGTCTCCACGGCGTCAGGAACTAGACTGTGAACTTGCACGTCAATACTGAGAGTGGGGCTTCCAGAGAGCAGCCGTGCTTGCTGCCCTGCCCCTCTCAGGCTGCAGCCCAGGGAGATGCCACTGAGACGCTGGCCATCGGGCTGGCCACCCCCGGGCTCCCTCCATCCTCACGGTCCTGCTCTGTGCTGGCAGTTTCCACTGAAGTCCCCCTCCCAGTATGCAGCAAGCCTGATCTGCTATCACTCGCTCACACCATGCCTCCGTGTCTCCCCCACATCTCACATGAAGTAACTTCTGAGCCTGTTTCAAAGTTTATCCTGAACAGGGCGGGCAGTCTGGCCCCTTCACCATCTCTTTCTGTGTGGGTGCACCGAGGTGTCTCCCTGCAGAAGTGCATTCTATCCTATGCTGGGGTAAAGATGCAAGTCACTCTCAAACTGCTGAGAAAAGACCCACGTGCAGGTACTGAGAGAGAGAAAACGGCAAGGCAGATGTGGCAGAAACGCTGACACTGGCCAATCTGGGAGAAGGTATGCAGGAATTATTCACACTACTTTGGCAACTTCTAACTTTGAAATTATGTAAAAATTTAAAAATATAAACGTCAGAAGCAGCTGGGGCCAGGAGGTGGCAGATACCCTCGAGGGAGCAGCAGTGCATCTGACAGCCGCTTCTCCACAGCAACGCCGGAAGCCGGAGGTCGGCGGCCTCACGTCGAAAGAGGGCTGAAAGCAAGCCAACCAAGAACACGACACACAGCGAAAAGCTCTGCCAAGAATGAAGGACAACTGAAGGCATTTTCAGACAGAGACTGAGAGGGCGCCCCCAGCAGAGTCACCTGAAAGAAAATCCAAGAAAGCTCAAGGCTGCAGCACAAGCAGAGGAAAACTGGTCACAGACGCAAAAGGACAAACCCAGAAGGACAAAGGAGGAAGGAGAGGGTACAGCCAAAGAGATGGAGCACAAAACCAGCCAACCTAAATAAATACCAGCGTACAAGTAGCATGTGGGGGTCCGAAGTGTACAGAATTTAAAACACAGCAGTAGCATGTGGGGGTCCGAAGTGTACAGAATTTAAAACACAGCAAGTGCTCACAACTCAAGAGGGGAAGTACCCAGAAGCGGTCTAGTATCTTGGGTACTTCGGGGAGGCGGATAAAGCTGTTAATCAACATCAGACCCTGGAGGTTTAGCGTGTGCTGTAAGAAAACCACTAAAGGAGGGTGTGCACGGTGGCTCACAGTGTAATCCCAGCACTTTGGAAGGTGAAGGTGGGTGGATGGCTTGAGGCCAGGAGTCTGAGACCATCCTGGACAACACAGTGAGACCCTGCTTCTACAAAAAATCAAATAAAATAAAGTACCTAACTTCCAAGGCAATTTGAAAGAAGGATAATTAAAAAATAAAAAGAAGAAATTCAAACAAAGCATGGGAAGATGAAAAGCACAAGATGGGAGTTCCACACAGCAGCGAGCACACCAGGTGGAAAGGGTTAGCAAGGCGCCCTGACACCCGCTCTAGTGGCGCGGTGCTCACTAGACACCCGCTGTCACGTGCAGTGCGTCTAAGGCTTGGGGTTTTCCCGGGCTCACCCCAGGGGAGACGTGGTCAAGGGCTCTTTCCCAGGGCTCGGGGCCGTTTGCACGTCCTTCTTCATGAGGCATCTGTTCAAGCCTCTGCCCATCTTCTACGGGACGAGCTGTTTCTTGTTCTTTGTTGGAGCCCGTGGGGAAGTCTGGATCTGAGCTCCGGTAAGTTCTAGGTATGGTAAATTCCCCCTGCAAAAGTTGCTTTCTTTTTTTTTTGAAACAGAGTCCTGCTCTGTGGCCCAGGCTGGAGTACAGTGGTG
Organism: Homo sapiens; assembly: GCF_000001405.40. Lineage (NCBI taxonomy): Eukaryota > Metazoa > Chordata > Mammalia > Primates > Hominidae > Homo > Homo sapiens. Next base: position 1,522,264 of record NC_000011.10, read on the forward strand.
AGATCATGGCTCACCGCAGCCCCGACCTCCTGGGCTCAAGGGATCCTCCCACCTCAGTCCCCCTGAGTAGCGGATGCCACCACGTCCAGTTAATTTATTTTTATTTATTTATTTATTTATGAGGTCTCACTATGTTGCCCAGCCTGGTCCTGAACTCCTGGGCTCAAGCAGTCCTCCAGCCTCGGCCCCTCAAAGTGCAGGGATTATAGGTGTGAGCCACGGTCCCCGGCCAGCCTTTTCAGTTTTTGAGGAATATCTTTGATAAACAGAGCTGCTTAATTTTAATGTAAACCAAATTATCTATCTTTTCCTTTATGATGAGTACTTTTTAGTCCTGTTTAAAAAAACTTTTCTTAACCCATGGGTCAAGAATAGCATCTTCTATAACAGTGCTGTTCAAGAGAAATATAACACAAGCCATAATCTGAGCCATGGATATAATTTTAAATGTTCTAATGGCCCCATTGAAAAGTAAAAGAAACAGCCAAGATTAATTTTATTTAACCCAACAGATGTAAAATATTTTCGACTTACAATCAATACAGAAAATACAAGGTGCCACTGTATTTTTTTCAGTCTAGCGTATTTTACACTCAGCACATCTCTAGCGCTGCCAAGCTACATGGCTGGAGGCCGTGCTGGACAGCAGTTCCAGAACCTTCTACACTTAGACCTACATTCTACTGGGCTCAATTATTCTTTGTAGGGTGTGAGGTACAGGCCAAGGTTTTTTTAAATATGGCTATCTGGTTGGCCAGCATGACTTATGAAAAAGACTGGCTATCTGTGCCATCTCTTTTTCCCTGTCTTGATCACTCTTGCCAGATTTTCCACTATATTCCTGTTTTCAAAGAATCCAACTCTGGCCTCGATGACTATATCTGTGGGAGACTGACTTTCTGCTTTGTTAACTTCTGCTCCAGCCTCATTTCCCTCCATCCACCGTCTCTGAGCCCAGCTACTGCTCCGAGAGTGACGAGTACCTGAGGGCTGTGAACCGCTCCTGGCCGGTGTGCACCCTGCAAGTCTCAGCATGGCATATTTTTGTTATCTTTCAGCTAAAAAGTATGTTGTAATTTCCATTACAAATTCTTCTTTGTCCCACTGGTTACTTGGAAGTGTGCTTCCTAATTTCTAAATACTAGGAGTATCACTTTGCTGATTTCTAGTTTAACTCCACTTGGGTCAAGAGCACACTCCAGAGGAATTCAATTCACCGAGATAAGCGGAGGTTTTGGTCAACGTTCCATCAGCGTGTAAAGGGGGCACACAGCCTGTCAGGGGTGGGTTCCCTATTCTTCCTGTCAGGTGAAATGTGTGAATCTGGCTTTGAAATCTTCATGCTGACTTGTGAGTACAGCTGAGCTGCTGGGACAAAGGCCCACCATCCCAGGCCCCAAGTCCTTCCCTGGTGTTAGCCCAGGGCAGGGGTCAAACTTCACCCTCCAACACCTTCCTGGGGCCCCAGCCATGGGGCAGCCCTGTTCTCACCAAGGGCTGTCGAGGAGCCGCAGGAAGGCAGGAAGAAGAGGAAGGACAAGCATCTTCCAGACGGTGACTAGAAAGCTCCACCTGCCCCCACCTATGTCTCAGTCCTGAAGCTCAGGACACAAGGGAGGCTGGAGTTCAAGTGCCTGAGAGCCCACAGCCAGAGAAGCTTGCACGGGGTCAGAAAGACAGACGGGAGTCAGCAGGTCACAGCCCTGTGCCCACAACAGGTGGCAGGAAAGAAGCTCAGAGACCTGACAACAGCCACAGCAAGGACATGTGTGCACACAGGCCAGGTGTCTCGGCAGAACTGCAGACACTGGAGGGCCAGCCAGGCTGAAGTGCACATGGGCCACACAGGGTGGGGCTGGAGAGAGACAGGGGACTTCACCCCACAGGCAATGGGGGTCCACCAAAGTGCCTTGTATATAGGAGGATGACATGTGGATCCTCTCAGGTGGCTGTGTGGAGCATGAGTCAAAGATAAGGACATACATCCCCGCCACCGCCAGGTGCCTATGGCTATAAGAGCCTAGGCCTCAGCCCAGGGAACTGCGGGCTTGCTTAGGGAATCCAGCAAAACCCTCACAGCCTTCTGGATGGAGCCCCATGGCATGGATGGCGAGGCGTGAGGGGAGGCAGGACGTGGCCTTCCTGAGCAGCAGGCTCGAGGCACGGGACACACAGGCCACCACCACAACTTCAGGCTCTGTAACAGGGACCTACCCACGCAAAAGGTCCTTATCTGAAAGGGCTCCATCCTCACCCTAGAGCCCTCCACACGTCATTTTGGGGGACATTTTATTTATTTTATTTTTTATTTTTTTGAGATGGAGTCTTGCTCTTGTCGCCCGGGCTGGAGTGCAGTGGCACATCTTGGCTCACTCCAACTTCTGCCTCCTCGGTTCAAGCAATTCTCTTTCCTCAGCCTCCCGAGTAGCTGGGATTACAGGCGCATGCCACCACGCCTGGCTAATTTTTTGTAATTTCAGTAGAGACGGGGTTTCATCATGTTGGCCAGGATGGTCTCAAACCCCTGACCTCAGGTGGATCCACCCATCTCGGCCTCCGAAATTGCAGGGATTACAGGTGTGAGCCACCGGGTCCCATTTCATTATTTTGATTAGAAATGAAATGACCTGCCCAGGCGCGGTGGCTCACGCCTATAATCCCAGCACTCTGGGAGGCTGAGGCGGGCGGATCACCTGAGCTGATCCCCAGCCTGCTGGGGAAGGGGAAGGAAGGTGGCCACAGGCCCCAGCATAGTACAGACTGACGCCCTTGAAGTCCACACTGCACCGTGGGCCCAGACAGAACAGGCCTCCCGCCCCGCCCTCACAGAGGTGCCTCGTGGACAGCCACTGCATGGCATAGCAAGTCCCTGGACCCAGGCCTGTCCAGACCCTCGTGGGAGTGGGATATGAGCTCCACAAACGTTTCGGGGGGCACCCAGGCCCCAAGTCCCTGTTCCACCACCAGGGCAGCTCAGGAGCCAGGACACTTAGCTAGTGAACCCTGGGACCTGCTGCACTCCGGGGGACACTGAAGAGCTCGGGAGCCGACAAACCACAAATGCTGCTACTTAGAACCTGTGTGTCCAACAAGGAGAAGACAGCAAAGGAGGGAAGACTGCTGGGCAGGAGAGCACCCGAGACACCACCACTCCTACCAAGAAGTCTCTGAGGACAACTGTGGGCCAGGATCCTGCGTCGTCAGCACAGAGCTGCCTTCGGTCTGCCTTGGAGTAAGGGCCTCGGAGAGGCACGGGGTCACAGAAAACAACACTTTTATTTTCACATGAATTATAAATACCCAGGAACCCTCACACAATTCAGCTTGGCCCAGCACTTCTTCAGCCAAAAAGGTAGGAGGCCTTCCCAGCAGGAATAACAGAATGTACTTGAAGATAAAGGTTTTAATGAAAAAGGGTTTCTAAACCTCCTGACAGTGGCCACCTCCAGAAAAGCCCCTGGGTCTCCACACTCACAGTGCAGGAGTGAATGTCAAAAAGCACTCCCAAGGCAGGGCACAGTGGCTCACGCCTGTGATCCCAGCACTGTGGGAGGCCAAGGTGGGCAGACTGCTTGAGGCCAGGAGTTCAAGACCAGCCTGGCCAACACAGTGAAAACCCATCTCTACTAAAAATAGAAAAATTTGGCCAGGCGCGGGTGTCTCACACCTGTAATCCCAGCACTTTGGGAGGCCAAGGCGGGCGGATCACCTGAGGTCAGGAGTTCGAGACCAGCCTGGCCAACATGGCGAAATCCTGTCTCCACTAAAAATACAAAAATTAGCTAGGTGTGGAGTACGCCTGTAATCCCAGCTACTAGGGAGGCTGAGACAGGAGAATCGCTTGAATTCGGGAGGCGGAGACTGCAGTGAGCCGAGATCGCGACACAGCACTCCAGCCTGGGCAACAAGAGCAAAACTCCATCCAAAAAAAAAAAAAATTACACTGGCCTGGTGGCATGTGCCTATAATCCCAGCTACTCAGCAGGCTGAGGCATGGGAATCGTTTGAACCTGGGAGGCAGGCGGAGGTTACAGTGAGCCATGATTATGCCACTGCACTCCAGCCTGGATGACAGAGCAAGACCCTGTCTCAGGGGAAAAAAAAAAAAGCATTCCCAAGACCCCAAGCACGAGAGGAAGCAAATCCCTTCTGTGCATCCCAACGCAGAGCTCATCTCAGAAAGCTCTGCGTCCAGGTGTCCAGGAGGCAGCCAGCTGGCCAGGCAGAGGCATACCCTGGGTGGTCAGACCCATCCAGCGCCTGCTCCCTGCCCTGGGCACGCCAGGTACAGCAGGGGTACGTGTGGGTCTGTGGAGAAGATGAAGCCTGCCCTGAAGCAGTATTTGTTACACATTTATGAAGGCAAGGAGGACACAGGAAACTGTTCAGCAGAAAACGCTGCTGTCACGAAGGGAGAGATAGCCAGCTTTGGGAAATGAAGGTGCCCACTCTGCCCTCAAGGAAGCAGCAAGCCTCAACTGCACACCCGCCACACAGCTACCCACCAGCCCCAGGCAGTCTCAGGCCACACATCCCAGAGGCCCCGTGGCATGAAAAGAGGATCTCTGAGGGCATAATACCCGACTCCCCGGTGGGGAGTAAAATCACCTCTGGAGCACAGCCGGGCAGACACCAGGCCTGCACCCCCGTCGGCACTGGGGGTGGTGCCTGTGGACCATCGGCGGCTTTAAATTCTCTTGGCTGCTCCCGTTCCACCATCCCCTCTGACAGCTAAGAACAGGCTGAGGGCGGGCAACGGGAGTAGGAATTGGGTGGGAACAGCGGGTGGCAGCGGCCGGGCAGTGGCAACTACAGGTCACACAGTCAACCACGGTTCCCTTGCTCAGAGCCTGTAACTACTGCCATCCACTGAGCTTCCAAGAGGGCCTCAGACTTTACCTGGGGCTTCCTGAATTCACCTGGTTGTCTGGGAGGACTAGTGTTTCTTGAGAGACGGTGAGAAACATGGCCCTAAGCCCTCTGCGTGGCCCCGTGCCCACTGCCGTCTCCATGCTCTGAGGAGCCTCAGTGACTAAACGTGGTCCCAACCTGTACCAGGCCATACCAAAGTCCTGAACAGGTCAGTGGTGTCAGGTGCCAGCGTGGCCTGGATTTCTTCCTGACAGAGGAACTAACCAGCGCACAGCTCCAGCCACTCAGAAAGGAGGCAGGTGGGAGGCTGTAAAAGAAAGTAAGGGACAGGCCTGGCATGGTGGCTCACGCCTATAATCCCAGCACTTTGGGAGGCCGAGGCGGGTGGATCACGAGGTCAGGAGTTCAAGACCAGCCTGACCAACCTGGTGAAATCCCGTCTCTACTAAAAATACAAAAAGAAAAAAAAAAAAAAAGCCAGTTGTGGTGGCGGGCGCCTGTAATCCCAGCTACTGGGGAGGCTGAGGCAGGAGCCAGGAGGCAGAGGTTGCAGTGAGCTGAGATCGCACCACTGCACTCCAGCCTGGGCAACAGAGTGAGACTCCGTCTCAAAAAAAAAAATAAAATAAAATAAAAAATAAAAAGTAAGGGATGGTGAAAAGAAGAGCATCCCTCAGGCGCCAGCCAAGGGCAGGAGCGGGCCCAGGGCCAGCAGGTGCCCAAGGCTTCCTGGCACTCGCCCTCCCAGGCTGCCCCCTGGCCCCCAGCTCCCCCGGCCCCCGGCTCTCCCTGGCCCTCTGGGCTGGCTCGCAGTGTACCTGTCCTCTGCCCCTCTGCAGGCCAGGGGAGTCGTGGAGACACTGCCTCGGGCTCCAGCACTTCCCATCGTTTCCGCCTGGGCTTTTACTTTTCTCTTTAAGAACAAGCTCTAAAATCTTAACACTCAAGATTAATACCCTTAAAGAGAACCCATGCCAGTCATAAGAAAACTGGACCAGTTCAAGACAAAGTAGGCAAAGACCAAGCAGATAATGGCATGGCCCACCGTGCATAGAAGCATCGGCCATATCAGCCCTCCTGCAGTAAACACGGACTAAACCTTGGCACCGCTCTCTGCCTGTCAACGTGGCAAAGATCTTCTTCAGAAAAGACCAACACAAGTGGCGGGCACCGACCTGTGGAAACACCAGCACTGGCACCACGCTCCCTTCCCAGGGACTTGGGAAGCATCACACAACCTGGGAACGTCCCCATTCCCACCGGCAGGGGAGCAGTGGACAACTCCCCTGGGTAGCAAGAGTCCCACTACAGAGTGAGGCTGGTTTTAATGTTAAGTACAGACTATCGCTGGGTGGTAGGAGGATTTGCTTTTGATTTTCTGGGTTTTTTTTCCTGTATTTTGTGTCTCTACAATGGACATGTAACACCAAGTCCCAGGTGAGCAGGGATGTGTCCTTCCTCCTAAGGTCCCCCCACCCCCGCAGGACAAGGCACATAGGACACCAGCAGGGTCCAATGGGTGCTGGGAAGATGAATGGCTGCTGAGCACAACAACCTGAGGCCAGGCCCTGCGGAGCCAGAGGCAGGTGCGGGTCAGCCCCACCCTCAGCACCACTCCTGGACTCCACCAGCCAGCGCTACCCACTGTTACAAAAGCATCAACCCAGAGGGAGCTGCGGTGACAGGGAAGGGTCCCGCTGTCCCTGCCCGCGGTTCCCTCTACCCACCCTGTGGGGCCAGAAACCCGGCTCAGTAAACCTCACCTCCCATGCACCTTTCCTTCCCTGTTGGAGACCACTGGGCCCATGCTGAGGTCCCGTTTGCTGAGTCAGAGAATGGCACTTGGGAAGCCCTGTGGGGTCTGTCTTGCTGAGTAGCCAAGGAACCCACCCAGGGCTGGTAAGACCACTGCCAGTGCAGAGAGACGTCTGGTGAAGGGGCGTGCAGTGCCTCCACAGAGAAGCCTGACCAAACACGAGAAAGGACAAAAGCCCACAAACAGCGGCTTCTGAAAACACCGCGGACACAGCCACACAGGAGCAGCTTATCTGCTCGTAGCCTGTTTTATACGATTTCTGCCATTTTTGCTAGGGCCAGCTTGCTGCTTGGTAAGTCCCAGGCAGTGTGGCTCGGTGGGTTCCGGGGTGTGCTCCCCATACCTCCCAAGACAGTCCAGGCCAGCACTGAGTACCGACACCCCCTCAGACCGGCGACTAGGGCTCAGGAACTCTTCCTAAACGAGGGGCTGCCTGAGCAGCCTCTCCCTAGAGGCGTCTCCCGGGCCACACTGAAGCCCTGTCACAGTGACACTGGACTGAATCAAGCTGAAAGCTTGGGTGAAGCCACAGAACACGTTGGGCCATGGCCTGCACAGGCCGACGCTCACCTGAGCGGGCACCATGAAAGCTCAGCAATGGAAACGCGGGCTGTCCAGTGTTGGCTCTGCCTCGGCAGCCCTCGGTGGTACCCGGAGACAGCACCTGCCCCACCTGCACAACCCCATGGCCCACAGTAGTGCCGGGCTGCACGCCCTGGGAGGAAAACTAAATGGCAGGAAGAGGAAGGTAGCCCGTGAGGAGGGCCGAGCCCTGCCCAGAAGTTAGAGGGAGAGAGAAAAGGCCTTGGTCTCTGAGGTGACCAGCCAGGGCCTCCTGAAGGAGGCAGGAGGACCAGGGCCTCCTAGAGCCCTCCTCCATCCAGAGGCAGGCTGTCCACTCTTAACCACTCCCACCCCCAGATCCAGGTGGCTCCGTGACTCCCTGACCAACAGAAGGTGGCTGAAAGGATGTATTGTCTTCCAGCCATTTTCATGATGGCTCTCCTGGGATGAAGGCCGTCCCGGCAGAGGCAAAGAGAGGCCACGTGGGGAGTCCTAGAGCCCAAAGTGTGGTCTGGGACCATGAGGTTAGCACTGTCTTTACAGTACCACAAAGGTGCCATGTGCCAAAGCCTTGTGGAAGCCACCTGGCCTGTAAAATTACAGCAGGATAAACACAGAACCTGACAGATCCAGCTCTCGAGATTTGCAAAAAGTAAAGCCACTCTATTTATTTGACTCTAGAAGATAATAGGTTTTTTTTTTAATTTTAAAAATATTACTTATGTTAAGATATACTGGGTTTTTAATTATTTCTAAATGAATTAAAGTTGTTTTACATTCTCAATTTTAATTTCTGAAAGATGAATATTCATAGCTCCATCATGTAAACTCAATAAGGACTTTTTTTTTAATTTTAGAGGCAGGGTCTCACTATCACTGAGACTGGAGTGCAGCGGTGCAGAGCTCACCGCAGCCTCAGCCTCTTGGGTTCAAGCAATCCTCCCGCCTCAGCCTCCCAAACAACTGGAACTAGAGGCATACACCATCACATCTGGCTAATTCTTTTTACTTTTTTGTACAGATGGGGTTTCCCTATGTTGCTCAGGCTGGTCCTGAACTCCCAGTCTCAAGTGATCCTCCCACCTTGGCCTCCCAAAGTGCTGGGATTACAGGCAGAAGCCACCATGCCCAGCCTCAACAAGGACTTTAAGGGGTCCTGAGAGCAAGAAGTCCAAAAACTCTGCTCTAGGGTGAGGATATAAAACTCTGCCTGGAGAGATCCATGTGGGGGAAACTGTGGCACCCCAGCAGACACCCATGACAGCAAGGCCCCTGAGGGCTGCCAGCCCAGCCACCACGGGTGGCAGTGCAGGAATAACCTGTGGGGCCAGAGCCCCACCCACCAGCCCACAGATGCGGGAAAGGTGATGAGGCCTCATGTTAGGCCCAGAAGTTTCAGGGTTGGTCACTCAGAAACAGGTGAGCAGGAACCACCCACGGCCAAGCCGGAGGCTGCTGAGCCATGCCCAAGATCAGAGACGCACGCGTCTGGAGCAGCGCCTGACACCTGACCCTGGTGGCTGACCATGCGGCCTGCCTGGCAGTCCTGGGCATGGGATGCACACCCGCACCCTGGCCCACCCAGGGGCAGAAGAGGGGACCACGAAGTTGTGTGTTTTCTGCTGAGAGCATCCACCAGAGCAGAGCTGCTCAGGAGGGCACACGGTGCTGCAGGCTGAGCATGTCACACGCAGAGCCAAGGCCGCCTGCTGGGAAGCCCACCGCTGGCAGGGAGCACAGCCTACGCACAGAATGATGCTCTCATGGTAATACTCCCCACGGAACCCTGCAGGGGTTCATTTTATTCTATATTGTCATCTTTTTTAACATTAAAAACTTGGCTACCGGTGACACTGATTATTTCTTTTAACCCACAATATTCATAAGATGGTTGCCAAATTGTAAGAGCAATCTGACCTGCCACCGAAGCCTCCTGAGCGCAGCCTGAGGTCTCCTTGCTGTTCCTCCTGTCCTCAGACTGTCCCCCATGCCCACATGAGCTCAAGGGCTTTGCTGGCACAGCTCTTCAGCTCAGAGGTTATCCAGGTGATACACAGCCAGGCTCACCAGTTCCTGCTCACAGAGGCTTCCCTCCCTGCCCCTTCGTCTATTCAACTGATACGGGAGCTGAGTCACATGCGCTCCTGCTGGCTAAATTTGACACAGCCCATTCATCAAAATATTATTAAAGACGACAATCGACTGAAAAATATTAAATAAAAACCCACGTGTCCCTGGAACCATGAGGGGGAGGAGGCAAAGGCAGCCCTTCTGAGACAAAGCACCAGGGAGCCAGGGCTCCCTCCATAGGCCTGCATGGCGAGTCCCCTCCCTCACCTCCGCAGGTCTCAGCTCAACAGCACCTTCTCAAAGAGGCCTTCTAGAGCTCCTATTCAAACAGCTCTCCCACGCACCCCCTCCAGGCACCCCATCCCACACCTCCTTACTCCCGTCCCCCTCGGCAGTGGGGAAGCTGCCCAGGGGTGGCTCCTGTTGCCTCTGTTCACGCGTGTCCGGAGCACTCAGAGCAGGCTGCGCGCATGCAGGCCTCCAACAGGAACCTGACTCAACCCAGATTCTCAGGCCCACACTCTTGTATTTCATGACACCACTGCTATGACAAATGGTCCTGTCACATGTGGCACAAAGAACAGGGCACGCAGCAGAAGGGCAGATGTGCCGGGAGGAGGAACCCAGAGCGGCCGCCCATGTAGAGGGCTGGCCGCAGGCTGTGGGGAGAGGCCAGGGCTGTGCAAGACAAACTCAACACAGACAAGCCATGCTCACGCCAGCAGCTTTCAACCCACGCCGGAGCTAATTTTATGCTCCTGGGCTCACGCCCAGGCCTGGCCCCAGGCTCAGGCATCTGGCTCCTCAGGGCCACCTGGCACCATCAGGCCTTTCCATGGGCTGAGGACAAGTCCCAGCAAAGCAGGAGTTAGGAGCTTCCGTAGACGGTGCAGGCCAAACCCCGAGACAACAGCCCCACCTGGGCTCCTGAGATTGCATTGCTGTGGGGATAGGGTCTGCCAGCCCACAGCCTGCACAGCCACCATGTCTGGAGGGGAAAAGGCGCTGCTGAAAGGGTGCTTGGAAGAAAAGTCTCCCAACCCGCAAAGGTCACGGGCAAAAGGGAAACAGCATGGTGCCTCCATGCTTTCCAACCCTCCAGCTTGCCTGCTTTCTGCAGGGAAAAGCTGCATACCTTTGTGGGAGCTCTTTGCCTCCCCGCCCACCACAGCGAAATGCTCGATGACACAGACCAAAATCACCACCACGCAGGGCGAAAAACAGGAGCTGCGGCACTTAACTCACTCACATTAACTAACTCACGTTAGCCCCGGGACATCCGCAAACAACTGCAGGGATGAATGAACAGACATTCCAGCCCAGGGAGCCGTGTGCGCTGGCAAAGGAGACCTTCAAAGAGAAGGGAGCCAGGGACAGCAACGCGACTGTGGCCACAGTCCACAGGCCAAGCAGTGCCACAGATCACACGTGGCCTGGAAGCCCTGCCCACCATCTCCTTCTTTTCTCTTTAAGCTTCCACATTTTGTTTGTTCCAATTGTTTCTACTTCCACTGAACACCAATGGGTGTGCCCCAGCCAGGAGAAATCCTGTGCAGAAAAAAACAAACATGGTGAAGGCAAAGAATGGGAGGCTCTTCTGGCCAAAGACAGACGGGAACAGCACACGCCCTTCCCTTCCAGACAGGTCTAGCACTGGCAGGAGGCTGCACAAGCAGTAATCACCACGGAGAAACAAAGGCCACGGCCCTGTGGCTCCCAACCAGCACTAAGTGGCCCTAACAAAAGTTGCAGTGGGCCCTGGTGTTTCTAACCCAGACCGCTGTGTGGACAAAGGAGAAACACTGGGGTGACAGGGGCATGGCACAGGGGTCCTCCCTCACAGTGGCCTCAACACCCCTCCTCCCGTACCGGATGACCGCAGCAGAGACCACAGCTTCCTCTGGAGAGGGGGTCTGGTGGTACACCAAGCCCCTGCTCGATCTGACAGCAGCACTTGGCAGGCAGACCCCTAGGGTGGCTGGCTTTCCCAGGGCTGGGAAGAGGCCCTCATGAGCCAGGACACAAGGGTGGCACTTGGTGGTGGCAAAGGTGGGGGCTGCGCTGTCTCAGATACACTCGTGATGAGAAACGCAGCCCTGCTGTCTACCAGCCCCCGACCAGGGGAGGCCGTCTGCAGCTCCCCTGGTGGGCTCACCCCCAGCTTCAAGGACACTTGTGCAAGGGTTCCTAGTAGTCAGTCCGAGCAGGAGAAATGGGAGGGGTGTCGCTAGGGGTTTACGGGGAGGCTCATTCTAAAAAGGGCTCCATGTATCCACGACCACTGCTTTTTTTTTTTTTTGAGATGGAGCCTCACTCTGTCACCCAGACTGGAGTGCAGTGGCGCCATCCCCACTTACTGCAACCTCCACGTCCCGGGTTCAAGTGACTTTCCTGCCTCAGCCTTCCGAGCAGCTGGGATTACAGGCACACGCCACCACGACCGGCTAATTTTTTGTATTTTTAGTAGAGACGGGGTTTCACCGTGTTAGCCAGGATGGTCTCAACCTCCTGACCTCGTGATCCGCCCGCCTCGGCCTCCCAAACTGCTGAGACTACAGGCGTGAGCCACTGCACCTGGCCGACCACTGCTCTTTTTAAGGTTAATTTGGAAACGGGAGGGATGATGGAAAACTTTTTTTTAAAGAAGAGGACTCTGAATGCAACACCACCCTAGGCAAACACCTCTGAAACCCAGGCCTAAGAGTGCCCTGGTGGAGCCCTGATGGAAAGAGGCTATTCCTGAAACCAGACCTTCCAGGGCTGCCCGCTGGAGATACAGCAGACCTGGGCCAGCCGGCTTCTCTGCTCACACCTCCGCATGTGCTGCTGCTTCTTCCTGGGCCACCTCCTTCCTCCTTCCCTCTTGGAAAAGCCCTTCATACCTGCTCTAACCGAGCCCCCTGCTTTTGGCCGCACTCACCCACTCCTCAATTCTCCTGCTGCCTGGGGCCCTTCTCTACCAGCCTGACAGCTCTAGGAAAGCGGGAATGGCTGTGTCTCCATCTCTGGACCTCCGCCCCAGCACAGAGCCTGGTACACGGCAGCCCATGAACTCAGGAATCTGGGGCCCCCGGCTGAGGAACAGGCCCAGCTCACTGTCCTAAAAGTCACAGTCACAAACCGCGGATCAGTGGTGGAAGGAGAGTGGCAGATGCACATCTCCCCAGGACGGAATTGCACTTGGTGATGAAGAGGACGGAGCTGCAGACACACGCAACGCCATGGATGGACGTTCGCAACACTGCGCCGCATAGGACAGGCACACAGCCCGTGTACTGGGATTCCATTTGCATGATTCAGCTCACCCACACAGATGGCGGGAGACTGGTGGCCGCCTCGAGGCTGGAGGTGGGGATGGGGAGCAGTGCCAGTGGACATGAGGCTTCTCTGGGGCATGATAGCAAAGTTCTCAAATTAAACTGTGGTGATGGTTACTCAGCCCTGTAATTTTACCAAAAATTATTTAATTGCAAACTTAAGTTAACTTTATGGTATGTAAATTATACCTCAATGAGGCTGTTAAAAGAACTCTAGAGATTCAAGCAAGTTCAGCCTGGGTGTCCTCATAATCAGAATCAATTGTCAACCACCAGTAACATCCTCCCATGCGGCAAAGAAAAGAAAGAAGAAAAACAAGGTCATCATCACTCCATTCACATTCCTGCAGAGACACACACTCACGAGATTTTATCTCGGTCAGAGAGGAGGACCCCTGAAGGCAGCTGGGAGAGCCAAGTTAGTAAGCACAAGCTAGCAGCCCCAAAGAGGCCCTCCCCACTCACCTGCAGTCTGTCTTCAATCAGAGCTGAGTCAGTAAGCACAGGCCAGCGGCCCCAGAGAGGCCCTCCCCATTCACCTGCAGTCTGTATTCAATCACCAGCACTGTGGTGCCACAGCCCGAGCCCGCTAACCCACAGTTCACCTGCTGCTTGGAGAGTAACCAGGGCACTGGTGTCAAGGCACCGTGCGGCCTCAGAAGGAGCCAGGAGAGCCCCAAGGAAGGGTGCCTGAGATACGTGCCCCCTTGCCCTGGCTGTGGCCAGCCAGAGAAGGTGCCTGGAGGAGAGGGGCCTTTCCCCACAAACTCCACCACACTGGGCCCTGTGCAGGGCCAGCAGGAGGGCGGCTACATTCCCATCAGTCGGGAGGGGAGGAAGTGTGTTTCCTCTCCTGTATTCCCAGATGCTCAGCTGCTCCTGGGCTGTGCGTTCCGTTGGGTAACACTGACTGCACACACACCTCTTCACAAATGCCTGTTGTCAGTTGAAGACAAGACAAAAGTTTCTCCTAAACTCCAAACAGTGTGTGGTAGAGTTCCTCCCTTCCCTAGCCTCCACAGAAACCACCGCAGCTCAAGCTTCTCCTCTCCACCTGCCTACAACTCAGTGGCGCGGGATGACATCCTGTCACTGGCTGCCCAGAATGGAACAGAGCTTGTATACAAAAAGTGGAAACCGCTTTCAAGTTACAAATTACTCTTTGTAAAAGGAAGAAAGAGAGAAAAAAAAGTTTACCTTTACAGCTACTTCACCAGCAAACTCAAAGCAATGCCAAGCAAAGGAAACCTACGAGAAAGAGATGGTGGAGAGCCATGCCTGCAAACCTTCTCCGGAAAAGCCCCAGCCACGCTCATCATCACCAGTCCTGACGTGCTGGGCTCTGTTCCGGTTTCCCGAGCAGGTTTCCCTGCAGGGCCCCCGTTCCTCAGGAGCGGCTAGGAGTGCTGATGATAAGGCTGCTAGAATGCTCAGCAGGCCAGGCTCTTAGCTCTTCTCCCAGTGACAAGGAAGACATGGCTTTTCACTTGCACATCCACAGAACACTCTTCCGGTGATCAGAAGAGAACACGGCAGGCAAAGGCACTGTTTGCTGCTACTGTCAAGTCCATACTTTGTCATCTGAGATGAACTAATTCAAAGAAATCCTTTCTTTAAACAAAAACTTTTAAAACGTAAGAGACCTGTATTCCAAACTAACTACTTGGCTGACAGTGAGTGCTTTGAATTAATTAAAAATATCAAGAAATAGTCAAAAATAACACATTTCCCCAATCCCAGACTGACAGCTAGTTGAAGGATTAATGGCCAACGAAAGCGCTGGCAATGACCACACAAAAGCTGCTGAGATAGGAGCAAGCTTCTTCACTCACCGCTGACCCCTCTCCAGTGGCAGAGCCTGATTAAGTGAGCAGTGGACCAGAATGAGAGAGACCTGTGGGTCCCTGCGGCTCGCTCACTCTTCAGCTTTTACAACTTATTTTTATAGTAGATGCTCAATAAACATGTGAAATGAGCAGAGGGAAGGAGAGACAGAGTAGTCCCTGGGCCCTCTCTGCCCTGCATCCTTGTATACCAGCTTAAAACAGGCTCTGGAGGAAAAGCAGTACTTGACCACTGAAATGTACCTCTTAAAACAGGAAGCACAGCCAGGCGCGGTGGCTCACGCCTGTAATCCTAGCACATTGGGAGGCCAAGGTAGGCGGATCACCTGAGGTCAGGAGTTTAAGACCAGCCTGGCCAACATGGTGAAACCCCATCTCTACTAAAACACAAAAAAATTAGCCGGGTGTGGTGGCAGGCGCCTGTAATCCCAGCGACTCAGGAGGCTGAGAGGGGAGAATCACTTGAACCCGGGAAACAGTGTTGCAGTGAGCCAGCCAAGATCGCGCTACTGCACTCCAGCCTGGGCAGCTGAGCAAGACTCCGTCTCAAAAAAAAAAAAAAAAAAAAAAAAGGAGGGGGGGAAGCATATATTTAAGGAATTGTTAAAGAATTCATGATTCACAACGTCCAATAGATTTGAAACCACATATGCAAAGATAACTGCACTCCATGCTAATCCCACTTGAAAATCTCACTGCCCTCTTGGAACTGCCCACTTTTACAGCCAGGCAACGGCAAACACCTCTTCCCTGGCCAGGGCCCTCTGAGGCAGCAGCTCCAAGGTCCTCACCAGCCTTCCCCTGGCACCCAGACCCAGCCTGGGGCCCATGAGATGAGTGTACCACCATCCTTCCCTGGAGGATTACTTGGTTACCAAAGTCTTAACAAGGGTCACAAGAATCTGTCCCCCAGGCTGGTCGTGGTGGCTCATGCCCATAATCCCTGCACTTTAAGAGGCCAAGGCAGGTGGATCGCTTGAGGTCAGGAGTTTGAGACCAGCCTGGCCAATACAGTGAAACCCCATCTCTACTAAAAACACAAAAATTAGCCGGGCATGGTGGCAGGCACCTGTAATCCCACCTACTTGGGAGGCTGAGGCAGGAGAATCACTTGAACCTGGGAGGTTGAGGTTGCAGTGAGCCAAGACCATGACATTGCACTCTAGTGTGGGCAGCAAGAATGAGACAAAAAAAAAAAAAGTGGCAACTGACAGAACTGCTTGTACTGCAGCTCCAGCTAAACATTGTTTTCAATCTGGGGCACATTTAAAGCTTTCATGCACTCTTGGGTCTCTTGCTAATTAGTTAAGAACAGCACATTCAGTAAGTACTGGTCAGAGAGGGTAGGTTAGCTGCCCCACGTCTACTTCCATTTCCTTTTTCTTCTCTTTGCTTCTCCCCCTCTTCCTCCTCCTTCCTTCTCCTCTTTTTACTTAGTAATTGAATGCTGAGCAATATGACCACAGGAAAAACTATTTTATCCAGCTTCCCAGGTAGGCGAGGTGGCCAACGAGATGTAAGGTGAAATTATTGCATAGCTTCCAGGAAATCCTTTTTGTCCTTCCTGTCTACCCCAGCCCTGTCCCAGTCTCCTGCTTCCTGACCAGAATAGACAAAAAAAATGATGGCTGGAGCTCTTGCAGCCACCTTGGAGCATGAGGAAGTGATGATGGAGAGCAGAAAGGCAGAAAGAACCTGGGTTCCTGCTGAAACTCAGAACCCTCCACGACAATCCTGATTCTCTTACCAAGGTGCTTATGTTATTTGAAAGAAATATGGGTTAAATCATCGTTCTTCCGAATTTCTGCTACTTGAAGGAAAAGACAATGTCTAATTGACACATCCATCGGTGTATCATGGTGCTGGAGGTGAAACAGCCCATCCTTTACTTTGAAAAGAATGTTCTCAGATCATTAGATCCCCAAAATGTTGCCAAATCCCTAAATGTTCATGGGATATATCTCTTGGCAAGCACATGTATATTTTTTCTCTTTTTCTTTTTTTCTTTTTAGACAGAGTCTTGCTCTGTTGCCAGGCTGGAGTACAGTGGCACAATCTCGGCTTACTGCAGCCTCTGCCTCCTGGGCTCCAGGGATCCTCCTGTCTCAGCCTCCCACATAGCTGGGATTACAGGCGTGCACCACCACGCCTGGCTAATTTTTGTATTTTTAGTAGAGACAGAGTTTCATCATGTTGGTCAGGCTGGTCTCGAACTCCTGACCTCATGATCTGCCCACCTCGGCCTCCCAAAGTACTGGGATTACAGGTGTGAGCCACCGCGCCCGGCCACACGTGTATTATTTAGCCTCTAGAGTATCTAGGTCCTCGGCTCCGGGGCCTGTGAACGTGGCATCATTCATACGATGTGATATCCTAAGAGACAATCAAAATCTGTGTGGACGAGGCCGGGCGCGGTGGCTGACGCCTGTGATCCCAGCACTGGGGGAGGCCAAGGCGGGCGGATCTTGAGGTCAGGAGTTTGAGACCAGCCTGACCAACATGGTGAAACCCCGTCTCTACTAAAAATACAAAAATTAGCTGGGCGTGGTGGCAGGCACCTGTGATCCCAGCACTTTGGGAGGCTGAGGCGGGTTGGAGACCAGCCTGGGCAACATGGTAAAGCCCCATCTCTACCAAAAATACAAAAAAAAATTAGCTGGGCGTGGTAGCGTGCACCTGTAATCCCAGCTACTCCGAAGGCTGAGGCAGGAGAATTGCTTGAACCCTGGAGGCAGAGATTGCAGTGAGCCGAGATGGCGCCACTGCACTCCAGCGTGGCGACAAGAGTGAAACTCTGTCTCAAAAAAAAATAAAAAAGTCGATGTGGATGAAATTGTGGCAGAGCGAATTCGAGTTTGCAGGACCCTGAGGCCTGAGTGGGGAGGTATACTGCCAATTTCTCCAAATAACAACACCCTGCTTCTGATGTTCTCTGTTTATTGGGATTGAGGTGGGTGTGGCTGCCTGATCAATAGCTGAATCATAACTGTTGATTGGCTCCAATAAGGACACCACGTCTGGAAGAACAGCTGCAGTTGGAATCATTACATCTTTCAATCCACTGTCAATCACCAACACTCTCTGTCTTCCGCACAGACAACACGTGGGAGTGAGACTGGAATCCTAGAGGGGCCCCTTCTCTGCAACTTTGGGGTCTGGGAGGGTGGCACCCATTTCTGGGCATCTCTGGAGATTAAGGTTTGCTTTTGGTTGACAGTTCTGGCAGGAAGGAAGACCCATAGCGTTTCCCACTCAGCCCTCTCCTCCTTCCATTCACCCATTCATCTGACAAATAGGTAGTGAGTGCCAACTACGTACAAGGACAAGGCACTTGTAAGGTGCCTGGAGAACAGTAGTAGACACAACAGACTAAAGCCTCCCCTTGAGGAGCTGTGGAGTGTCAGTGAAAAAAATAATAAAGCAGGCAGCGCATTCAAAATGACCAGTACCCTGGGGTAAACAGAGCCAGGGAGAGGGTCACGGCACACTCAGTGTCATGGGCTGACGTGTGTCCCCTGGAAAGATAAGAGGCAGTTCTAACCCCTAGTACCAGTAAGGTCTGAAAGGGACCTTATCTGGAAAAAGAGTCACTGCAGACGTCATTTTTTGTTGTTGTTGTTTGTTTGAGATGGAGTTTTGCTCTTGTTGCCCAGGCTGGAGTGCAATGGTGCGATCTCGGCTCACTGCAACCTCTGCCTCCCAGGTTCAATTGATTCTCCTGCCTCAGCCTCCTGAGTAGCTGGGATTACAGGTGTCCACCACCACGCTCGGCTAATTTTTATGTTTTTAGTAGAAACGATGTTTCACCACATTGGCCAGATTGGTCTCGATTATAGGCGTGAGCCCCCATGCCCTGTCCACAGATGTCATTTGTTAAGATGAGGTCCTGGTGGGGTGGGGGCTTCCAATCCTATATGACTGGTGACCTTATAAAAAGGAGGAATTTAGGCTGGGTGCGGTGGCTCACGCCTGTAATCCCAGCACTTTGGGAGGCAGAGGCGGGTGGATCACCTGAGATCAGGAGTTCGAGACCAGCCTGGCCAACATGGTGAAACGCTGTCTCTACTAAAAATACAAAAATTAGCTGGGCCTGGTGGTGGGCGCCTGTAATCCCAGCTACTCGGGAGGCTGAGACAGGAGAATCGCTTGAACCCGAGAGGCAGAGGTTGTAGTGAGCCAGGATCACACCACTGCACTCCAGCCTGAGTGACAGAGAGACTGTCTCAAAAAAAATAAAAAGGGTCGGGGGGAGTTTGGACACAGCCTCACGTAGAGAAGACAGTGTGAAGAGACACAGGAAGGAGAAGGCCATCTACAACACAAACCGAGGAGCGACACCTGGAGCAGACCCTTCCTCACAGCCCTCAGAAGAAACCAGCCCTGGTGATGCTGACAATGTCAGACTTCTGGCCTCCAGGACTGAGAGACAGTCCATTTCTGTGGATTGAAGCCGCCTCGTGACAGCCCCTGCCCTTTCTAATCAGGCTCCTTCCTTCTGCCTGGCTCTAGAGCAGCCCCAGGGGCTGCTGTGCCCACTGGGAGTTCCTGGCCAGAGAAGTGAGGGGCTTGATTTTCCCAATCATGCTTCCATCTAGACTGGGGACCCCTTACAGGCAGGACCTTTGTGGAGATCCTCGGGCAGCTGTCCTCCACTGTGGGGTGGAAAGCTGGGGCTTCCAGGATAAGGGTGACCTCATGGCATGTTTCAGGGGAAAGACCTGATTCCCCAGTCAACCGCTGACTCCAGGATGCAGGCCAAGCCCTGCGGGGTCATTCACGGACTCTGCTCTGACCCTGTCTGTCCTTCTCTCGGGCCCACTCATTGCCTTTCGGGGCCAGCAGGGGACATAGCTGGTGCTCAGCGTCCCCTCTCTGTCCCAGGCTGCGCCGCCGAGAGGCCTTGGCACGGGGTAGGCCTCGTGACACACACATTCTCCTACGCTGCAGAGCCTGGAGAACAATGGCTCCCTCTCACCTCTGAGCTGGTTCTTGTGCTTGGGACAGTCCCCAGTGAGGCTGAGGGTAGCCACAGCTGCCAGCGCCTGCCTGGGCAGCCCCTCCATCCCCAGCACCCCCATGGTTCAGCATTCCCTGTACCTCCTAGACCTGAACAGAGTCTGATTTGGGGATGGTGGCGCAGAAGCCTGCCCTGCCTCCCGGTCCCAAGGTGCCGCCAGCTCTTCCAAGCCTTCAACAAACGCCTCAGATGCCCTCCTGCTGATCGCACTGTGCCTGCTGTCCTGCTCCTGCTCCCTCACTTAATCCCCAGGCAGTGACAATCCAGAGAGGAGGCTGAGGCTCCTGGAGGACCAGAGGCTTGTCCGAGGTCACTCAGCGAGTGGGCGGGCAGCTGGGGTTCCAGAAACATCTGCTCTCAAGCCCGCCATTGTCCCACCATGACCTGCCTACCAAAGGGATGCTCCTCCCTGGGTCTTGAGGAAACAGTCAAGGTGGTCACCCTTGGGAGCAGGCTGGGCAGTGTTCTCCAGGCTTCAGTCATCCCCGCCTCCCCTCCAGAGGCCAGGACAGCCCCTGCATTTGGCTTAGCTCTCCGTGGGGGCCTGGTGCCCCTGGGGTGACCGGAATGCAGGCAGGGCATGAGGATGCTGATAATCAGTGTCACCTGGGATTATGGCTGGGGCCGTCCCATGAGCCAGGTGCAGCCGAAAGCTCCGTGTGCATGACCTGAAGCAGCTGCCAGTGCTCTCTGAGAGGGTGCCCTCTGCCTCCCTATCTCCAGGTGTGGCTAAGTAAACAGGCCACGGCGGCACCACAGGGAGGCAGGCTGGGTGCTCCTGCTCATCTCTGGTGGATGCTGCTACCCACATCCAGGGCTGTCACCTGCCCATTCACGCACGGCCCTCCAGGCCACTTCCTCCCCCAGGACCTGCAGGCGGCTGCAACAACCCCCATCAAAGGTCCCGCTAGCCAGGATTCACTGAGGTCCAGTAGAGGGAGGGCTGCAGCCTCTGCTCCCAGAAAGCTGCCCTGTCCTGGCCAGGAGCAGTGGCTCATGCCTGTAATCCCAGCACTTTGGGAGGCCGAGACAGGTGTATCACCTGAGGTCTGGAGTTCAATACCAGCCTAGCCAACATGGTGAAACCCTGTTTCTACTGAAAATACAAAAATTAGCCAGGCGTAGTGGCACATGCCTGTAGTCCCAGCTACTCGGGAGGCTGAGGCAGGAGAATCACTTGAACCTGGGAGGCAGAGGTTGCAGTGAGCTGAGATGGTGCCACTGCACTCTAGCCTGGGTGACAGAGCAAGACTTTGTCTCATATATATATATACATATATATATATATGTACACATATATATACATATATATGTACACATATATATACATATATATGTACACATATATATACATATATATGTACACATATATATACATATATATATGTACACATATATATACATATATATATGTACACATATATATACATATATATGTACACATATATATACATATATATGTACACATATATACACACTCTCATACACACACATATATATGTATATATATAAAATATGTTTATTATTTTATGCGCACACACGTATGTGTGTGTATATATGTGTGTGTGTGTGTATATATATATATTTATTTGAGACAGGGTATGGCTCTGCTGCCCAGGCTGGAGTGCAACGGTACCATCGCAGCTCACTGCAGCCTCAACCTCCTGGGTACAAACGATCCTCCTGCATTGGACTCTCAAAGCCTTGGGATTACAGGTGTGAGCCACCGTGCCCCATCTCTGAGCATATCTTTCTGGGGCACACAATTCAACTTGTAACAGGTGCAGTTACCGGCCACATGATTCATAGCATATAGGGTGTGCTTTACCTGAGGCTGAGACGGGGCTCATCTCCCCTGGGAATCATTCTTGTAAGGTGCCAGTGATCTGCAAATGCAGATGAGGCCTGAGGCTGGGGCACAGGCCACCTGCCAGCTGGCAAGTGCAGGATGGGCAGAGTCCTTGTCCAGACCTGGGCAGAGAGCGCTCAGGGCAGGCAGCGTCCAGGCTGCCGTGGGTTGCTCCTTGAGGCCCTGACCCCCAGGGTCACCTGCAGGCCATTCCTTGAAGCAAAGAGGTGACTGACCTGGGGAGTTGGGAACCTGCCCTTTGTGTCCCCAATGAGCACCCTTCCTGCCACCCCCACCCGGCCGGGATCCACCACCCTTCCTGGCCGGTGGTGCCAGCCCCTAACAAAACACCCTTTCAGGCAAGGACCTGCAGGTTTGCTCCCCTTGCCCTGGGGACAGAGTCTGACATCCTTGGGAACTGACCGTTCCCTGCCCCCTCCCCAGCTCTAGGAACTACTTCATCCTGTGCACTCGGCAGGGTGCCCGGCCCTAGGTGGGTGTGTGGTCGGTCAGGGGCTCCCGTGGCTGCAGTCATGGGCTCCCCTGCACTGCGGGGCTTCGAATGTGCTGCTACTGTTGGGAAGGAGTTGCTCCTCTCAAAGAACTCCTGCTCATCACACAAGGCCTCTCTCACATGCCCCTTCCTCCAGGCAGCCTTCCTGAGTGGTGGCACCTTTTGTACACACCTGTCACAGAAACCACTGATCTCAGAGTGATGACAGAGGCTTGTTTCCCAGGCACGGGGGCTCCGAGGGGCCATCCCCAGCACCAGAAGGGTTCCACACATGTTAATGGAAAAAATCCACAAAAAGCAGGAACGGGAAAGTAAGTTACTGACATTCCACCCCTCCCCAATTCCCATTTTGCAGACAAGACCCTGAGGCCCCAGAGGGCCCAGTGGGTGCGGCACAGTATGGAACTGGCCCCCACAGAGCTAGCCTGTGCACAGGTTCCCCGTCTCCCTATGGGAAGGAGGAGGCACCAGGCCTGCTCCAGCTCCCTCTCCTGGATTGGGACACTGAGGCCCATTACACAGGTGGGGTACTGGCAGGACAGCTCTGCCCTCCAGGGTCCAGTGGGAGCTGCTGCTGCTCCCACAAGCCACGCAGTGCCTGGAGCCAGACTGGGAGAAGCTGTCCTGGTGGGAGCCTGTGCCCTGGGACACAGAGTGCATGGTGCACATGGCCAAAGCGTGGCCTGGAGGCGTGGAGGGTCAGGAAGCAGTGAAGGAGCAGGGCCTCGGCCTCGTGGGGATGCACCCACACAGTAACTACAGATGGAGGCCAGGAGGCTCAGCCTTCCTCCTGGCTCTGCCTCTAGCCAGCTGGGGTTCACTATTGTCCCCTCCATCCACTGGGTAGGGACCCCTAGATTTCAGGTCCCCAAATGTACATGTCTCATCAACAGATGCAGCAGACTCCGTAGGGAAACTTTGGAAATACAGATTCCTGAGCCCTGCCCCCACAGAGGCTGGCTATGTAGGTCCCTGGGCCCTGCATTTAAAGATCCCCCCAGGCATTGCTGGAGGGCAGGAGGGTGGGAGTCCCCGGACCAGATGGACCCTGACAGCCTGACAGCTTTTACTTATCAAACCCATGCGGGCCCCACCTCCTGGGATGCTGGCTCTGCAAACTCACCTCTGCGGAGCCCGTTCCTAGGACTGGTTGCCAGCAGTGTGGTGAGGGCAGTCTGAAGGGTTCCCGGTGGTGGTCATAGAGCCTGCACACGCCTCCTTCTCCCACCGATACCTGTTATGGGTGGGATTGTGCATCCCACATTCATATGTCGATGTCCTGACCCCAGTACCTCAGAATGTGACCTCATTATTTGGAACTAGGGTCACTGCAGAAGAACCTAGTTAAGATGAGGCCACACTGGAGTAGGGTGGGTGGACGGCCTTGTGAAAGGCTGCAGCGAGGGGCTGAGGCAGATGCTCCCTCCTGGCCCTCCACGGAGCCCACCTGCCTACACCTGGATCTTGGACTCATGGCCTCCAGACCTTGTAGAGACATTTCTTTTCTTTTTCTCTCCCTTCCTTCCTTTCTTTCCTCCCTCCTTCCTTCCTTCCTTCCTTCCTTCCTTCCTTCCTTCCTTCCTTCCTTTCTTTCCTTCTTTCTTCTTTTTTTGTTTTGTTTTGAGACAGAATTTTGCTCTGTCACCCAGGCTGGAGTGCAGTGACGCCATCTCAGCTCACTGCAACCTCCACCTCCCGAGTTCAAGGGATTCTCCGGCCTTAGCCTCTTGAGTAGCTGGGATTACAGGTGCCTGCCACTACACCCGGCTTATTTTTGTAGTTTTAGTAGAGACTGGGGTTTCACCATGTTGGCCAGGCTGGTGTCTTACTCCTGACCTCAGATGATCCGCCTGCCTCAGCCTCCCGAAGTGCTGGGATTCTAGGCATGAGCCACCGCGCAGGGCTGGAGAGACGTTTCTGTTGAAGCCGCCTGGTTTGCGGTGCTTGGCTCCAGCAGCCTCAGGCCACACACAATATCCCAGGGCGGCACCCTCAATGCCAGGCCCTGCTGGGAAGTCAAGGGCCGAGGTGAACATGCCCTCTGCACGGTAGGGGATTCAGAGTGCCGCCCTGCACCTGGGCTGGGGGAGGAGCGCAGAGCACACCGGCAGACCAGGGAGGGGCCCTTCCAGGAATGCGCTTTGTAGACAGCTGGGTAGGGCTGGGGCGGACTAAGGGGCCTGCGGGGTCTGGCGGAACCATCCAGGTGAGGGCGTGGTGGCGGGAGAGCCAAGAACAGCAGCTAGGTGTACTGCTTACCTGAGAAGGGGGGGTGGCCGCGAAGGGGGTTGGAGGCGTTGGGATGGGGGCCTAGTCAGACGCAGGTGGCCGCTGCCATTTGGCATTGCCCGGTCTGGAGGACAGGGAGAAAACCTGGCTGGAGACACAGCTGGTCACTGACTGCCTGAGTCCCTGGGGCCGCGGTGTGGGCGACCTTCCTGCGGGACCCGCAAGCCCAGAGCAGGTGCAGGTTGTGGGTACAGCTGAGGCAGCCGAAGGACCAAGGGGAGGGCCTTAGAAGGAGGGTGGGCTGGGGGCGCGGGGTGGAGACAGGGCTGTGCCTTCCTCCCAGCAGGTGGGTTCCCGACGGGTGGGCGTGCGTGCAGGGCCCCCGGCCCGAGAACCGGCCCCAGCCTCGGCGGGCGCGGGCAGCAGATGGCGCTGCCGGGCTGCGCTCCGCCTCGGGTTCGGGGAGCGCCGGGTGGGGGTGGCGGGCGAGCCCAAGTCGAAGCCCGAGGCGGGAGAAGAGCTCATACTACGTTCCCCGGGCCGGACAGGCGGGCTCCGGAGGGGCGCTCGCCCCGCCCATGCGGGACAGGTGTTTGCCCACCTAGGCCCCGGACCCGGAGCCGCGCTGCCCACGTGCTCGGAGCGGAGCAGCTGCTCCCCGCGCCCGCCCTCCACGCCAGCAGTGCCTGGGGACCCGGACCCGCGAGGGGCGCGCAGGACGCGGGAGCCGAGGAGCAGCGGCGCTTTGCGGATGGAGAGCGCCGCGGAGGGCAGTCTGGGAGTGGGCGCGGCCCCGCCGGGCGTGAGGTCATCGCGAGCAGCTGGCGCACCCCCCGCGCCTGCCTCCCGGTCCTCGGAGCCCCCGGCTGCGCCCCGCGGCGCGCGCAGGTTGGGCAGGTTCTGGGCTCTGGGCGGCGGGGCGTGGAGGAGCCCTGGGGCGGGATTGTGACTGGGCGCTTCCTGCGGGGTTGGCGGCCCGGACGCCGGTGCCACCCGAGCCACCCAGCGATGCTCTGGGCCCCCTACGTCGGGGCTGACCTCACCGCCCATCCTGGCGGACCCCGCCCGCTCTAATGGGACCGCGCCCACCCTACACTGGCCTGCAGCCGCCGTCCTCCCGGCTGCGGGTTCCTTGCCCTCAGGGAGGGCGGGGCCGCCACCAGCTGCCCGGAGAGGTGGGGGGACCCAAACCTCCCCTCGCCCACACCAACCCCGTCCTACTGCCCTCAATCCTGCCCCTCCTGGAGTTTCTTGTTACGGTCCACACAGGCGAAGGGCCCCATCGGCCGCGCCTTGCCAGCCCTAATGCCCTCCGAGAGGCGGAGGCCCCACAGTAGGAACCCGGACTGAAGTCACTCCCTGGCGCTGCTAGGGGCTCAGGGTGGAGGGCTCAAGGGTGTCCGGGAAGGGCCTTCGCCCTTCAGCCTCAAAGCCCCCCCAGTCCTCTGGTTTTCTGTTCCTCTTTTGGGCCCCCAGCTTGTGAGCGCCCGCTGGGTAGGTGGGCAAGAGGTGACCGAGCAGAACCAGGCACCGGGACCGTCCGGTTTGGGTCTGGCTTCCACACTGGCTGCAGTGCGCCCTGCCCCAGGCCGGCAAAGTCTCTGAGCCCCATTCCTGCCGCTGGCCGAAGGATTGGGTTGGGCGAGGAAGATATGGAAACTGCCCCACAAGCCCCCCTCCCACCCCCAGGACGCCGCCCCCACCGGCTAGGCTCTGGGCAGGCCTAGTGTCCACTGATCTCGCCAATCGGCCCTGTGTTCCAGGGCTGTCGGGGGTCTCCTGGGCCAGGGGCTTGACGGAGGGAGTGGGGTGGGGAGGGTGGAGAGGCACCGGAATCTCTTTCTGCTTGGGAGTGGGGGCGGGCGGATATCAGGAGGGGCCACTGCCCCGCAGATGACCCAGAGCCGAAGACCGCGGGCTGTGGCCAGCGCAGGCTCCACGCGCCCCGACCCTCGCGGCAGGGAGGCCCCGCCCACTGTTGGGCAGGTTCTTGACTTCACCCTGCTTCCCCAAACGTTTCCGGGTGCAAACGCCCCTCTGGGCTGGGGTGGGATGAGGGAGGGGAGCCCTAGAATGGAGTTTTGTTTTCCTCCTCTGGCATCAGGTGCTCAAGCCCAAGCTCCTCCCTCCACCCGCCTCTGGCCCTTCCCTGGCTTCTATTTCCAGCTCTCCTTGGCTATTTATAGCTGCGACCGGCCGGCAATTGCGTCAGTCAGGGGCAGGCTTCGGCCGGCGATGCCAACGGTGCCACCAGTCCCCCTACATTCCCCTACCCTTCCTGGGTAGTCACCTGCCCTGCGCTGTCCTGGTCGGAGGCCCCAGGTGTGTGGGGGGCGGGAGTGCGTTCTGCAGGTGCGCTCAGCCATGAGGGCGCATGTGCTGGGGCAGAGTGGGAGGGCACTGGACTTGGTGGGGGGGGGGGGCAGCAGAATTCCTGGCGGGGAAGGGGTAAGCGGCGTCTTCCCCTTTCCTTCCCAGAGCTTCCTCCTGGGAGCTGCCTGGGGACAGGCCACTGTTCCTTGGTTTCATGGGTGGTGTCTGCAAAGACTGGGAGAGATGCCCCTGGACCTAGCACCCGTCCCCCTCCCCCCGCCCACCTTCCAGAATGAAGGCCCTTCACTGAGTTCCTCTCCTCTCACCCCACTACTGAGGCCTCCCTCTCCCCAGCATTCTCACTCAACTCCAGTTCAGCTCCCATACCCCTTCCCTCCCTGAGGCCACCCCCAACCCAGCCCCTCTGGAGGGGGACATTGAAGGGTTCTGAAGCAAGACAAGTCTACCTGCTCAGTTTGGAAGGACTGAAGGGCATCCACCCAGGCACTTGCCTAGTGTTTGGCAAAGGCCTGCCCTGGCATCGCCCTGCTTGGGGGTGGGAGGCACACGCATGTTCCCCTCGCCCCACCAGGATCCCCTCTGAGCTCTGGTCCCCACAGTCAGGGACCACTCGCTTCACAAACAAGCCATCATCACGCCTTCAGGGCCTAGTGTCTTCCACAGAGGCTCCTACCCCAGGAGACCCATTCCCAGGGGCAGGAGTGGGGCCTGGGACTGTGGGCTGCCTTACAGGTCTAGACCCTCACCCCTGGGCCAGAAGGCTGTGCTTTCTCTGGAGGGACTGTGCCGCCGAGCCCCAGCTGCCTGCAGGGATAATTGAGTTTCCCCACGTGCTCCCACCATGGACACAAGGCATTTGTTGTGAAGCTCTGCTGAGAATCAGCCCCTCCTCTCCCACCCTCTGTCCAGGGCCCGCCCTGCCCTGTGCCCTGCGCCCTTCCGGGGAGGTTGGGGCACCCTCTGCTGGTGTCCATTGTATAGGCCCCTCAAAGACTCCATGGCTTCCCCTTAACAGCAAGTCCTCCCTTCATCTTGCCCACAAAGAACCACTCTTCTTAGACACTCCCCCAACCCACCTGCCATTCAGAGCCCCATCGAGATGCACCCTCTTCCCGTCGGGCCTTGCCTTGGCCAGAGGCCTTCAGCTTCTGCCTGGCTCCCCGCAGGGCGCTCCTACCTCTGCCTTTTCTCCCATGCTGTGGACCTTTGCAATGTCCTCCTGCCCCACCTGCCCCCAGCCCCTCCAAACACAACCTGGCCTTCAGAGGCCAAAACTCTCCTCCTGAAAGGCTTCCTGAGAACTGGCCCTCTGCCCTTTCTCCTGCTCAGTCTCTTCAGTTCTGAGCTCCGGAAGGGCCTTGGTAAGTCCATCCACAGGAGTACAGTGGCAGCTGGCAGGGGTGCCACTGAGACCAGCCTCCAGCTTACTTCCAGGGATGGCTCGGCAGGCAGAGGAATGGTGCCTGAGAGACCAGGAACCAAGCCCAGCCCCAACTTGGCCCCTGACCCTCTAAGGGACATTGACCAAGCCTGTTCCTCTCCCTGGGCCTTGGAGAGGGTCTCTCCTGTGATGTCCCACTCCAAGACAGTTAGTATGTGGCTTATTCATTGGACATTCACTGGGTACCTTCTGTATGCAAAGACCAGGTACCCATCTGCAGTCCAATGGAGAATGGAGGTAAGCACAAGCTGGCTTTAATGTAAGACTAACAGAAGTGCAACTAACGCAATGTAACATTATTACCCACCCACCTTCGCTCCCTCCCTCCCTCTCATTTACCCATTCTTCCACCTCCTATCCACCCCATCACTTCTCCACCCGTCCATCCATCTGTCCACCTTCCTTTCCTTCTACTCCCTAGCCACACATCTACTTGCCTATTTATGAATACCCATTTATGTATTCATCCATCCATCCATCCTATTCATTCCTCCACCCATTCATCCATGTACCCACCCACCCCACTCATCCCTCTACCCATTCATCCATCTGCCCATCCATCCATCCACCCACCCACCCCACTCATCCCTCTACCCATTCATCCATTTGCTCATCCATCCATCCATCCACCCACCCATCCACCCCACTCATCCCTCTACCCATTCATCCATCTGCCCACGTATCCATCCATCCACCCACCCACCCCACTCATCCCTCTACCCATTCATCCATCTGCCCATCCATCCATCCATCCATCCACCCACCCCACTCATCCCTCTACCCATTCATCCATCTGCCCATCCATCCATCCACCCACCCACCCCACTCATCCCTCTACCCATTCATCCATTTGCTCATCCATCCATCCATCCACCCACCCATCCACCCCACTCATCCCTCTACCCATTCATCCATCTGCCCATCCATCCATCCATCCACCCACCCACCCCACTCATCCCTCTACCCATTCATCCATCTGCCCATCCATCCATCCATCCATCCACCCACCCATCCACCCCACTCATCCATCTACCCATTCATCCATCTGCCCATCCATCCATCCATCCACCCACCCATCCACCCCACTCATCCCTCTACCCATTCATCCATCTGCCCATCCATCCATCCATCCATCCACCCACCCCATTCATCCCTCTACCCATTCATCCATCTGCCCATCCATCCATCCACCCACCCGCCCACCCCACTCATCCCTCTACCCATTCATTCATCTGCCCATCCATCCATCCATCCACCCACCCACCCCACTCATCCCTCTACCCATTCGTCCATCTGCCCATCCATCCATCCATCCACCCACCCATCCACCCCACTCATCCCTCTACCCATTCATCATCTGCCTATCCATCCATCCAACCACCCACCCCACTCATCCCTCTACCCATTCATCCATTTGCTCATCCATCCATCCACCCACCCACCCCACTCATCCCTCTACCCATTCATCCATCTGCCCATCCATCCATCCACCCACCCACCCCACTCATCCCTCTACCCATTCATCCATCTGCCCATCCATCCATCCATCCACCCACCCATCCACCCCACTCATCCCTCTACCCATTCATCCATCTGCCCATCCATCCATCCATCCACCCACCCCATTCATCCCTCTACCCATTCATCCATCTGCCCATCCATCCATCCGTCCACCCACCTGCCCACCCCACTCATCCCTCTACCCATTCATTCATCTGCCCATCCATCCATCCATCCACCCACCCACCCCACTCATCCCTCTACCCATTCATCCATCTGCCCATCCATCCATCCACCCGCCCACCCCACTCATCCCTCTACCCATTCATCCATTTGCCCATCCATCCATCCATCCATCCATCCACCCCACTCATCCCTCTCCACCCATTCATCCATCTGCCCCTCTATCCATCCATCCACCCATCCCATTTATCCCTCCACCTATTGATCCATCCACCCATCCACCCCACTCATCCCTCTACCCATTCATCCATCTGCCCACCCATCCACCCATTCATTGATCCATCCATCCATCCATCTACCCACCCACCCACCCCACGCATCCCTCTACCCATTCATCCATCTGCCCTTCTACCCACCCATCCATGCACCCATCCATCCATCCACCATTCATCCATCTGCCCATCCATAAATTCACCTATCCATCCATCCATGTCTCCCTCCCTCATCCACCCATCTACCCACCCATCCAAGACCCATCCAGCAACTAAAGCTCTTGTCCTGGGGGGAGACACAGCTGTAGGCAGGGCAACAAGCCTTTAGGGGACTCTACGTAGCAGTTGGAGGCCAGTCCACCAGTGTTCAACTCTTGCTTCACCGCCTACTTTGGGCAGCTCTTGGACCACTAGGAGCCTGATTGAGTTGGTAAATGAGACCCCCTCCTTCCATCTGGAGTCTTACACTGCCCCCAGGGTCCTGAGACCTATGTGCCCCAGATGGGCATCCTAGGAGAGGCCGTCACCCACCTGCTGGAGCTGCAGGTGCTCCTGCGCACAGGGGGTAAGGGAGCACCTCGGTGCTGCTTGAGTCAGCCATCAGCTCTTTCCAGGCCTCAGTTTTATTGACTGCTGGGGGCTGCCTGAGTTATAAATAGATGTTCTTGAGCCAAAAATAGCCTTGCGGGAGCATCAGACTATGTTTCTAGCTTTCCTCCTTTTTGAGGACTCTTAAAGATGCAGGATTCAAGGACCCTACCTCCTCCTGCAGCCCCCGAGGAGGGACTGGCCCCCTCCTCTTCCCCTCTCTTGCTTCCTCTTCCTCCTGTCTCATGAGCACTCACACACACGGTCTGGACAGCATCACTGGTTGGGAGGGGTCCCTGGGAGAGGTATACTAAACCTGGAAGAAGCTGCATGAACCAGGTCTGTGTGGTAAGGACAGATCTGGTATCCTCCGCCACAGTGTAGACAAGCCTCAGCCCGGGCTGCACGCACACTGTGAATCTTTGCAGCCTGTGGCACCTGCAGCAGCCAGGTCTGCCCTCGGTGGGGGGTGGGGGGGGGGGAGGCGGGGCTCTGCAGGCCGGGCTGGGGCTGCCTCCAGGGAGAGGACCCTGGAGGCTGGGGACAAGCCTGGGGGAGACAAACCAGTACTTTCTACCACATACCCTGGTGTGCTTTTAATCCTTGTATGACATGCACATTACTTAAGATTTGAAAAGCTGGTTGGAGGCCAGGCACGGTGGCTCACACCTGTAATCCCAGCACTTTGGGAGGCCAAAGCAAGCGGATCACTTGAGGTCAGTGAGATTGAGACCAGCCTGGCCAACATGGTGCAACCCCATCTCTACTAAAAATACAAAAATTAGCCAAGTGTGATGGCACGTGCCTGTAATCCCAGCTACTTGGGAATCTGAGGCATGAGAATTGTTTGAACCGGGGAGGCGGAGGTTGCAGTGAGCGGAGATCGCACCATTGCACTCCAGCCTAGATGACAGAACGAAACTCCATTTCAAAAAAAAAAAAAAAAAAAGTCTGGTTGGAGACACTATATATAGCTAGACCCCTATTTCTGCTGGTACGTATATGCACCCACACACATGCACACAGCACACAGCACACATGGAGGGGCTGGGAGGGAAGCATCCAACTGTTCACATTGGGATTGTGGGAGTGAGGGGACTGGTGGGTAACACTGAGGTTTTATATCGTTTTAAGTTATTTAAGCTTTTACTAGCCTGTAACAACTGAAAAAGTGTGTTTTACACCCTAAAGGTGCAGCTGAGGACCTGTGCCCATGCCTGGCCCCCAGGGACTATTCTCAGAGCTCACCCGCGGTGTGAGCCTGGGGCAAGTTTCCAGACCCAACACACCAGGCTCTGGCCTCAGGCCTGCCTCCCAGCAGCCTCTGCCCCCACCCTGCCCACCACCAGTCTGAAGGAAGAGGCGCGGAGTCGTGGGGAAAACATCCACTTTAAGCTTTATTACAACACATTGTCTCCAAATACAAAGGGAGGGGCCGGGAGCAGAAGGTGCGGCTGTGGCGGGAGGGGCTCCAAGGGGGGCTGAAGGGCCGGCAGCCCAGTCTACAGAGACTGGAGGCTCAGCGGGGGACCTGCACCCTCTCCTCCGCTGGACTTCCCAGCAAATAACAGGAGGGGCCGGGTCCATTTTGGGGCGATCCCAATGCCAGGCAGTGGCCAGGTGGGAGGGGCCGGAGAGAGGCTTGGAGAGGACTCAGGGCTGGGTCAGGTGAAAGCCACCAGGTGGGGCCCTGGCCCGCCTCCCGCAGCACTGGAGGAGGCAGTGGCCAGGTGGGAGGGGCCGGAGAGAGGCTTGGAGAGGACTCAGGGCTGGGTCAGGTGAAAGCCACCAGGTGGGGCCTCAGCCCGCCTCCTGCAGCACTGGAGGAGGCAGTGGCCAACACAGGACCTTCGCCCCCCTGCTGGCTGCTCACTTTGCGGTAACCAGTGCCTCAAGAGTGGGAGCAGAGACAGACTGAGACAGACAGCCCCCCTCAACGGCCTGCAGAAGGGACAAGGGGAAGGGGGAAGGGAGAAGGGGGCCCAACCAGTGGCCCCAGACCACTGTCTCCCGGACAGCACAGGGGTGGGGGGCGAGAAGCGGGAAGCCAGTGCATCCTCCTCACCCAGGGTCTCCTCAGAAACCCAACGCAACAGACATATGGGAGGCAAATTTACATAATTAATAATAATTAACCAATAATAATAAATACTTAAACCTCTAATCCATAGATTGCAAATACAACGATAGCTTATTTTCTTGGGGGAACAGGAGTGGGTGGGGACAGAGGGAACGGGAACAGGACTTTTGCTGAAAGGAGGGATGACAGGAACACAGAGCTGTGGGTGAAAAGAAGAACAAATAGAAGAAACAGCAGAGAGGGCGGCTGGCTGGGGCGGGATGGGCGCCTCCCTGGCCCTGCTCCAGGACTCAGGACTGGGTCCTGCCCTGGGCTGCCTCTCCGGCCAAGCCCCTGGCCTCTTCCCACAGTGACTGGCCCCACTCCTAGACCCTAGGACATCTGAAGGGCAGGGGTCCCAATGGCCCGAGGGGGTATGGGGCAGGGGCAGCAGGCTGACCCACCTGGGCCCAAAAGCCACTTGTGTTTGGGGGCTGGCATGCCACCTAGAGAGAGAGCACCCTGGGAAAGGGGTGAATGGGAGTTTCTCTCCTGAGCGGCCCCATGGGGGTGGGGGCAAACGAGGGGGCTTTACCTGTCTTGAGGCAGTGCTCCCTAAGTGAAGCAGGCCTATCCCAGCAGCACAGGGGCTTGGCTGGCGCCTGAACTCCCTGTGTGAGCAGCACCTGCTCACAGAGCCCCTCAGCCTGCAGGTGCACACCTGAATTCCAAGTTCTGCCTGGGGCATGGCTGGGAGGGGGGCGGGGCAGACCTGGAACAGAACCCTAAGACCACCCCCTCCTCATACCTGGGGGTCCAGGGCTTCCTGCCCAGTGGAGCCAGCACTGGCTAGCCAGGCGCCTCCTGCCTGACCCCCGGAGGCCAAGCTCCTCTCCTGCAATGGTGCCACCCTGCCCGGCAGGCAGCTCTGGGGGCATGGGCAAGGGAGAAGGGAGGGCCGCAGCCCTCTAGGAATGGCCTTTCTGAGCCACTCTGTGGCTGGACTGGGGCTCTGGCAGGAGTTGGGGGCACTAACACCTCTGTCCTCCCCTGGGCTGCACCTCATCTGACGTTCCAGAACCCCCTGCCCGAAGCCCCTACACACACTGTTCTATTTCTCAGCCCCTCTGAACACCCTGGCACCATGAAGCCCAATGCCTGTCCTCCCCTGCCAGAGAACAGCTCTGGGGCAACGGGCAGCGGGGTGCCCTCCTTGCCACCAAGATTTGGTGCCTGGAGCTGATGGAGGGCTGGCCGCACCTCTCCGGGGCACACCAGCTCCTGCTCCTCCATCCTATGGCTTTGGTGCAGAGCCCTAGGCCGGCGCAGAGAAGGGAGGGAGCAGGGGAGGTGGGTGGGGGGAGAAGGGGGGTTCTGCGGCTCAGTTTGTGGCAAAGAAGTTTTTTTTTCCTTTTTTTCACCTTTTTGTTATGTAAAAAGTGCACGAAAGCTCGGCAGCCTTTGCAAAGGTCAGCAGTGTTTCCTGGGGCGGGGGAACTGGGAGGGGCCCCAGGCCTGGCACCCAGCTTGCGACTGAAGGTGGCCTCGTATTGCTTAGAAACGTATGTTTCAGTTTAAATACCAGACAGTAAAAATAGAGCTCGAGGACCACCCGCACTGTTGCCAAATCATTGCCAGAATGAACAGCTTAAATAAATAAAAAATCGAAATATTTACTTCTCGATAAAAATCCCAGTAAAACCATTTACCTTTCTTTGCATTATATATAATATACATTTATAACGGGCCTGGCTGCGGGCGGCGGGGCCGAGGGCAGCGGAGGGGTCAGGACACCTCGATGACCTCCACGCTGCCCGAGAAGCTCGCCTGCTTGCCCAGGGCGGCCAGCTCCTCGCCGCGCGCGCGCCCCTCCACCATGCCCTCCTCGAACTCCATCTGGCAGCTGCGGCGCTTGAACTGCGTCTCCGGGGCCGGCTCCTCGGGCCAGCCGGTCCGCGCGTCCCGGGGCTCAGCCCTCGCTGCCTCCCGCCGCCGCAGGTCGCTGCCGCCGCCTGGTCCCGGGGCGCCCGCCCGGCCGAAGGGCGCAAACAGCACCCCGCCCGCCCCCTGTGCGCCCTCGGGGCTGAAGCACCAGGGCCCGTCGGGCGACGGCGTGCCTGGGGAGTCGAGCGGCGGTGCCCAGGCCCCGGGGCCGGCCGGCTGGCCAGGGCCGGGCAGCCCGGGCGCCGACAGGGCCGAGAGGCCGTGCCGCGGAGTCTGCCGGGCCGCATCGCCGAAGTTCAGGCCGAGGCTGTGCGCGGGGGAGCGCGCGGGGGAGCCGGCGGGGGGCCGGGGCCGCCGGCGGGGCCGTGGGCGCGCCTCAGGCGCGGCGTCCGGGCTGTCCGGGCTGGGCGAGGACAGGCCCAGCGCGGCCCCCGACGGGCTGTCCAGCTTGCAGAGCTTCGGGGCCTCGCCGGGGTCGGGGGGCCCGGGGCCGTCGGGCCGCCTGCTAGGGGCGTAGGCAGACTTGATGTCCAGGGAGAAGGAGCGCTTGAGGCGGTTAGTGTCCTGCAGGCGGTCCGAGGAGAGGTGCAGGCCGCGCAGGCCCTGCTGCAGTGCGCTGGTCGCCGGGGGCGTGGGGGGCGCGGGGGGCTCCCCGCCCGCGCTCAGGCCGCCCTCCCTGGCAGCCGCATTCCCTGTGGCAGCGCTCTCTGAGGTAGGTGGTGGCAGCCGTGGCAGCGGGGCCCCGGCGGCAGGACTGGGCGGAGGCTCCGGCGTCCCTGAGGGGGTGCCCGGGTCGCCCTGCAGGGCGGCCAGCAGCTTCAGGCTGCGCTCGTACTCCAGCAGCTGGCCCAGGAAGTTGAAGTTGGGCGAGATGGACGGGCGCCTGTCCTTCACGAACCTGCGGGGGAGGAGGCTCAGTCCCAGGCGCCCGCCGGGGCCAGGCTGCCCACCTGACGCACCCGCTGGGCACCCACGAGCTCATGTGCGCCAGGCTGGTCTCAGGCCCTCCTCCCTTGCCACGGGTCCTGGACGGTGGGGTCATTCTGGTGCAAGTGGGCAGCCGGGGGAAGGGAAGCGACGCTGTGAGCCACAAGTGCGCGACTGGGGAAGGTGGTACCTGTAGGCGTCGTCGGAGGACATGCCCATGGTCTTCATGATGTAGGCGATGGCGATGGTGGCAGAGCGGGAGATGCCAGCCAGACAGTGGACGATGACTTGGCAGCTGGAGAGCTTGGCTTTATCTGGGCAGGTGGGCCATGGGGGCCAGGTGAGGGCTAAGACTGCACAGCTTCTCCCTGGCCCAGGTAGGGGACCCCACCCGCCCAACTGCCAACAGTTCCGGCTACTTCCTGGGGACCCCTCCTGTGTCTGTGGCCACACACAGCTCTAGCCTTCCTCTAGCCAGGTCCCTGCCCTCCGCCCACCGCAGACTCACCGATGAACTCGATGGACTTGTCCAGCCAGGGCAGCAGTTTTTCACAGTAGTTGTCGTTGATGGGGACCCGCATGAAGCGGCTCTCGCAGATGAAGTCAGGCTTGGGGCAGGAGTTGCTGGCGTTGAGGACGTAGCTTATTCCATTTTGCGTCATCAGATCCTGGAGGGGCGGGAGGGCGGGTTGGAAAGGGGTGGGAGAAGCTCGGGGCGGGAGTGAAGGTGGAGGCTTTTCCTGCCCTGCCGTCAGGAGGGCCTTTAGAATCCTGGGAGCCTTGGAATTTGTCCCAGATCCCAGTGTATCCAGGGGAGGGCCCAGGAGGCCTCTCTGGTCCACCCTGGCACCCTGGGCCCGTGCGGGGGGTGGGGCACGGCTGGCCTCCGACTGCAGGCCCCACCCACGGCTGGTGGTGGGCTCCTAGGAATTTTATGATTGCCTGGGTGGTGGCTTTTACCCTTTTCCCTCGTCACCATTTTTAAAACATGGGATTCTTTCAGAGCTGGCCAGAGGCCCAGTGACATCCGCAGCTTGGCATGCCAGCTCCCCGCTCCTCCCCCGAGCCCTGCCGGGCCCTCCCGCAAGCCCTGCTGTGGTCCTTCCAGGGGCATGGGTGGGGAGCCTGGGGTCCTCCTGGGCCCCCACCCATGCTTCTCCCACACCCAGCTCATCCACTGCCTTCAGCTCCTTTCCTCCCTCATCCCCCGCTCCGCTGCCAAGCTGCTTCTGGAGCTCCTGCCCCTTTCCCATTGACCACCCCCCGAACTCCACTGCACACACACCTTGTTTAGGACGTCCTTCTGCGAGCCCAGGTAGAGGTGAGGCAGGATGCGGGTCAGGCCCACGCTGGGCACAGGCAGGCAGGGCTGGGAGAGGCTCATGGGTAGCAGGGCAGCAGGCTTGCCCTCGCAGAGGCCGGGGAAGCAGGAGGAGAAGGTGGCGAAGCCCCCTGTAGGAGGAGGGCCGTCAAGTGGGTTGAGAGAACACCTAGGGCTCCCTGTCCGCCTAGGGTGCCCTGTCCGCCTAGGGCACCCCATCTACTGCTGAGGATCAGTCACACCCAGCCCAGACCCGAGCCTGAGCCCAGCCGGCAAGCCTCTGGCGGAGCACCTGCTCTGCCCGCGGTGGGGGGAGGGGGTACTGCCACACATTTACAGCCTGCACCTACGCCCACATTCCTCCTCATGCTAATTAGGGGCTGACCCAGCTGAGGACGCCGCTAGGATGCCCGTAAAGGTGGCGTTGAGGTGGCTGGCCATCACGGCACGCGCTGGGCCCAGGCAGGGGTGGGCTCAGAGGCCACAGGGGTCTCCTGCTGAGGGTGTGTGTCACACAGCCCAGAGGAGAGGCCCTCACGAGCCCGGCCATCTCCCATACCCATGGCCTGGGGCCAGGCTGGGCCTTCCTCCTCCCCTGCACTGATGCAATGCCTCCCTGCCTCCAGCTGGCTGGGAGCCCCAGGCCTGGGCTTGGGTGCCAGGACCAGGAGGCCAGGGCTTCCGAGAGGCCCTCCCCGTCCCCAGGCATGACATCACCCTGGCACAGCCCTCGGGGCATTTGCTGTCTGGTTATGGCTGTACTCCACCCAGCAGGGGAGGACGGAGAGTGGAGAAGCCCGGGGCACTGGGGGCACGCAGAGCAGGCAGTGGGCACCCGCTGCACACGTGACCAGCGTGTGCTGCTGCCTTCCACACACGTCCAAGTCCGAGGCCACAGGCTGGTGGGAGGAAGTCCCCTGCCCTGCACCAGCTGGAAGGACCCGAACGTGAATCCCTGGATGTCTGACTCAGTGACCATGGGTAGTGCACACCATGGCTCTGGTCTCAGCTTCCTCCTCCTGCCTGCCACACAGCATCATGTGGTTCCAAGAAGATAATGAG
Source organism: Homo sapiens (assembly GCF_000001405.40). Classification (NCBI taxonomy): domain Eukaryota; kingdom Metazoa; phylum Chordata; class Mammalia; order Primates; family Hominidae; genus Homo; species Homo sapiens. The sequence goes on from NC_000011.10 coordinate 1,559,987, forward strand.
CACGAAGACACATGGTGAGAATGGACCTGGCCGTCCCTGACCTGGCTGGGGCGACCACCGATGTGGACCAGAAACTGGGCAGCACCCACCTGGTGGCTGCCAGCTCTTGGGAGGGTGAAGCCAGCATGGCCCAGCACCACCCCGAGGACACCTTCCAGAACATAAGCCCCCATGGCAAGCCGGCTCCTGCTTGTGCAGAGCCTGAGGCAGCTGGGCTGAGGCCTGCCCTATCCCATTGGACGGGGCAGGGGAGTGACGGCGGGAGCTCAGGGCCTGGGAACCCCAGGGCTCTTTTTTGTCCTGGTTTGCAGAAGAGGCTGGTGCCACATGTGTAGCAGGTGCCCACTGCCTGCCCCGCGTGCCCCCAGTGCCTAGGGCTCCTCCTCTCTCCATTCTCCCCTGCTGGGTGGAGTAGAGCCACCCTGGATAACTCCTGAGGACAGGGGAGTGTGTGCAAACCCCCAACCAGAACACCTGCTGTGCCAGCTCCCCGTGTCCCTAAAAAGGGCGTGACGCTGGGGGACTGTGGAGATAGGGGAAGCTCCAGGCTGGGTGGGTTGAGGCAGCAGCCTTGGAGGAACAGTCTCTTCTGTGGGAACCTGCTGACTGGACAGGGGAAAGCAGGTAGGTGACTTGTCACCAACGACGCCCCAGCTTGCAGGTTCCCCTGAGCAGAGGCTGGGATGGGCACTGTAGCTGGCTTCCACTCACTGTTCTGAGCTGGGGTAGCCCTGGATGTTCCCGCTGCAGGACAGCCCCGGGGAGGCGGAAGGGCTGCACCACTTCTCTGCAGACTCTTCTGCCACCTGCTGCCTCTCCTCCTCCCTGTGGCTCTCCCAGGGATTTTGTGCCTTACTCTCTGCTTTCTCCAGGGCCTGGCCAAAGGAGGAGGTGCTGGGGATTCCATCAGTACCCTCCCACCTCTCCCAGAGGAGGTAAAGGCAGGAAAGTCTCTGGACAGGTGCAGAGAACCGACAGCTATGTCAGCAATTCCCCAGGAAGCTTCCCAGGACCTCCCCAGGCGGAGCAGGTAGTGTGGATGTCCCTACACACCCCACTGTGGATGCCAGGCCTAGCAGGGACCGAGGCTCCAGGGATTTCAGAACCACCCAGGCTCTGGGGGTGAGTGATAAGTGAGGGGTGTTGGGGTTCAGTGGACCCTTTGTAGGTCCCAGCACTCTTTGGGCCCTGGGGAGGCACCCCTACCCCCAGGCATCTCCAAAGGCGCCTTCCCAGTATCCCTGCTCCCTGACTCGGGGGTTTCTGGGGCAGCGCCTGCAGTTCACCTGTTACTCACAGTGAAATCCCAGACTTGAAAAAAGGCGTGTGTACCAGGACATGTGCCTGCCCCATGCCACCTGGGAGACCCTGCAAGCGCTTATGGCCACAGTCACAGACGCACTTCTGCCCGCCACCTCCATGACCCCTGGACTCCCCGCCAGGGCGGGGGCCGCCACCCCACCCACTTGCAGTGCAGTCGCCCGGCCAAGGGTCCAAGGCCGACTGCGGGCCGCTGCTTAAAGGGCCAGGCCCCTCTCTCATCCCTTGCCGCTTGCCCCCCAACATCGTGAGCAGCGCAGCTGGAGTGGGGGAAGAGGAGCGGCAGGGGGAGGTGGGCTTCACAGCAGTCCTGGGACCCCAGCACAGCCTGTCCTGCCACTGTTTCTCTCCCGCTTCCCGCAAACCTGCCCTGCTGTGGGGAGGACAGAGGCTTGGTCCTCACATTCCGGCCTCTACTGTCCCTGCAAATGGACCAAGGAGCTGTGTTGCCTGTGCCGCGGGATCCTGGAACATCCCTTCTCCTGGGTGAGGGGCAGCACCCCTGCCCCCCCCAATATATTCTTTCCCACTCTCCCTGGTTCTTCGCAGAGCCAGCCCAGAGCAGGGGCTGTGCCCACCACAGGGTGGGAGGGAGCCTGAGGGCAGAGCCCGTGGGCCTGCCTGGGTGTCGCCATGAGCCCACTGTATACCACGGGGCCTGGGACTCCTTGGCAGCTGCACTTCTGGAGAAAAGGGGACACAGCCTCAACCTTGCAGGGCAGATGTCAGCACAGAAAGGCAGTTCTGAGGGTGGCATGACCAGGCCCTGGGAGTGCCCTCCTGGCAAATCCTAGCACAGGCCCGGCCCCTCCCATGCCCATACTCATCCACGCCCACCTGCACACCCATGCTGTCCCACCCACCAGTGCTGGGTGAGGGCCCCAGCCCCCCAAACCGTCCCACTCTGGCCTCGAGGGAGACAGGCCCTTCCAGGCTTGGGACTTTCCTGGGATCTGCCTGCAGGTAGGGAGGTGCCACTCTGGGACCTTTCTCAGCCTCCAAGAAGAGTCTCCTGACTCCCATTCCTGGCTAGGGCAGCAAACTGGCCTTTGGGAGGGGTCCTGTTACACCTGGTGAGCTGTAAAAAGCCCCAAACTACTCTCTCCCCGCCCCCCACCAGTTCAGTCCTCAAACTGGACCTAGGGGAACAGGGTTGGATCAGAGTGCGTCATTCTGTGGCTTCTGGTTCTGAGAGTTCACACATATGCACACAAATCCCAAATCTCACCCAGACAAGCACAGGCGGGTACATACACAAATATACCTCCATGTATATACATGCATATACACGTGCACACACGTACATGCACATATGCGCACACACAGGCATGCATATGCCCATACATGCACACATGTACATGCACACACATACATGCATGCACATGCACACACACACATACATGCACACACATGCTCACGTACACACTCGCAGAGGCAGATGCTGGTCACCAGACGCCCAGAGCCATGCACAGACGCACAGACACCCTCTGACCATGGCCACCCAGCAGTGCAGGGTGCTGGTCTCACCCACAGAGAGGTGGGGAGGGAGCCTGGCCTCAATGCTCTTGCCCAGGACACTGGACCACCCTCAAGCCTCCCAGGTGCCCTTTAGGTCCCAGGACATGCCATGTCGGGAGGTCGGCCTGGCCAAAGCGGCTGCCACCCCTTCATCCCCCACAGTCGCCCTCAGGCTGGGTGAAGGTCCCTGCTTCCACTGGATGCAGGGCCAAGGGCCTGGCTTGGCTGCCTACTCCTCACCCCACCGTGCCTGCACCCCACAGTCCCCCATATCCTCTGCTTGCCTGGAACAGCCCCTGGTAGCAGAGGCCAGGCAGAAGGAGCCTGGACAAAGACCCCAGACCTGGATGGGGGAGGGTGCACATCCCTGGGACAGGCCAGCTCCGTCCGGCTCTGGGACCTGGGCCGACCCCAGGAGGTGGATTCTACAGACACGCCCTCAGCCACAGCCCAAGGAAAGAAAGAACCCTCTGGGACCACGAGTGTGTGAGTGTATATGAGTGTGTATCAGCGTGTGTAGGGGGGCGGCTTCCCTGCCTCCAGGGCTTGGGGCCAGTTGCCCAGGCTGCTTTTGGGCCACAGGGATCCCTGGGGGCTGTCTGCTGGGACCCAGGCAGCAGCCTTGGTGCCAGGCTGTTGCCAGGCAACCTGCACTCAGCTGGGCTTTCGGAGGTGGGGGGACTTCCTCGGGACCCCACGGCTCCAACTGAGTTTCCAGAGGATGGGGCCTCTGCCTCCGGCTTCTGACAGGAGCTCCGGGAGTGGGAGGGGCTCCCAGCCTGCATGCCTTGCCCTACACCTCTGGAGCCCAGCTGTACTGTGAGGTTTCCTTCTGTGTTGAGGATAGTCATATTGGTGGGTCCTGAAGTGTGGGCGTCCTGGGGAGAGGATGGTGGGGCCTCAAGAACCACAGATGTATGGAGATCCCCCCGTGCCCAGCGGACACCTCCCTGATGCCCCAGCCCCAGCCCCAGCCCCACTGCTGGCGGAGCAAGTGCCTCGGGGAGGCGTGGGTCATGGACTCACCAGTGAGGATGGCCACGCTGTCGAAGCAGCCGTCCAGCTTGCTCAGCAGGATGGAGAGGAAGCTGTCTGCGGCCAGCACGCTGGCGTCCCGCGTGCTCTGGTCATAGACCACCACGTCCTGTGGCTCCGTAGCCTCCACCTGGGGGCCATGGGGCAGAGATCAGCATGCCGCCTCCACCTATCGATGCCCTGGCCCCGTCCCAGATATGCTGGCTCAAGGGAATAGTAAGGGCATCAGATGATGGGAGGCAGGCAGCTGTCACCTTGCTGCCTGGAGGGGAGGGCAGGTGCAGTCACACACTCTCCTCCATCTGCCAGAGGCCCAGATGCACACACCCACACCACACAGCAAGCCATGGGGGCAGGGAGGGGTGGACTCCTGCCCTGCGCAGCTGTGCCCCCATGCCATGCACATGGGTGAAGGGGACGGACGCTCTGGGCCAGGCCTGTGTGGAGGAGACACAGGTGAGTGCGATGGGAGCCCAGGATAGGACCTGGCTGGCTCCCAGGGTGGCGGAGGGACAGAGAAGCTCGGCCCTGAAACGCATGCCTTCGGGTGTGGGCTCTCAGTGGGGCTAACTGTGTAGCCAGCAATTCTGCTCCCCACCCTATCCCCTCCCCAACCCCCAGCGGAGAAACAGAGGGCTGCAGCAGGACCCCAGGCCCCTGCACCAATTCCGGAGGCAGCAGCTGGAAGCTGGGTTCCTCCTGCCCTCCTCCCCCACCCCAAGGGCCAGCCCAGATGTTGAGCGGCTTTTGCTCAGACAGCACCGGTGCCCCCGCCCTGCAAGCACACACTCAGCCCTTAAGCCAGCTGAGCCGCCAACCCTGGGCTGGGTGACGTCACCGGCAGCCAATGGGATCGCACTCTGCCGGGAGTCCTTGCTGGGGGTCATTAATCACCAGATTCCCCTTGTTGGAAACCAAAGGGAGCCGATTCTGGCCTTGGGGTGGGCGGACTCCTGGCCAGTGGCCATCCCACTTGAGTCCTCCCATGTCCCAGCTCTGAACAGGGCCTATCAGTGACCCAGACCCCTCTCAAAGCCTCCAGGGCCAAGAGCTTGTCACCCTTGTCCCCTGCGAGGCAGTAGAAGGAGGAGGTGCCGCCACCTTCACAGGTCAACAGCCCCGCTGGTCCCTCCCCAGCTGCACCTGATGGTCCTGGGCAGAATGAGCTGTCCTTCCCCAGAAGGACATTCCTGGGGGGCCACAGAGAGAATTCTGGGTCCCTGAATACTCTGCGGGCTGGGGGAAGCTGTGGGACGGGGACATGGACTGCTCACGTGTGCCTTTTGACCACCCCTCCTGTCCTCACAGCAGTGGAAGTGGACCACACAGCTGTCCCTGTCCCGTGTAGGCCAGCTGGGCTGCTCCCACTGCCATGTGGTCACACCTTGCTATTCCACTCACTGCTCCCCTCTGTGAGCCTGGGTTGGCCCTGGCCACACAGTCCTATCTGCGTGGGGAGGGCCCGGCACCTCTGTGCAGAAGCTGAGCAAGGAGGCCCTGGAGGGAGGGTAGGGAAGGGTGCTGCGGGCGGGGGTGCGGGGGATGCCCTGAGCAGGGGCAACAGGCAGCGGTGAGAGGCAAGTGCCAGGGAGGACTGCTCCACACGCCCCTGGCTGTGACCCCAAGGAGTCGAGTTTGGACTGGAAGGCAGAGGAGGGGGGTGCTGCCCGAGCTGAGGGCCCCTTAGCTGTGGACCCTGGACGTGATGCATGCCTGGTGGGCAGTGGGCTGGGTACCTGGCTGCGTGCAGCCGGCTGGATGAGCTCCGCAATGGTCACCTTGCCCTGCTGCAGCCGCCGCTTCACCAGCTTGGAGCAGCAGATGTTGACGGAGCTGAGCACATGCCAGCTGTTGTACTCCACGAAGGAGCGGCTGTCGATGACCAGCGGCCCCCCAGGCCCGCCCCGCAGCAGGCTGGCCAGCTTCTTGGCATCCATCACCTTCCTCGGGAGCCGGTCCCCAGCCATGGTGGGGCAATGGGTGCTGGGGAGGGTGACCCCTGAAGTGAGGAGGGGCTGCTCCGACGGCCCAGGTGTGGCCTCGCGCTGGGAGTGACCTAGCACATGGTGCTGGACCTGCAGGGACAGGGGGATGGTCAGCAGTGCTGCGGGCCCCTGGGTGGCACCCAGAAGCTCCCCAGGACAGATCAGAGCTGGGAGCTGCGCCCACCAGGACACACCAACATGTGCCCGTGGGAACCCTTCTCCCTCTGGAGAGACCCCGTCCAGGTCACAAGGCCAGCTCTCAGCAGGATGCAACAAGGCAGAGGGGGGCAAATGGGCCCCACAGAGAAGGGTCTGAGGGCTGGAAGAGGCCAGGGGTCCTTCCTGTGGGCCCTGGGGTTCACGGACCCTTAGGCATTCCAGAACATTCCATCTCATCCCTGGGACACAGGCATCTCCCTGCTGTGACTTCTGCATCTTTTCCACCACAGGACCCCCAGCAAGTCGGGGTCTGGACTGCACCTCACCCTCCCACATGGTCAAGCTCTCTGCCCTCCTCCGGGCTTGCTGTCCTCACACCTGCCCCTCTCTCCCTAGCACAGCCCCAGGGAGTCCAATCCCTGGAGACTTGACTCCAGGGCAGCTCCGTAAGCCGATAATCCAGCCCCTGGTGGATGGTGGCCTTGGGGCTGCCTCCACTGGAGAGTGGGCTCCCGGGGGCAGCCGGATAGCAGGCGGGTGCGGGAGGGGCTCAGGCACAGAGGCACGGCTCCTTTGCCACTGCTGCCCTCCTGACCTGCAGGCTGAGGTTTAGTGTGCGCCACGTGCCTGCTGGGGGTGAGTGCCCAGCTCCTGCAGGGGCGTGTTGCACCCACACAGTGCCTCTCCCCTAGCGGAGCCTGGGGTCTAGGAGGCTCCTTCATGGGCTGATAGGGCCCAGGATGGGAGGGGCGGGGCAGCCCTGGGAGGAGGGTCAGTGTCGGGGACCCCGCAGGTGCCAGGCCCTCGGCATGGCCTGCAAAGGCCTCAGACTGCCGGGTGGGCAGGTGGAGTAGGGATGTCTGAGGATGGAGTCTCCGGAAGCCCCTCCTGCAGGCTTGATGACAAGCCTGTCACTGCCCCACTGCCGGGCCCCATCTCCCTGTCACCTGCCAGGACTGGCCTTCCTCTGGGTCCACTTTACACTCACAGCCCCTAGGAGGCGCATAGTGTTAAGGATGATGAGTTTGCTTTAACTATGGGGAAACCGAGGCTTGGGGCAGGGTTGGGACCTGGGTCACACCTGGGTCACACACAGATGGGCACTGGGTGTCCCTGCAATGCCATCTTCCCTGTGCCCCCACAGCTGCCAGGCAGTCAGGAAGTTTACTCCACCCAGCTCAGGACTGAGGGAAGGCTGGGAGATAGATGTACCCTGGGCCCTGCGCCCTGTGCAAAGCGGGCTACGGTGGGTAGCGGGCCCTCAGCAAGCCAGACCCCCAACCCACAGCCACAGGAGGCACTGGGGGGAGGCGCCCTGAGGACACCCATGCACTGCAAACAGCAGGCTGGGGACAGAGGCCACCACCGTTTCTGGACTCTCCAGGTCAGCTCCCAGGCCGGCGGGGGCCAGTGAGAGAGTTCACAGAGCAGCAGGTGCAAGGCTGGTGTGGACCTCGTCCCTGGCCCAGCCCCAACTCCACACTGAGGGGCAGGTCCCAGCTCCTCCCTGCCCAGGAGCCCCAGCCTCGCACTCACTCTCCTTCTCCAGACACTTCAAGCTTGGCCCCTGCCTGGCCCCTCCCGCCTCGACTGGGCCCAGGCTTCTGTGCATTCCCACCATCCCTCCTGTTGCCAGAGGCCAGGGAAACACCTGACTGTGGATGGGCAGCCTCAGCTGACCCCACGGCTGACACCAGGGATTGCAGTGGCACCTGGTCAGCAGGGCCTCAGGATCCCACTCAGATAACGTTCCTGGGCTGGTGCTCCAGCCTCCACCACAGGGTGGGGAACGAGGCCTGGGAGTCCTCTCCAGGGCCAGACCCAGCAAGTTCAACAGCAAAAGGGCCTGCTGCCTGCCTGCTGTGGAGGGTCTCTGCCTGCCAAGGGGGTCCCTGACTACCCACAGGGGGTCCTTGATGAGCTGTTTGTCCTTCCCGAGTTCTACCTGAGCCTTGCACAGGTGGTGAGAGGCGAGGGCCCAGATGTGTGGTTCTGGTGAGACAGCGGCTCCAGGTGCCCCGTAGGATACCCAAGGGTCCAGCTCAGAGACCCAGAACCCCGAGAAGGCTGCAGTGGCAGGGACACTTGGGCTGGGGGTCTTTTGAGGAGCTGCCCCGGCCTCAATGTCCTCATCCGTTAAGTGGGGGTGGATTCTCTCTCACTGAAAACAACAGAAGCAAATACCCCCCAGTGCAGGGAGGAGGGCAGGTGTGAGGAGAGGCCCTCGCCCTCTCTGCAGCCAGGGCCTAGCCTTCATGCAGCCCTGAGTCCTGACACTGCCATGAGAGACCTCGGTGCAGCCAGCCAGATCTGAGACCCAGAGGGAGGGGAGGGAGGAGGGCAAGTCCAGCTGCAGGGTGGTGGGCAGGGGCTGGAGGGGCGGGAGGACGGGTCCTGGCCTTTACCTGGCCCTGCTCTGCCTCCTAAGCAACGCTGAGCTGGAGCTGGGCCTATCACCCACAATAGTATTGTTATTTGCAGCCGAAGGGGATTCATTAGCAAGTTAGCACCTCCATCGTCACCATGGCAACAGCAGAGGTGCCAGGCAACCGCTGCTCCTGCGGCAGCCACCACCATGGAGCAGGCTCCTCTGCAGAGTGGGCACGCGCCCCTCCCTGCTCTCTCCTACCCACCCCAGCAGGTGCCCGGCAGTGCAGAGCCCAGTCCTCAGCCCCTCCGCTCCTCTGCCCTACCTGGTCCTAACCTTCCTTCCCACTCCAGGTACCTGCTGTGCCCAGCATGCTCCCTGCAGCTCGCCGGCTCCCCGCCCCCTCAGAGGCCTTCTCTGTACTGCGAAGGGCTGGCCGAGTGCCCCCTCCTGCAGGAAGCCTCTGTGCCATGCTGGCCTCTGGGAGAGCATCCTCACCCACAGGGTCTCCCTGGACCTACAGCTCCCAGGGGGACATGTTCCTCACCTCTGTCTCCCCAGATGCTAAGGATCGGGGCTCAGCTATGCCAGGGATGGGGCAGGTTGGGTGGGGTGGGGAGCAGAGACACTAAGGACAGTCTGGTGCAGATCAGTGGGGCCAGCACTGGCCATGTGGGAACAGAGGTAAGGAAATGTGGATGGTGTTGGTTCCATGCCTCTCCTTTCACGGCCCCACATGCCAAGCCCTCCTGAGTACCTGTGGCCCTGCTATTCCAGTGCCTAGGGGTTGGGGGGTGAGAGGCAGGGCTGGGGACAGGATGCCCCCTAGCACAGCCCCATACACCCTTTTCAAAAGTCTTTGAGCCCAGGAGGAAGCAGTTTCCAAGTCCAAAGTCAGAAGAAGGCTCCTCCCAGGCCCACACCTTCCAGGAGGCACCAGGCCGCCACCCTCCCCTGGGACACAGCACGCCTGGCTCCAGTGCTGCGTGCACACTGCCCTCTGTGCGTGCCAGAACACACCTCTTTGCACACCCACTCCACACACAGGGCTGGTGCTCCTTACCCACAATCCACCTGCCCTGTGTGCAAGTACCCACGCGTGAATATGTGCACACGCGTGGGCTGGACATACACTAGAGTACACGCACGTCCTTGCCCTCTGTATGCAGGATCCCCTGAGAACCCCAGGACTCCAGTACCCGAGGGGTCAGCTTCAGACTCCTTACAAACACGAGCTCCCACACCCAGCGTCTCTGTGCAGCACATTCCTGTCCCTGAGCACAGACGGGACCAGGGAGTCCCAGGCCACCCCCAGCTCTCAACTGACAGCATCCTTACCATGTTACCTTCTGCTCAGCACCTAGAAATGGGGACTCACTACCTTCAGAGACAGCTGCCAGGACTGTCAAGCATGGGGGGATGGGACTGTGTCTCCCCCTCACACCTAGGCAGGCTCTTGGAGCTGTCCGGCTCACTGTTACCCAGGGATGCTTCTGGAGGCAGAAATCGTCACACTAAGGAGGCTGAGGAGAGACTGGTGGGTGGCAACTCTGGGAGGCAGGGACCCTGCACTCACACAGGTCAGCTCATCTTCCCTCACTGGGCTCCCCCAGATGCCCTCATCCCTGCCTCCCCTCAGCTCCCTTGGCTAGTGCTGTAGGACCCAAGCTGGCCTACACTCTGCTCCGCTGGCCTGGGGAAGCTGTGGACCTGGGAGAAAGTGGGGTGGGGCGGGGGGCTCCCTCCGATCCCAGGAACGGGGTCCGGGCAGGGCAGGGGATGGGAGGACTTGGCACAAGGGGCCGTGACAGTCGAGTCTCAGAGCCGGACATATCCAGGTTCCCTCCCTTCCCACCAGACCTGTGTCCCTCCTCCTGGTCACTGTGCCACATGCTAAACATCAGGACCAGTGTGGCGCTTCCAAGGTTCACTGCCCTGAGCAACTCCGGCAGAGGGGGCCTCAGCGGGTGCAGTTCTCATGGCCAGAGTCCAACCACCTCTCTCTCACTGTGGGTCTGCCCCTTTCCCTGCCTTCTGCAAGAAGTGACACCTAGGTCTCCCCAGGCCCTAGCTGATGCCCCTTCGAGGCACCTGTCCAGTGGCAGCCTCTAGGCCCTGACTTCAGCCCCAGCCTGAGAAGAGAAGGGTCCTGGAGCAGAGACTGACTCTAAGCGTCTTTCTGCACCTCTGTTAATGGGACTTTATTCCCAGAAGCCTCCCCGAGGACAGAGGATACCAGGGGAATAGAACCTGCCCAGCCACACTCGTGCAGCCCCCGGCTGGCTGCAGCAGGAGGTATTTCAGCGAGACTTCAGGATGAACTTCCAGCTGGGGTCACATGATCTGCCATCCGCATCCAGTGCTTATTAGCAGTGAATGCATGGGACTGTCCTCCTGGTGGAGGGCTGGGGCCTGGGGTGCTACATTCACCCCTGGACCGCCCTAGGTGCAACAGTGTCTCTGGGTGGGCTGTGCCAGAAGGGAGGCAAGGGAGAGTGCCGGGGTTTGGATCTCCCCTCAGACCCCCCGCTGGGGCACAAAAGGAGCTTCCCTGGCCTGCAGCACCCCACCCCCACCCCAAGCTGCACAGCAAGAGCACTGCGGAGCCACGCTACATCCTGCCACCCCCTCCTCCATCCCACAGTGTCCCCGCCCCCCATCACTGCAGCACCAGAGCCCCTATTCCCCTCAGCAGAGGCCGGTACACCCCGCAGCAGGGAGACGGAGGCAGATTCTCCCAGAAGGGGTGACCCTGTTGGGGCTGGGCCTATTGTTGCCCCCTCCCCTCCAGGCCAGACTATTAGGTATCCCCACCTGGTCTGCTCCGCATCCCAGGCTGGGCAGCTGGGCCTAGCGAGGTGGCTGCAGCAGCCTGGCTGTGCCAGCCCCTCCCCCAGCGCCGCGGCTGCCTCTGCAGCAGGCGGAAGGGCGCGGGGGCTTTATCCCTCAGGGGCCGGCTGGGCACCCCGGGATGGGGAGGCAGTGCGGCCTGGACACTGGGGGGATGGATCTGCAGCCCTCCCCCCCGACAGGGGAAGGCCCCTTCCCGGGTGTCCCAGGCCAGAGGCCGTCGCGTCCCTCCCACGGCCGAGGCTCCACACCTCCCGGACCGACTCCGGGCCAGGGTCCGCCTGCTCCGGTTCTGGCCCCCGCGGGGGTGACGTTCGGGACGTCGGGGGCTCGCGCAGATCCGCGCTGGATCTCAGGCGGCCCTGGTGGGTCCTGGATTTTTGTCCCCCCCCCATTCCACACCCAAAGAAGGAGCTGCGGGGAGAAGGGCGGCAACGCGGCGGGCGGGCGTGGGCTGGGCCCGGGTCCGCCGGGCGTTGCGGGGGGCGGGGAAGGGGCCTCCCTGTCCCTGGCGTCCTGGACGGCCGTGGCCGCTCATTCCGGGGCCGCCTCCTCCTCCCGGGCGCCCACCGGGTGCCGCTGCCCCAGCGCCCCCGACGCGGCGCCCTCCGCCCCCCGGCCCGGGCCGGTGAACCCCATCCCCGGCGCCCGCCCCCGCCCCGCCGGCGCCTCCGCTCACCTCGCTCGCGCTCGCCTCGGGGGCGCTCCGGGGACCCGCGCCGCGCTCAGGGCGCCCGCTCGGCCGCGCCGTCCATGGGCCCGGCGGGGGCCCGCGCAGCCGGGGCAGGGGCCGGGGGAGCGCGCGGGCCGCGTCGCCGTCGCCGCCGTCGCCGCCGCCAACGCCGCGGGGAGCGCTCGCTCGGGCCGGGGCGCGCGCACTGCGGGCGGGCACGCGCGCTCGCGGCGCGCATCCCAGCCCCGCGGCTCGGCGGGCGCGGCCGGGAGGTTCCGGCGCGGCTCGGGCTCGGGCTCGGGCTCGGGCTCGGGCGTCCGGCGTCCGGCGGGGCGTCGTGGGGGGAGCCGGCTCGGCCGCCGCGCTCGGCCGCGAGTGACAGGCCCGGGGCGGAGGGCGGGGCCGCCGGCGGGGATGAGGTCATGCCGAGCGAAAAAAGCCCCTGACGTCACCTGCAGCCAATCAGCGCGCGCGGCTCGGGGGCAGGTGACGTCAGCGGAGCCCGGGCTCGGGGTGAAGCTGAGGCGGCTGCCGCGGGGGGGGGGCGGGGTGCAGGGTGCGGGTGGGTCGCGCCGCCGCCGCCTTCCGCCCTCACCCCGGGACCGGCTCTTAAAGGGACCACGCGGCGTCCGGGACCCCGCCTCCAGGAAGCCCTCCCGGCCCCGGGCCCCGCGTCACCCAGGCCCCCCGTCACCCGGGCCCCCGGCCGCGTCGCACAGACCCCGGACGGTCCAGCTGAGCGGCTCCGGGCGCGAAGTCCTCCCCCCGACCCGGACAGGCGCCGGCGCCGCTCCCCCCTTCTCCTGGCCTTTGTTGGCGCTGGGCCGCCGCCGGGGAGCCCTCCCCAGACCCAGGCGCGGCGTTTTACCTGCAGCGGCTGTGCTCGCCCCGCCGCGACCCCCGCAGGACGGAGCCGGATCCCCCTGCACTCGGGCGGACCTGGGACCCTCAGAGGCGAGCCGGCTGCCTCGGGTCACACATCCGCGAACTCCGGGGGCGGGCTCCCCAGGACGCCGCCGACCCCCCACGACCCCCAGCCCTCCCGCTTCCGTGGAAAGCCGCCCCGACGACCCCTGTGCGGGCTGTTGAGGGGCCGCACCCCGCCGACCGCTGTGGGAACACCTCCGCGCGTGCGGCGGGGACGCGGCGAGTCCGGGGCAGGAAGAACGCACGGGTAATTGCACCTTCGGCAGGTGTTGGGCGGGAGCAAGGGGGTCAGACTCGCGCTGCAGGGGGAGGGCGGGGGAGGCCTCGCTGTCCTGGAGGAAGGGGACAAAGACCCCTGCCCAGGAGCCTGGGAGCCTTTGAAAGTAATGATTTTTTGGCGGGGGGGGGTTGTCACGAGACACCCTAGACATTTCTAAAAGGCCCCCTCCCCGCTGCCGGGTGGAGAGGGAGCGTGGGGGGATCCGCCTTCTGCCCCCGAGCCCCCAGCCAGCCTGGGCCCCCCAGGGTCACCCTGGGGCTCTGAAGGGGGCTTCGGCCGCTGGTTGAATGAAGGGCCACAGAAAATGAAGCTGGCGCAACGACCGCAGAACCCTCAGTGGGCACCAGGACCACGGAGCTCAGGGTGCCAATGGTGATGGCTGGGGGTGGGGAGTACTGTGGGCAGCAGGGGATGCTGAGCGGGGTTTGGGGCTCCCCCTTTCCATACTCAGTCTTCCTGCCAGCCTCAGAGCTGAGTACACCGTTGGCGATTAATAAGCGCTTGCAGCTCCCTTCCCTGGCCAGCCTGAGGGGAGCGGCAGTGGCCCGTATGGGGTGGGGGTGGCGGTGGAGTGCGTCCTGGCGCAGAGCTGGCACACAGCACAAACAAACGCCTTGGCGGGAGTGGGTCTGTCCCGGAAGGGAGCCCAGGGGTTATTGGGGTTGGGGCTGCGCCCCAAAGCGGGAGGGCCCTGCGAGAAGGGAGGCCCTGGCTGGAGGGGGACCCTGAGACTGGAGGTGCCGGACCCGGATGCGGGGCCAGGTGAGTAGGGCTGCCTGCTGCAGCCTTGCTGGGTTTGAAAAGTGGGGGAGGCTTGGCCCTGGGAGGGGGCAGGAGGATTCAGGCTGAGACCCGGAGGGGGCGAAGGAGGTCCTTGAGGAGGCAGTCACAGGCCTGAAAGGACCTGGGACCCGCAGGCATGGGAGCTGTTAGCCGTTAGATAGAGGGGCTGTCGCCTGGGGGGAAGCCTCACCTGGCTTGTTCCCCCTGCCAGGCCTAGGTGAGCCCGATGGGCGTGTCTTCTGCCCAGCTGGGATGTGGCCAGCATCTGCCTGTGGCCTGGGAGTGCCCATTGTCCCCTAAGAGCTCTGGTTATACCCTGGGCAGCTACTGGCCAGGCTGGAGCAGGTGGCAGGCAGCGACCTTTAGTCCCTCCTGGAGGCTCCCAGGGGGCGGTTTGGAGGGGAATACGGCTCCCCTGGAGGGCCTGGGCTGTCCCTGGGGGGCAGAGTGCCCTGGGCGGCGATTGTTATAATCCCCGTAGCCATTTTCATGCAAATAAGCACTGAGAGCGTTAGGTTCTGCCCCTAACCAGGCTGGCGGACTAGGGAGGTGGCACCCTGGGGAGGACGGTGGTTTTTCTGCAGCCCCGCCTTAGTTCCACGTTGCCTTTGCACCCAGCAGAGGCCGGCCTGGGCGGTGGGCTCAGGGGCCTGGGTGCCCGACCAGGTCGGCTCGGCTCAGCTCAGCTCGGCGGCCGCACCGCCTCCCGGCACAGGTGTGGACGGGGGTGGGAGGCGCGACCAGGGAGGGGGCTGCGGTGTCAGTCCCGGCCCGGGCCTGTAGACGCCGCCTCGGGGGTCTCTGGGGCTCGGGAGGACCTTGCGAGGGGCCGGGGAGGCGCCAAGGCCGCGGCGAGGGACGTGCGGGGGTCCAGCAGCCTGGGGCGGGGACGCGCGCTCCGGGCCGTGCAGGTGGGGGTCCGAGCGGGGCCGGCCCGGCGGTTCGCGCGCGCCCTCTGCCGTCCGCAGGCCGTGGCGCAGGCTCGGCCGCCTGAAGCTCCTCTCGCCTCCGGGAGGACGTCCAAGGTCGTTTCTTAAAGCATCCCTATTGCGCAGAAGGAACAGTGGGGTTCACTTTTCTCGCTAATGTGCATATAATCGTTGCAACTAATTATGTGTAGCAAACCTCCATGCCACTATTTCCCCAACTTTTTTAAGTCAAGGCATAGCTAACTCAATACAATGCCCATCCCAGCTGTTCAAGTAGACTTTTTCTCCCGTTATTTCTTTAAAAACCGTATGATTTTTTCTTGTGGTAAAATGCATGC